>NC_000003.12:113705574-114008604 GCF_000001405.40 Homo sapiens
AACAGAGCTCTTGGATGACTAGGTGCATTGTCAATGAGCAGTAATATTTTGAAAGGAATCTTTTTTTCTGAGCAGTAGGCTCAACAATGAGTTTAAAATATTCAGTAAACCATGCTGTAAACAGATGTGCTGTTTACATCCAGGCTTTATTTTTTCACTTATAGAGCATGGGGAGAGTAGACTTAGCCTAATTCTTAAGGGCTCTAGGATCATTAGAATGGTAAATGAGTATTGGCTTCAACTGAAAGTCACCAGCTGCATTAGCCCCTAACAAGAGAGTCAGCCTGTCCTTTGAAGCTTTGAAGCCAGTCATTTACTTCTCCTCTCTAGCGATTAAGTATTAAAAGCCATCATCTTTTAATAGAAGGCTGTTTTGTCTACATTGAAAATCTGATGTTTAATGTAACCACCTTCATTAATGATCATAGCTAGATCTCCTGGATAACTTGGTGCAGATTCTACATCGGCCCTTGCTTCTTCCCCTTGCACTCTTATGTTATGGAGATGGCTTCTTTCCTTAACCTCATGAATCAACCTCTGCTAGCTTCCAACTTTTCTTCTGCAAGTTTCCTCACCTCTCTCAGACTTCATAGAATTAAAGAAAGTTAGCACCTTGTTCTCGGTTAGGCTTTGTCTTAAGGGAATGTTGTGACTGGTTTGATCTTCTATCCAGATCATTAAAACGTTCTCTGTATCAGCAATAAGGCTGTTTTGCTTTCTTACCATTTATGTGTTCACTGGAGTAGCACTTTTAATTTCCCTCAATAACTTTTCCTTTGCATTCAAAACTTGGCTGCTTGGTACCAGAGGCCTAGCGTTTAGTCTATCTTGGCTTTTAACAAACCTTCCTTGCTAAGCTTAGTCACTTCTAGCTTTTAATTTAAAGTGAGAGATGTGTGACCCTTCCTTTCACTTGAACACTTAGAGGACATTTTAGGGTTATTAATTGGCCTAATTTCAATATTGCTGTGTTTCAGGGAGGCCTCAGGAGAGGGAGATGATGGAATTGCCGGTCAGTGGAGCAGTTAGAACACACACATTTACCAATTAATTTTACCATCTTATATGGGCACAATTTGTGGGGCCTCAAAACAAATACAATAGCAACGTCAAAGATCACTGATCACATATCACCGTAACCAATATAATATTAACAAAAGTTTGACAAAAAATTGACAAATGGGACTTAATTAAATTAAAGAGCATCTGCACAGCAAAAGAAACTATCAACAGAGTAAACTGACAACCTACAGAATGGGAGAAAATGTTTCCAAACTATTCATCTGGCAAAGGTCTAATATCAAAAATCTTCAAGGAACTTAAACTAATTAACAGTAAAAAAAAAAAACTACGGTAAAAAGCAGGCAAAGGACATGAACAGGCACTTTTCAAAAGAAGACATACATGCAGCCAATAAGCATATGAAGAAATACTCAATATCTCTAAACATTAGAGAAATGCAAACCCAAACTATAAGGAGATACCATCTCACACTAGTTAGAATGACTTTTTTTTCTTTTGACAGGGTCTTACTCTGTCACCCAGGCTGGAGTGCAGTGGTGTGACCTCGGCTCAACCTCCTGGGGTCAAGGGATCCTCCTACCTCAGACACCCTACTAGCTAGGACTACAGGTGCACACCACCACACCAGCCCAATTTTTGTAGTTTTTGTAGAGACGGAGTTTCACCGTGTTGCCCAGGCTGTTCTTGAACTCCTGCACTGAAGTGATCTGCCTACCTGGGCCTCCCAAGATGCTTGGATTACAGGCATGCGCCACCTCACTTTGCCCTAGAATGGCTATTATTAAAAAGCCAAAACATAACAGATGCTGGCAAGGATGCGGAGAAAAGGGAATGCTTATACACTACTGGTGGGAATGTACATTAGTTCAGACATTATGGAAAGCAGTTTGACAATTTCCAAAATAACTTAAACAGGGCTGGGTGCGGTGGCTCACACCTGTAATCTCAGCACTTTGGGAGGCAGAGGCAGGTGGATCACGAGGTCAGGAGTTCAAGACCAGCTTGCCCAACAGGGTGAAACCCTGTCTATACTAAAAGTAAAAAAATTAGCCGGGTGTGGTGGCATGCGCCTGTAATCCCAGCTACTCGGGAGCCTGAGGCAGGAGAATCGTTGGAACCCAGAAGGGGGAGGTTGCAGTGAGCCAAGATCACGCCACTGCACTCCAGCCTGGGCGACAGAGCAAGACCCCATCTCAAATTAAAAAAAAAAAAAAAGAACTTAAACAGAACTACCATTTGACCCAGCATCCCATTGTTTGGTATATACCCAAAGGAATGTGAATTGTTCTACCATAAAGACACATGCACACCTTTGTTCGCCACAGCACTATTTACAATAGCAAACAGATGGACTCAACCTAAATGCCCATCAGTGATAGACTGGATAAAGAAAATATGACACATACACACCATGGCATACTATGCAGCCATAAAAAAGAAAAAGATCATGTCCTTTGCAGCAATATGAATGGAGCTAGAGGCCACTATCCTAAGTGAATAAATACAACAGAACAGAAAAGCAAATACCGAATGTTCTCACTTATAAGTGGGAGCTAAACGTTGATTACACACGAACCTAAAGAAGGGAACAGACACCAGAGCCTACTTGAGGGTAGAGGGTGGGAGGAGGGTGAGGATCCAAAAACTACCTATGGGGTACTATGCTTATTATCTGGGTAATAAAACAATATGTACACCAACCCTCATGACACGCAATTTACCAATATAAGAAACTTGCATATGTACCCTTGAACCTAAAATAACAGTTTAAATAAATAATAAAATAAAGCACTCAAATTACTATGACATTTGGATAACCAGCAATGAGAACGGTTCAGCAATAACGGTTCATCCTTGTCAGCTTTCCTGCTAGAAACTAAATATGTATTCCTTGTCTTTGAAAAGAGCAATATGACACCAATATAGATACATTATCCTTTTCTGTGAAATCCATTATTTTCTTCTTATGCTACGTTATCTATCACAATTTATTATATTCCATGGGACATATATCATGCTTTGAAATATCCTCCAATGGGTTTACACCTTCAACTTCAAACACTGGAAAGACTTTTTTTTTTTTAAAAACAAGGTCTCACTCTGTTGCCAGGCTGGAGTGTGGTGGCGCAATCTCGGCTCACTGCAACCTCTGCCTGCCAGGCTCGAAGCATCCTGCCACCTTTCAGCCTCCCAAGTAGCTGGGACTACAGGCATGTGCCACCACACCCAGCTAATTTTTGTATTTTTAGTAGAGACAGGGTTTCACCCTGTTGCCCAGCCTGGTCTCAAACTCCCGAGCTCAAGTGATCTGCCCACCTCCGCCTCCCAAAGTGCCGTGACTATAGGTGTAAGCCACCATGCCTGGCCTGGAAAGACTATTCTTTGTGGTTAATAGTTCCAAACTCCCTCCAAAAATATTAGTAAAAGTTTAAAATATTGCAAGAGTTACCAAAATATGATACAGAGACATGAAGTGAGCACATGCCGTTGGAAGAATGGCACTGACAGACTTGCTCCATGCAGGGTTGACACAAACCTTCAATTTGAAAAAAGTGCAATATCTGTGAAGCTCAATAAAGGAAACTGCAATACAACATGATATTCCTATAGCTGTACTGAGATATAATTGACCTACAGCAAACTGAACATATATAAAATGTGCAATGTGATAAAGCTTTGACATATGTATACACCTGTGAAACTGCTTCCACAGTAAAAAATGAGCATATTTTTCTTGCTCCTCAAATTACCTCATGCTAATTAATTCCCTCCTCTGGCCTTATCCTATTCTCCAGGCAACCACTAATGTACTTTCAGTCACTATACATTAGTTTCCATTTTCTAGAATTTTATATACATGAAACTATTCAATATGTACCCTTTTTGTCTCTTCTTGTCTATCTTCTTTCATTCAGTGTATTTACTGTTTTTTCCCCCCTCTTAAAGACAGAGTCTTGTTCTGTTGCCCAGACTGGAGGGCAGTGGCACAATCATAGCTCATTGCAGCCTTGAACTCCTGTGCTCAAGAGATCCTCCTACCTCAGCCTCCCAAGTAACTAGGACTACAGTTGCATGTCACCATGCCTGGATTTTTTTTTTTTTTTTTTTTTTTTGTAGAGACAGACTTGCTATGTTGCCCAGGCTGTTCTCCAACTCCTGGACCCAAGTAATTCTCCTCCTTCAGTCTCCCAGTGTTAAGATTACAGGTAGGAGCCAACATGCCCAGCCTGTATTTACTGTTTTTAAAAAAACTGCCAAACTGCTTTGCAAAGTTTGGGTACTATTTTATATTCCCACTAGTAGTATATAAGAGTTTGAATTTTTCCACATTCTTGGCGACACTTTATATGGTCAGTCTAATAATTTTCATCTTATTATTATTTTTTTTGAGACTGGGTCTTGCTCTCTTGCTCAGGCTTTATTGCAGTGGTGTGATCACGGCTCACTGCAAACTCCTGGGCTCAGGTGATCCACCCACCTCAGCCTCCTGAGTAGCTGGGACTACAGGTGTACACCACTATGCCTGGCTAGTTCTTGTATTTTTAGTAGAGATGGGGTTTCACCACGTCCCAGGCTAGTCTTGAACTCCTGGGCTCAAGAGATCTGCCTGTCTTGGCCTCCCAAAGTGCTGGTATTACAAGTATGAGCCACCGCGCTCGGCCATGATCAGTCTATTTAAATTCTCATCATTCTAATAGGCACATAATGATATTTCATTATGACCTTAATTTGCATTTCCCTATTTACTAATGATGCTGCACATCTTTACATGTGCTTATTAGCCATTTATATGAATTGATGAAGTGTTGTTCAAATGTCTTGCCCATTTTTACTGGGCTGTTTTTTGTTTACTGAGTTTCCAGGGTTCTTTATATATTCTGATTACAAAACCTTTTTCAGATATATGCTATGCAAATGGTTTTTCCCAGTTCCCAGTTTGTATTTTCATTTTCTTATCTTTCACGTAGTAATTTTAAATCCAACTTATCAATTATTCCTTTTATGGATTATGCTTATGATGTCATAACTAAGACATCTTTGACTAACACAAGGTCACACAGATTTTCTCATGTTTTTTCTTCTAGATGCTTTTCAGTTTTATATTTAGATTCATTCTGTATTTTAAATTAATTTTTGCATATCGTGGAGGTGTGGATCAAAGTTTATACATTTTATTGGAAAATCCATTTCTTCCAACATTGGTTGTTGAAAAGACTATCTTTCCTCCACTGAATTGTTTGTATCTGGGACAAAAATCAAGTGACCATATATTCACTGATGCATTTTCGGACTCTTATTCCATTCCATTGATATATTTGTGGGCATTGACACCAACACCACACTGTCTTTATGCAGCTTTATGTGTCTTAAAGTCAAGTAGTGTTAAGTCCTCCAGTTGTGTTTTCCTTTTATAAATCGTATTAACTCTTTTCTTCACGTTTCCATGTAGACCTAAGCTCATCAATTTAAACAGGAAAACACAAGCCTTCAGTGTTTTTGACTGAGATATATATAATTTGATATGAGGACAAGTGACAACAATATTGAGTTTTGAGATTTATGAACATGTTATATTTCTGCATTTATTTGGATCTTTAAAAATGTTTCCCAGCAGTGTTTTATAACTTTTCGTATACATGTCTTACATATATTTTGTTAAATGTATCTCTAAATCTTTTTACATTGTTATATTATTAATTTTCCATTTCAAATTTTTTAATTGCTGGAAATACAACTGATGTTTGTATTTTGTGACCTTACTACACTCCTTTATTAATTCTAGTAGCTTTTTTTTAAAAAAGATAATCTTAATGTTTTCTACTTAATCATCTGTAAATAAAACCATTTTACTTCGTTACAATCTGCATACTTTTCTTGTTTTATTGGACTGGCTAGTCTAATATACAATTTTGCACTTACTGAAATCCACTGCAATATTGTATGGCAATGGTGAGAGCAGCCATCCTTGCCTTCGTCCCAAACTTAGTGGTAAGGCATTCAGTCTTTCACCATCAAGTATGGTGAAAGCTCTTATAGATAACTTTTTCAGATTAAATAAATTCCTTTTTATTCCTATATTGTTCTAACTCTTAAAAAATCATGAATGGGTGTTGAATTTTGTTGAATACCTTTTTCCTGCATCTATTGAGATAATAATTTAAAGATCGTTAATATGATAAATTACACAAATTAGTTTTCAATTGTTAAATCAACCTCTCATTCTTGAGACTAATCCTATTTGATCATAATATATCCTTTTAATATATTGCTGGATTTGATCTGCTAATACTTTCTTAAGGATTTTCCAGTCATAATTCATGAGAGATATCGGTCTATAGTTTTCTTATAATGTCTTTGTCTGGTTTTAGTGTTGGTATAATGCTGTCCTCATAAAATGAGTTATGCAGTATTCTTTTCTATTTTCTTGGAGTAGGTAGGATTGGTATCACATCTTCCTTAAATATTTGATAGAATTCACAAAAGAGGCCATCGGGCCTGGGATTTCTTTGTAGGGAGGATTTTAACTACAAATTCAATTTCCTTTATATATACGAGACTATTCAGGTTTCCTATTTCTTTTTCTTATGAAAACAGCTTTACTGATATTGTTGCACACCATACAATTCACCTATTATGACCGAACAATAGCTCTTTCTGTGGATATAGTTGATGGACACTTGGGTTGTTCTCACCCTTTGGCTATTATGAATGCTATGAATACTCATGTACAAGTTATCATGTGGACATTTCTGATGTATATGTTGCTGAGTCATATGGTGACTGTCTAACTTTTACAAACCTCAGACTTTCCTCTTAAATAACGTTAGTAATTTGTCTTTCAAAAAATATGTCCATTTCATCTAAGTTGTTGTATTGGATGAATTGATTATCCTTTTATTCTAGGTTCTGTAGTGTTGTCCCCTGCCATTACTGATATCAGTAATTTGTGTCTTCTCTGTTCTTTGGTCAGTCTAGATAGAAGTTTATCAATCTTATTTTTTCAAAGTGGCAGTTGCTTTGTTTGTTGTTTTGTCTTCAATCTCATTGGTTTCTGCTCTTTATTTTTTCCTTTTCAGCTTACTTTAGGTTTAACTAGTTCTTGTTTTTCTAGTTTCTTAAGATGGAAACTTAAGATCTTTTATTTAAGATATTTTTCCTCCCATACACATTTAATGCTGTAAATTACCCTTTAAGCATGTTTAGCTGCTTGCTGCAGCTTTTGATATATTTTCATTTTCCTTCTGTTCAAAATATTCTCATTTCTCTTGCAACAGCTTCTTAGACATGATTTAGAAATGTTTAATTTTCAGATTATTTATTTTCTAGATATTAAGCTTCTTAAATATATTTTGACCTTTTTTTTTTTTTTTTTTTTGAGACTGAGTTTTGCTCTTGTCCAGGTTGGAGTGCAATGGCACGATCTCAGCTCACTGCAACCTCCCCCTCCCGGGTTCAAGCGATTCTTCTACCTCAGCATCCCAAGTAGCCATGCTCAGCTAATTTTTTGATCTTGGCTCACTGCAACCTCTGCCTCCCGGGTTCAAGTGATTCTCCTACCTCAGCTTCCCAAGCTGCCACGCCCAGCTAATTTTTTTTATTTTTAGTAGAGATAGGGTTTCACCATGTTGGTCAGCTGGTCTCAAACTCCAGACCTCAGGTGATCCACCCACCTTGGCTTCTCAAAGTGCTAGTATTTTGACTTATAACCCAAGATATGGTCTATTTTGGTTAATTTTTTTAAAAAAGCACTTTATTGAGGTATGATTGACATACAAAAAAGCTGTACATATCTAAAGTATACAACTTGAGGAGTTTGGAGATAAGTATCCACCCATGAACCCATCACAATGCCATAAACATATCATGCCCAAAATTTCCTCTCAGCCTCTATTGTTTTGTGATTTAAAAACTTACATGTAAGATTTATCTGTAACATATACTTAAAAAATATTTTTATTAAGTATTAATAAAAATATATTTTAAGTATATATTACAGTATTGTTAATTAAAAGCACTGTTGTATTTATTATTAATAAAAATATATTTTAAGTATATATTACAGTATTGTTAATTATAAGCACTATGTTGTATGGTAGCATCAATCACAGTGCCTGATACATGGTAAGCTCTCAGTAAGTTTTGTATTTTTTTGAGACGGAGTTTCGCTCTTGTTGCCCAGGCTGGAGTGCAACCTCTGCTTCCTGGGTTCAAGCAGTTCTCCTGCCTTAGCCTCCCAAGTAGCTGGGATTACAGGCATGTGCCACCATGCCCGTCTAATTTTGTATTTCTAGTAGAGGCGGGGCTTCTCCACGTTGGTTAGGCTGGTCTCGAACCCACGACCTCAGGTGATCCACCTGCCTCAGACTCCCAAAGTGCTGGGATTACAGGCGTGAACCACCGTGTCCGGCCAATAAGTTTTATTGTAATGAATGAACCCAATGCAACATTAGGCAAAAGTAAAGCCATATTTTAAAAAATTGTCTATTAGAATGTTTTTGATCTTTTATCAAAATATCGCAATGCTTTTCTTAGGAGCTCTTTAAACAGTTAAATTTGAGTTTTTTTAACCCCTCTCCCAAGTTCTTAATGCAGAATTTTTGTCCTTTTAAATGCATACGTTAAATCTGACCATATATTTTTTTTTCCTTTTGAGACGGAGTCTTGCTTTGTTCCCCAGGCTGGAGTGCAGTGGTGCAATTTCTGCTCACTGCAAACACCGCTTCCAGGGTTCACGCCATTCTCCTGCCTCAGCCTCCCGAGTAGCTGGGACTACAGGTGCCTGCCACTGCGCCCGGCCAATTTTTTGTATTTTTAGTAGAGACGGGGTTTCACCGTGTTAGCCAGGATGGTCTCGATCTCCTGACCTCATGATCCACCCGCCTCAGCCTCCCAAAGTGCTGGGACTACAGGCGTGAGCCACCACTTAAGCTTATAAATTTGCAAAGCTCTGGAGTTGGGCTACATGTTCAGTTATTTCCCCCCAGTTTTTGTTTTGATCAATTACTTTAGTCCTAGATTATTTCCAATAGCTAAGTTATCTCATATCTGCTACGGGACACATCTTTCCTGTGGTGCTACCATGCCTCAGTGGAGATATTTAATTCTCTAAGCACACTTATCATTTTTGTTCACTCTTAGATGTCTAAATAACCATATGACACAATAATTACTCATTTTGTTTGTAGTAATAGAACCAAAACTCAAAACTAATTTAAATAAGTCGTCTTCAAAATTCTGTAAAAATATGCCTCTCATGCCAACATAGTATCTCATGGGAATTGAAAAAAATGTTATGTTTATTTTCTACTAGACTGTTAAGCATCTCCAGGGAAGGGCCATACTCATCTTTTTAACTGTCAGCACTTATCTCTTATGAGTACATTCCATGACCAAATTTCACATAAGGCAGTGTACTATGCCCTGCAAGTTACAAGGAGCACCTTTTGTTGTTGTTGTTTTTTTTTTAAATGTCAATGATTGGTGATAATCCACATTCTAAACTTGTCCCAGGGTACATTATATAGGCTAAACTTCCATTTGCTGTGAAGGGACTCTAGACAATTCTATGTAGGGAAGAAAGGTTTGGCAAGAAAAGACCAAGCTAGTAGGTACTGAGCAGTTGTGGAAGTTACACTTGAAGGAGTTAGCACTGTTGTAACTATAACAAAGCAAGTAAGACAATCAGGAAACTTGCAGATAATTGTAACCAAGGTCATACAGATTTGCTTATATGTAAAACAAACTGAATCAAGTCCCCCTAGTACATCATCTGGGGAAGAACTGTTAATCAGAAACTAAAATGATGAAGGAAAGAATTTACTCTTTGGATCCTGATGCAAAAGGTCAAGTTGTGAAGTAGGTCACTCATTTGTCTGATGATATGATCTCTAGCTGTCACCAGAGCGGAGCTAGTCTGTTTTTAAACTGTAGCATGAAAAAGGCCATTTAGAATGAGATAAGCTACATTGAGTCCAGGGACACAAGCTACGTATGATGGAATCAGAACCTCTACAATGTTAGGTTGGGCACAGTGGCTCACGCCTGTAATCCCAGCACTTTGGGAGGCCGAGGTGGGAGGATCACCTGAGGCCAGAAGTTCGAGAAGAGGCCGGTCAACATGGTGAAACCCCGTCTCCACTAAAAGTACAAAAAATAGCTGGGCATGGTGGTGCCTGTCTGTAATCCCAGCTACTCAGGAGGCCGAGACAGAATTGCTTGAATCTAGGTGGCGGAGATTGCAGTGAGCCGAGATTGCGCCACTGTGCTCCATCCTGGGTGATAGAATGAAAGACTCCGTCTCAAAAAGAAAAAGAAAAAAAAAAAAAGAACCTCTACAATGTTAGATTGTTTCTGCTGTATAAATTCTGAACTTGTATCTGTTTTGCACTCCCTTTCCCACTTGTAAGTCTCAGTTCTCCTATGGGAATTAAGGCTTTTTGTTTGTACTGGAGCCAATGTTAGAGAAAACAAGTCAATGTAGGGAATTCAAAATTAAGGTAAAATCAAGATCCTTGAAGGAGCTGATTCATTTTAGTAAATAGGATGACCTGCACTTAGACATGAATTCTGCTTAAACTAGAATTTTACTTACCTTTATTTAAAGAAGTCACAGATATTTTTTGCCTTGCTCACTGCTGTATCCCTAGAGTTCAGAATAGTAGGCACCCAGTAAATCTGCAGAAACAATGTACAACTTTTATATCCACTAAAGGAAGATCGTTTCTTACTTAGGAAAGTGATAAGAATGAAGGATGTTATAAAATTGTTTTAAAGGTGCTATAACAAAGCCTTCATCTTACTAAGAGAACTGGGATTTACTGTTTGTGTATTCAAATTTCACCTGCATAAGCAATTACACATATAGTACCTGACAGTTTTATTATACTTTAGGGGAAGAGATGGCTAGTGACAAGGAGAATTCAAGATTGTTCAAATCTTTACAGAAGATTTTTGATACTAGCAAATGTTTCTCAAAGATAAACTAGACAAGTTCAGTATGGACAAAGAAACAAAGAAAAGCATTATAATCAGATGTCCTACGAAAGCTACAGTGATTCAACATGTGCTTTAATTTATACTGCTTAGATCCTTTGAGTTCAGATGTCTTGAGTTTTTGAGGACAGTAAAACAAGTAAAACTGGGATGAAATTAAAGCTATGTGGCAAATTAGTTTCAGTTAAATCAGGAATATCTAATACAAAGCTTACAAACTCCAAAATAGTTCAGCCAATAGAGTAACTTCCCAAATGCTGGATTTAAGCTTTCATCACAAATTTAAAAAGGTAATAATTCTTCTAGATCTCAACTCTAGGCTGTTAACAAGTAGCAACTCCTTCATATTAACTTTCTGCTCCCAACTATTTCTGAATCAGATCTTGCTGCTATTTTTTTCTTATTCTAGAAGCTACTGAGCAAGGAAAATACCTTGATTCATTCTAGATAGAAAACATTTTACTGGCCAGGCGCCATGGCTCGCCTGTAATCCTAGCACTTTGGGAGGCTGCCCCAGGAGGATTGCCTAAGCTCAGGAGTTTGAGACCAGCCTGGGCAACACGGTGAAACCCCCATCTCTACTAAAATACAAAAAATTAGCCAGGCGTGGTGGCATGCGCTTTCTAGTCGCAGCTACTTGGGAGGCTCAGGCAGAATTGCTTGAATCTGGGAGGCGGAGTTTGCAGTGAGCCAAGATCGCGCCACTGCACTCCAGCCTGGGCGACAGAGCGAGACTCTGTCTCCAAAACAAAAACAAAAACATTTTACCTAAGAAATCAAGTATCTTAAATTTTGGAGAACTGAAAAGGTTGAGAATTTCTGCCCCAGTAACAGATCGTTCTCTGACTTAAATAATTCTCAATGTTCTACCAAGTTAACAACACACATTAAGAAATCTGACTCAAGCTCTTTTTCCCATGTGACTATGTTACTTGGCTGTATCATAAACTAGGACTAAGTTCCTACAGTTCAGTCTTGCAAGGGAGAACCAATTCAGGACACTGCCATAGAAAATATTTACTCCCTGAAAAACTTCTATAGGCTTACTGTTCCTATTTGTGACTGTAGTATCCAATTTCCCAGAAATATTCAAATCAGTGAGAACAGCATCAGTCTGAGACAGACTAGTCTCCCCTCCCCACTGAAAACCCAACCACAAGAGCACAGCCTTTAGACCCACTATTTCTTTTATATCCCGAATAACTGTAAAGTGCAGTGCTTTATAACCCTCATTTAGAAAACTACTCCTTTTAGAGACTAATAAAACACAACCTAACCAAAACTACCCTGACCTTGGGAGTCAACGAAGCCCAGCATCTTCTCTGAGCAGTGATAGCCAGTCTCCTAGAGGGCCCAATGATATCCACCTCCCAGTATTCACATCCTTGTGCAGTCCCCTCCCACACTATACCAAGCTGATTCAATGGTTGGTCTGTGTGACTCATGGAATATGGCAGAAATAATGTCACCTGAGGCTACGTCATAAAAAAGTATGGTTTCTGCTCACTTTCTTATATCACCTGCTCTAGGGGAAGCCACATACCAGTTGTCCACCAGGCAACTGGTGCCCAAGGAACTGAAGCCCAAGAGCCACGTGAGCATCAGGCACTGTGTGTGATACCCACACAGTGAGGAACAGAAGCCCAAGAGCCACGTAAGCAAGACATCTTGGAAATGGCTCCTCTAGCCTTGTCAAGCTTCAAGATGGTACAGTCCTGGCTAACAGCTTGACTGCAACCTTCTGAGATCTCAAGACAGAACCACCCAGTTAAGCAGCTCCTAGATTCCTGATCCAGAACTGTGGAAGGTAATACTTGTTTGTTGTTTTAAACTACAGTAATAACTGAGACACACTAGACAAGGATCACTCATTGCTTCTTAAATGAAAAAAGCAAAAATCTAATTATAACAATTTTGACTAGAAATATTAAATACTGAATTCTGTTAAAGAAAAAATCTTAAATTCATGTTTGATAAAAAGCTTAAAAGCCAATTCCCAACTCATTGAACTACCGTACTCCTTCCTTACAAGGAAGAAAAACAAAACACCTGAATATGTTGTCTGTAGCCAATAAACATTACTAACTAGATTGCAGCCTAAAGTGTCAAGTATTTCTAATAATTACATTAAAAATACAGCAGCAAGACAGTTCCTTGGATCTTACTTTTTCCCTCTCATTGGAACTGAATTGTAGATATTGGGCACTGTACCTAGCAAGTCACAGAAGATCTGAATTAGGATGCCTTAATTACACTTGGCCTATTTTAATGATTTTAAAATTAGATCTTAAATGTGAAAGTAAATAAAAGCAGTAAGGGAAACACTACACAATGAGTATGTACGGTTGCTGGCTGCAGAATTCAACAATACAGTTTTGACATTTACAGATATCACAGATCACTACCAGAACATCACATAAGTTTATTTCAGATGTAACAGCAATGTTAAAATTGACAAGTTTAATTCTTAACTGCACCAAGTAAACTTAGCCATTTAAGTATTTTTTTAAGTTATTCCCTCCAAAAAACTGAGGGAGCTTTTCTTTTCCACCACCACACCATGGTTTCCCAATAGTTCTCTTTTTGGAGGACTTTTCAATTGATGAGTAAACTGCTTTAGATATTTCAGAACTTCATTCCCCAAATGAAAGCTAATCTGGACAAACTATATATTGCATAGATTTCTCTACAGATTCTTTGCTTTAAAACCTAAATGCAACTAACATAGTGTAATTTTAACCTATTTGCCCCACAGTAAAAACTATCTGTCCTGAAAAATATGATGGATATATCCTGTGATTTTCCAGTTAACAGAATTGTTCTACTTCAAAGATAATTATTATCATATATCAAAATAACCAGCTCAACATAGGACATTACTTCAGTCTTTACTGACTCATAGGCATATGAACTTGTGCCCAGCTTTTTACCTCTTCCACATTCTCCTCCTCCTCCATAAGTGGATGGAATTATTTAACTAAGTTTGATGTAGGACAATTAACCCTTTACAAACATTTACAATTCAGGTTAAGTCACTGACTACCGTGGAAAAAGAAACTCTATATATAATGATAGGGAGCCTACACACTCAATTCAAAATTTAATATTTTTTCCTCCTTAAATAACATGTACTTGTCATGAGGCAGCTATTAGGTTTTCAATAACCACATTTAGGGATACATTCATAGGACTGATTAGATAGTCCAGGTGAAATGGTTATAGAAATAGAGGCAGTGTCATCTCAGAAAACCATTTATATATCAAAGTCTATTTTGATATCTGGGAAGTTTACAAAAAGGCTGCTGCATTCTTCAAACTACTTATGCCTTCTGTAACTCAAGCACTCTTCTCTTGCCAAGAGCAAGCTGAAGCTTATTCATGAAGATAAAGGTGCTTAACGCTAAACTTTTCTTCTAAGCTTAGATTTGGATTGTTTAAGAAACGAATACCCCCAAAAAACCAGCAAGGTCTTTCTACATTTTTACCATCTTAAGATTAGAACCCTATAAACTCATTCATCAACTGTCTTCTTTTTCTGTATTATTCTTGGCACTCAAGATTGTTGAAGTCTACTGCACTTTGTACTTTCACATTCTCAAATAAAAACTTAAGGTTATAAAGTGTGCATAAACATTTTATAAAATAATTTTGTCATTTAACATATTTGGAAATGAGACTTTATACCGCAATTTTACATAAGAGGATAAATATGAATGAAACTTCCTTTTAAAGTCAAATGACAGAAAGCTCAAGCCCTGTGCATTATTTTAAAGTCTGAGAACATTTCTAAATAGTGGAGATGGGACTACAAAAGGAAAACATGAATATTTCAGATGTCTCCCATCTTACAAAGTTATCAATCTGTCAAAGCCACTCCGTGTGTGCCGGAAAATGATCTGGCATAAACCAGTCCTCTCAGTGGAGGAGGTCACAGTGACATTTGTATTATTAACATTTTACACTTCTATTTTTCCAAGAATAGAAGCAATATGTTTAATAATTACCCCTGCCTCAAATCCTTAAACTCAATATCACAGGCACTGAGTATAAGCAAATCTGGGATGTCCTCCAACAGATGTGCAATAGCACAGCTATGTTATTCTCAAAAATACTATTTTTTCCTATAAAATCAAATGCTCAGTGGCCACACTTTTAACAGCTGGCATTAGATGACAGTAATTGAATTTTTTGTGTCACAGCCCATCTAAGCTTCCTTTTAGGTATTTTTTAGTATGTCCAAGAGAAAACACCTGCTTCAGGTTTATTTAGGGGTAGTGACCTATAAGGACATCAACTCAATTTTTAAGGTTAGACTATTGTTGGGTTTACTGAAGAAAAAGGAACGGGAAAAAATTAAATCACAACACACCTCTTTAGGTCAGTTAAAGGCCATATCTCTAGCTGGGATATTAAAAAAAATTAATCTCACCAGCCCAAATTCTAAAAGTTAATGCCACTAGTAACAATCAACAGCAGGAAAAACAAACCTGCTAACAACCAGCCCACTCATTAGCAAAAAAGCAGTTTAACTCAAATACTTAGACCAAAGTATAACACTAAACCAAACTGCCCCACCCACCAGCAAGAAGAGAAGATATAATTACTTAAAAATCAACATAAGCTTAGTATTTCTTACAAGGATAACAATGTTCCAACTCCCGAGAGAGTGCTCAGAAGGACTAAAGGTGGAGTGAAGGCAATGTCTAGGGATTAGTATCCCAAAGTGTTTAAAAACCCAAAGTACCACAAACACACTCAACTTGTCTATGAATTAGAGAACAAGATACTGCTGCTGCTTCTTTTTGTCTTTTGAAATATACAATGTTTTGTAGGCTCTGCCCTTCAATGTGAAAGCAGGACATTAAATTTGAAATTATTTGACAATTAAATGTTTAGGACCATCTAACTTCAACTGCAAAACTAAACAGATCTACCTTGTCCTTCCTTCAAACCACCTCACAAAAATAAGAGAAAACAATTCAAACATGATTATTTTTTTAAAGTCCTTGAAAGTATTAAAACTCTCAGAGAAAAGGAAAGGAAGAAAGAAAAACAAGAACAAGGAGGGAGAAAAGCTTTAAAAGAAAAGTGTTGGGGTGGGGGAGGAATCAATGGGCCTCTCTTTTATTTGGCGACAAGCAAGTGCAAGAAAGTTCATTTGTAATTTGTTCAGTTGTCTGTCTTTTGCACATCTGCATTCTGACCAGAAGGAACTTTGAGGTTTTTCTGCAGCACATGAGCATCTGCGGGCTCTATCCTCTTATAGTAGTTCTTCTTTGTCTCAATAATCTCAAAGCCAAACTTCCTGTAGAAGTCAATTGCCGACTCATTGCTGATCTGGACATGCCTGAGATATAAGAGAGTATCAGAAAAAAAATTAAAATTAAGGTTTCATCAAGTTTTAAGCATTCTCCACAGATAGCTCCAAACATCTGTTACATTCTCTTTACAACTACCAGTAATCAACAAGGGTTAGGCATGCTTACCTAAAACCTTTTGATGACAATTTTACACTTTTAATCTAATTTTTACATTTGTAAGACAGCTGGCTGAGATTAGAAGGCTCAGTGTTTATTCTTGTAGTCAACAAAGGGAAAAGTACCACAGCTATCAAAATTTTTTCACTGTAAGAGGATAAATTATTAAAAGGCCCTATTAACACACAGAAAAAAAATGATGAAAAATAAAAAACTAGGGTCTCAAAGCTTGAAGATATATCTTCCTTCTGATTGATAAAATACATGGTATGTTTTAAAAATTAAAAACGCAAGCTTTCTCAATTACTCCCAAAATAACACTGTATAATTCAATCTCTCACATGGCCAAACTAAATTATGAACATCCATGACTGTGATCTTAGTCATAACTCTTTATCTACAGCCTCTTGAGATTCAAGTACAATCTCAGCTAGGTAATCTCTGATTTTGATTATTAAACTCTACTACAAATGATCTACTACAATGTTCAAAGCTATCAACATAGCCTTGAACAAAACACACAAGGTTTTGCATGAGAAAAGTAGTATTAATAGTCTTGAATTCTGAAGGCCTGAGTTTTAATCCTGATTTCATCCCTGTGACTTTGGTGCTCTCATCCTAATATAATAAAGCAATGTGTTCTATCTCAGGTTCCTAATCTACTATTATTAATAAAACAAAACTAAACAAAACTAACAACTACTCGAATACTTTGTAACAACTACTTCCACAGTGTTTCCAAAGGCACAATAAGTGACCAGATTTTAAAGTTTCTAGTAAAGATTTCTCCTGCCAATTAAACCCCTTTGATAAGAACATTAAATATTATTTTACTTACAGATAAATGTTGTCAAAAGTACCATCTTTTTCACAGATGTTTAAGACATGATTTAACATTTTAGTTCCTGTTAATAAAATAAATAACAAACACGTGACTTCATAAATCAACCTTTAAATTATGTATCTATCCACTTGCCATCTGAACTACTTATTGAGTCCTAAAAGAATTTATGAGGTATACACTAGATATCCTTATTTTCCAAAGTTGTGTTCTCTCTCTACAATAGCTACGTATGTTTAAAACTGTTAGCAGAAGACTAACCTTTTTAAACAAGCACTTCCGGGTAGAAGAAAAACAGAAAAAGCAGAAGGGGACGTAAACAGCAAATCTATGTAGGGCTTCCAATAGAATTATGTTAATAAACACTAGTTATTTTTCACCATATTTTACATAATTCAGTAACCCTTTCTCAGTATTCCTTAAAAAGACCCAAATTAACTTACTAGGTCAGACACATTAACAAATAATATGTTTATGCTTCTCTGAAGAAGTAAAAAAACCACAATTTTTTACCTATTCCTAGCCTTCGGTAAGGTGCCAGACATCCTAGTGTCATGATGTAAAGTCTCTTCTGATTCTGTGAATGATCCACCCTACAGCATACTGCACCTACAGCAATATCATTGAAATAGGCTGCCAAGGAAAACATAAAGATATAATGTTGAACAGACAGAATAACACATTTAATCTTTTTCCCTTTTAAAGGACTACACTGTTCCTATCAACATTAAATTTCATCAACTATTTCATGAATATCAATGATCTCAAAGCTCTTATGCCATCTTAGGAAGTTTAAGCCTCCTCTAGAGTATAGCTTAAAGTGAAAACACACAGGTATACACTAAGAACACTAAGCATTTCTTTTTAAAATTCAACTGTTTTATTCAACTGATTTCTCTGAGATTTTTCTCACAACCTAGACCACTCCCATTTCCTCACTTATAAAATAAACAAACTAAATTAGTTAACTTCTTCTGCTCTATAAAAAACTAGGGTTCAAGAACAAAAAGAAAGAAAAGAAGGGAGGACAAAAAAAAAACTATATTATACCAAGTTTTGCTAGCTCGCCAACCTCCAGCACATCCTTGTAGAACTTGTCATTGTAGCTGACTGGAAAGATGACCTGATTCAATCTTTTCAACTGTTTAATATTGTGTGGTGTCACATCTCCCAGCTCGATCCGGCTACTGGAACAAATCAAAATGTACTCAATAAAACATAATTAGCCCCATTTGTTAATATGAACATATGAAAGGGGTACCAAGTCTTTTTTACATGATTGATAAATCCAACTCTTTCAGAGTTGATTTATAAGCAAATTATCATTTATAAGCAAATTTTGACAGTCATTCAATACAAATTCTACTCATAGCTTTCATATAATTACATACATTCAGGGACAAATATGGTACACAACGACTACTACAAAGGCCAGAATAACATTCTGCAAGTGTCAAAATTTTCCTTGTAGTTCATAGTTCAGAAAAATTTAGATACACCTATTTCTGGTAAAATTACAGTTCCTTTGCCCAAGTATCTTATTACTTCTAGTAATTTATTCTAAGAAAACAATGGAGGTATGCAATACCATGCACATTCTATTCATGAAAACCGTGGTCTATGAACTACCTACATCAGAGTCACAGAGGTGATATGCAAAATTCACATTCCTGGATACACATACCCCATTTTCAGAACCAGAGTTGCTGGAAACGAAACAAAGGAATCCACCATCTTGAAAATCACCCCAGGATGAAAACTATCCATTAAGAAAGCAACAGGAGTGATATGGTTTGGCTGTGTCCCCATCCAAATTTCATCTTGTAGTTCCCATAATTCCCATGTTGTGAGAGGGACCCGGCGAATCATGGGGGCGGTTGCCCTCATGCTGTTCTCGTGATAGTGAGTTCTCACAAGATCTGATGGTTTTATAAGGAGGCTTTCCTTCACTTCGCTCTCATTTCTCCTTCCTGCCACCATGTGAAGAATGATGTGTTTGCTTCCCCTTCCACCATGTTTATAGGTTTCCTGAGACCTCCCTATCCCTGCGCAACTGTGAGTCAATTAAACCTCTTTCCTTTATAAATTACCCAGTCTCGGGTATGTCTTTATTAGCAGCATGAGAAAGGACTAATAAAAGGAGCATTCCTAAGAAACCACTTGTAATCAAAACAATTGGGTCCATGGAAAAGATTAAAGCGAAAAATTTTCAGTTCCAATTTCTAACAAAGTATCAAAGGTATTCTGCCTGCAGAGCTGTAAACAAAGAATTTTTAATAGCTGAAGTGAACTTCAATACTGTTAAAGGTGGATCAAATGTGATAAGGCAAACCTGACAGCATTCTACAATTTTTTTGCTCCATCCGTATTATTTGCCCAAAAAGATGTTGTAGCATATTGTGTTTTGTAGAGAAAAAGCACATTTCAACTATATTTAACAACGGACTTTTGTTAACATATACAAAAACATGCTTGAAAGGATTTTAATTTGTAGTAGAAATTGTAATTTTAAAAACTGTATTTTGAAATGTTAAAATTTAGATTAAAATGCAAAAAAACAAAAACAGAAACAAAAAAAAACAGCTGGGCATGAAGGCCTGTAATCCCAGCACTTTGGGAGACCGGGGTGAGAGGATCCTTTGAGCCCTGGAGTTCAAGACCAACCTGGGCATATAGCAAAACTTTGTAAGAAATTTTTTTAAAAAAACTTAACCAGGTGTGGTGGCGTGCACCTATGGTCCCAGCTACTTAGAAGGCTGAAGTGAGAGGACTGCTTGAGCCTGGAAGGTCGAGGCTGCAGTAAGCTATGATTGTGTACCATTGCATTCCAGCCTGGGTGACAGACTGTCTCAAAAACAAAACAAAAAACAGCAATAATTACAGATAAAAAAAGAAATTTCTAAATTTGATTTATCTGGAGAGGAATATGATGTAATATTTTATCTTATAGTACAAAGTTCTCTAAGATGTATTACTCTATAATGCCCAGTTTGGAGAACATTCTACTTGGTAAGGAGTTAGAGGCAAAAACAAGAGACTTTTACCCCCTATTTAAGTAGTCTGTATGAAGAACACAAAAGACAGCATAAAGCATCGTTTCTGTCATACTTAGCAGTTTTGAAAGGCTTAGCTCATTTGGAACTTTATCCTTCCTGCCTTGATTATTTTTTATACCACTAATCTGTATTATTTGTTGCAACCAATGATCTTTTCATGTCTTGTATGTCTTCCTAAAATCTGAACATAGTTTCTTAGCAACCACACAGATTAAATAAACAAACATGTTAGTAAAAGGGTAAGAGATTTATATATTTAAAAAACCCCTCAGCACCATAGGAAGTTTAAAAAAGTAAAAATAAAAAAATAGACATTTTCTTGTTATAGTCTCTTCCAACTTCTAGTCACTTAAGTATAGTCTTTTCTCATCCCAAGTATTTGACAACTATAATGAATTCCCTGTATGAAATTCATGTTTTCTTTAAGTAGATTACATCTCATTCACAGAACTCCCCCTCTTCATAACACTTTTCTGACTAAAATCTACTGGGCTCACTTTCCCCACTATCTACCATTCACATAAAAAAAAAAAAAAATTGGGAGGCCAAGGTGGGCAGATCATAAGGTCAAGAGTTTGAGACCAGCCTGGCCAATATGGTGAAACTCTGTCTCTACTAAAAATACAAAAATTAGCCCGGTGTGGTGGCACGTGCCTGTAGTCACAGCTACCCGGGAGGCTGAGGCAGAAGAATCACTGGAACCCAGGAGGCAGAGGTTGCAGTGAGCCAAGATCGCACCACTGTACTCCAGCCTGGGCGAGAGAGCAAGACTCCGCCTCAAAAAAAAAAAAAAGAAAGAAAGAAAGAAAAATCTGTGGATACTGTTATCCTGTAAACTATAGAATCCTTTATTTTTCTTTTTTTGAGACAGGGTTGCTCTGTTGCCCAGGCATAATTACAGGTCACAGCAGCCTCCGCTTCTCAGGCTCAAGTGATCTTCCCACCTCAGCCTAACGAGTAGCTGAGGAAGGCACATGCCACCACGCCCAGCTGATTTTTGAATTTTTTGTAGAGACAGGGTTTCACCATGTTGCCCAGGCTGGTCTACAGTTCCTGAGCTCAAGTGATCCGCCCACCTTGGCCTACCAAAGTGCTGGGCCTACAGGCGTGAGCCACTGTGCCTGGCCAAAATATAGGATCCTTTAAAAATGCAGTAGCTGACAGGGATCACATCTTACCTACACTGTCTCCTGTTTAACTTACCATAGTGCCACAAGTTGGGTGTAGTAATTTTTTTATATACAGTTTGTATTAATTTAGAGCATCTCATTTAAAAAAAAGTCTTAGTATTTAAAAAGTGATTTAAAATTACATTATGAAGTTGAAGTATCAACAATAATAGTAACTTAAGAACCTACAAAGTCAAGCTTCTAAAGTATAAATGAAAGAACTTGAGGTTTTTAAAACTTTAGGAATCATTTGTAGGTAGTAACTAGGCTTCAAGCATACTTACAGTTTTCAAAGAATAATACCAGGTATTTCTTGACTTCATACAAGAAGAAAAAGTGGTTATAGTGCACTGTGCTACAATGAGTCTAATAAAAGTTAACTACTAAAAAAAGTTTCCATTAGGGTGGCCAGATAAAGCCTAAATAGAGAAAACAATATTGAACCATTAGGAAATAGGCAGCTTAATCTTCCCCTAACTAATTAAAAAAATACATGCCTTTTTTTTTTTTAAAGCACACCATAGAAATGACGTAGAAAGGGAAAATATCCTGCAATAATATGGCCAGAAATAAGTTTGCTGATAGTCTTCCAATATTTTTCTATGCGCGTTATATATATGTATATACACGCTTTAAACAAATTTGAGATTTAAGTATTGTTTGGTAGCTGTTGGAAAAATTAAGCTGTTTTTGAGAAATTAATTTGATTTTTGCAAGAAACAAATATGCTAGAAAAATTTCAAAATGTTCACTTAATGTAACCTTGTCAGCAAAACTGAGCTTCAAATATAGTTTAACTCTCATTAACATGATATGTCTGACTGAAATGGAATACTTCTGTAATCCTGATCACTTAGCTCCAAATTATTTTAAGACATGGATTTTCTAAATATATCAAAGTACTATAATCAACTTGTAAATATAAGTTAGCAAGGAACACGGAGTTAAAAAAAAAAAAAGGCATAAGCATAAGGGATATGTAGACATGTCAAGAAAATAACATTACTTGAATGTAAACAACCAAAAAGGTTTTAGTTAGAATAACCTATAAAAAATTAAGTTAAAAGTCCAAATTCTCTATTAAAAAACTAACCTAATGGAGATTTAAAAAATTCTGTCAATCTAAATTTTTCTAAAGTTCTTATGAACATAATAGAGTTGCCTAAAGCATAAATCAATTATATTTCAATAAATATTTGAGTATCTATGTGTTATGCATCTGGAATGCAAAGGTGTTTACATCTGGTAGGAAAGACAGGTATATACAATGTGCTACTAACAGTGTATGTACATATAGTACAAAAATAATACTAGAATGAAGGTGACAATGGGAAACATTTTGAAGAACGACTAGCTTATCCTGTGGAAGGGCAAGAGATGCAGTCTAATAAAACATGAACAAAACAGCAGTGATGTAGTCCGAAAATCAGTCAGTTTGATATGGCTAAAACATCAAGTATGCTTGTGTATAAATGCGGAAGCTGAAAAAGAACCAATTTTATGACGGCCTCGTATATGGACGCATTTGGTTATCTTCTCTATAATTATTCTCTTGGTGATCTCATTCAATCTTGTAGTTGTGTGGCTTTAATGCTGCCAATTTCCAAATTTCTGTCTCTAGCCTATAGTTCACTCCTGAACTCTACATTCCTAGATCCAAGCAATCTCCAGCAGACACTTCAAAGTGAACATACTGCAAACAATTTCAAATCTTTGTTCCAAAATCTGCTTTGCTTGCAGTTTTTCCTGTCAATTGATGGCCTCTCCATCCTTGGCTGCAGTATATGTTAACTCCAAGTCTTTGTTCACATGGTATCTCAAAAAGGCTTACTCTTGATACACTTTTTTCCTTTTCTTTTTTTTTTTTTTTGAGACGGAGTCTCCCTCTGTTGCTCAGGCTGGAGTGTAGCGGTGCAATCTCAGCTTATTGCAACCTCCGCATCCTGGGTTCAAGCAATCCTCCTGCCTCAGCCTCCTAAACAGCTGTCATTACAAGCATGTGCCACCACTCCTAACTAATTTTTGTATTTTTAGTAGAGATGGGGTTTCACCATGTTGGCCAGGCTGGTCTTGAAATTATGGCCTCAAGTGATAGGCTCGCCCACCCTGGCCTCCCAAAGTGTTGGGATTATAGGCGTGAGCCACTGCACCCAGCCCTTGTAATATTCTTGATATGTTTTCTTATCAGGGTTATCTTGGCCTCAAAGAAAGTTTGGAAGTGTTTCTTCCTTTCTGCTGTTTCATTCAATCAATAAAAGAAAGCTTCAGGTATTTTCAAATTAGAAAGTGCACAAATATTTAGGACTACTGTTGATAATTTGACGCTTTTATCATTTTGAAATATCCTTTTTGCTGGCAATACTCCTTGTTTTAAAGTCTACTTTGTTCATTAATACGCAGTTTTCTTTCTTTCTTTTTTTTTTTTTGAGATGAGGGTCTCAACTCTGTTGCCCAGGCTAGAGTGCAGTAGCACAGTCTTGGCTTGCTGCAAGCTCCGCCTACGGGCTCAGGGGATCCTCCTGCCTCAGCCTTCCAAGTAGCTGAGACCTCAAATGCATGCCACCACTTTCAGCTATTTTTGTTTTGTTTTGTTTTTGTATTTTTGGTAGAGACAGGATTTCACCATGTTGCTCAGGCTGGTCTTGAACTCCTGAACTCAAGCAATCCACCTGCCTCAGCCTCCCAAAGTGCTGGGATTACAGGGATGAGCCACCAGGCCTGGCTTTACAGCTTCCTTCAAATCAAAGTTTCATGTTCTATCTTTTACCTTTTTCTTTTTACTTTTCCTTGTGTCCTTATATTTAAAGTGTGTGTAAATAGCATATAGTTGGATCTTATTCTTTTAATCTGACAATTGGAGTATCTGGTCCATTAAGATTTAATGGGCCAGGCACAGTGGCTCACACCTGCAATCCCAGCACTTTGGAAGGCTGACTCGGGTGGATCACTTGAAGCCAGGAGTTCAACACTGGCCTGGCCAACATGGTGAAACCCTGTCTCTACTAAAAATACAAAAAATTAGCCAGGTGTGGTGGCGCGTGCCTTTAGTCCCAGCTACTTGAGAGGCTGAGGCAGGAGAATTGCTTGAACCCAAGGGCAGAGGTTGCAGTGAGCCGAGATCGCCACCACTGCACTCCAGCCTGAGTGACAGAGTGAGACTGTTCAAAAAAAGATTTAATGTAATTATTGAATTACTGATTTAGTTGATTCAAGTCCATCAGCTTGCAATTTTCTATTTGTACCAAGTATTAACTGTTCTTCATTTTCCTGCCTTTTATGGGCATCAGTTTTGATTGATTCCTTGGCTTTCGGAAAAAAAAAAGAAAAAAAAAAACTTTTTAAAGCTTACATAAAATTAAATTCATCTTTTTGGTGTATAGTTCTGAGTTTTTACAAATACATATAATCATGTAACCATTACCAAAATATACAATTTAATTACTCCCAAAACCTCCCACATGACCCTTTAAAGTTCAACTCCCAAGCAGCCACAAATCTCTTTTCTGTTCCCCAAAGTTTTGCCTTTTCAAGAATGTCACATAAATGGAATCACAAAATACATAGCTGCTTGTTTGGTTTCTTTCATTTAGCATAATGTCTGAGACTCACCCCGGTGTTGTGCATATCAATAGCTCATTCCTTGTTAATGCTGAATGGTATTCCATTATGTGGATGTACTGTAAATTTATCCTCTTGTTGAAGAGCAGTTGTTTACAATTTTAGGTAACTGCAAGTAAAATTCCTATAAACATTTACATATAAGTTTTGGTATGAACATAAGTTCTTATTTCTCTTAGTAAATACCTAGGAGTGGGAATGCTAGGTCTTAAGTGTATAGGAGTTCTACTGTTCTGAATCTTCATCAGCATTTGGCATTGTTAACTTTTAAAATTTATGCTAACAGGTATGTAGTGACAATTTATTGTGGTTTTTAATTTGCATCCCCCTAAATAATAAATGAAGTGAGCATCTTTTCATGTATTTCTTTGCCATTCATGTTATCATCTTTGATAAATTAATTAGTTCAGATTTCTTGTCAATTTTTTAAAAACTGGTTTTTCTTGAGTTTTGGGTGTATTATGGATACTTGTCATTTGTAAGTTATGTATGTTGCAAAGAATTTTTACCAGTCTATGGCTTTTTTCATTTTCTTATTGTTTTTGGGAAAGTTTTACATTTTGACAAATTTATTTCATGGATTTATTTCTGAGTTGTATTCAAGAAATATGCCTAACTCAAGATCACAAAGATTTTTATGTTTTCTCTAGACATTTTACATTTAGGTGTATGAACTCCCTCTTTCTTAAATCCCCCTCATTTCTTTCTCCTTAAGCAGCCTTCTTGAGGTATAATTTATATACCATAAAAGCCATGTTTTAAGTGCACACTTCAGTGATTTTTTTACTATAAAGTTGTGCAACTATCATTGCAATTCAGTTTTGGAACATTCTCATTACAGTCTCAAAATTCCTTAGGTGCATCCGCAATCAATCCCCTTTCCTACCCCTAGACAGCCACTAAATCTACTTTCTCTTTCTACAAATGTGCCTTTACTAGACATTTAATATAAATGGAAGCACACAAGAAAAGTGATCTTTTGCACTAGGCTTCTTTCATGTGGCATGATTTTGACGTTCACCTCTGTTTTAACACGTCAGCAGTCTGATCTTTTTATTGCTGAATAGTATTCTATTTTGGTATAGTTTATACCACATTTTGTTTATTCATTCACCAGCTGATGGATATTTGGGCTGTATGTGCATCTTGACTATTATAATGCTGCTATGAATATTGCATAAAAGTCTGCGTGTGGACATACGCCTTAGTTTTTTTTCTGGTAGATAACTGGAAGTGGGATTGCTAGGTTGTATGACAAATATTTTTAGCTTTTAAAAAAACTGTCTGTGGTAGGTACAATAATGCCCCTCACCCCCAACCAAAGGATGTACATGTCATAATCCCAGGAATCTTGAATATCTTACTTTACATGGAAGAACAGACTTTGCAGATGTGATTAAGATCTTGAGATGTGAAGATCAACCATGATTATCCAGACGGGCCTAATATAATCACATAAGTCCTTAATAAACAGAGGAGATATGACAACAGAATACTATTCAGACAAAAAAGATTTTAAGATGCTCTATGGCTGGCTTTGAAGATGAAGGAAGAGCCAGGAGCTAAGGAATGCAGGTTGCCTATAGAAGCTGGAAGAGCCAAGGAAAGATTCTTCTCAAGGGCCTCTAGGAGAAACACAATCCTACTGTATTAGTATCCTAGGGCTATCTTTAAAAATTACCACAAACTCAGTGGCTTGAAGCAACAAACTTATTCTCTTATAGTACAGGAGGCTAGAAGTCCAAAATCAAGCTGTCAGCAGGGCCATGTTCTCAAAACTCTAGGAATCTTTCCTTGCCCCTTCCAGCTTCGGTGGCCCCACGCTTGGGGCAGCCTACCTCCATCTTCACATTGTCTTTGTGGTGTGTCTGTTTCCTTTACTCTTCTTATAAGGACGCTAGTCATTACATTCAGGACCTGCTCTAATTCATATGAACTCAATTATATCTGCAAAGACCCTATTTCTAACTTAGCTCACATGCTGAGGTTCCAGATAGATAATAATTTTTGAAGGACACTATTTAAAATCACTCTGTCTGCCAACACCTTGATTTTAGCCCAGTGAAACCCATTTCAGACATTTAACCTCTAAACTGTGGCTGTGACGTTTATATTTCCATCAGTAATGTATCAGGGTTCCAGTTTCTCTATACCTTTTATTGCCTTTCTGTTAATAGCCATTCTACTGGTGTGATGTGATATCTCATTGGACGTATTTCTCTACTGACTAATGATGTTGAGTATGTTTTTGTATGGCTATTAGCCATTTTTTTTTTTTTTTGTAAAATCACTCTTTAAATCTCTTGCCCATGGTTTAGCCCTGAGAATAAACCTAGAATTTTTTACACTAATTTTGTACTCCTGCTTTTACATTGGATTGCTTGTCTTAGTGAGTTGTAAGAGTTCTTTATATATTCTGGATACAAGTCCTTTATCAGACAGATGATTTTGCAACTAATCTCAATTGTAGCTTGTCTTTTCATTTTCTTACCACGGTATCATACTAATGTAAGGTGTTAGTAATATGAGAAAACTGGGAATTCTTTATAGCATCTTTGCAATTTTTCTAAAAATCTAAAACTACTCAATTTTTTTTTTTAATTAGTGGAGGAACTATTAGCGTAAGAGATAAGGCATTTCAGCCAACTGCAATTTGTGAACCTTTCTGGATTCTAATGTGAAAAAAAATCTATTTTTAAAAGACATTTACAAGACAGAAAATAAGTACAAACTGGATATCAGATCATAAGATAATATAAGGTATTGTAATTGTTTAAAAAATCCTTCTCTGTTAAAGATTCATATTAAAGATATTAAAGGCCAGGCATGGTGGCTCATGCCTGTAATCCCAGCACTTTGGGCGGCTGAGGCAGGTGAATCACCTGAGTTAGGGAGTTTAAGACCAGCCTGGCCAACATGGCGAAACCCCATCTCTACTAAAAGTACCAAAAATTAGCCAGGTGTGGTGGCGCACACCTGTAATCCCAGCTACTCAGGAGGCTGAGGCAGGAGAATCGTTTGAACCTGGGAGGTGGAGGTTTCAGTGAGCTGAGATCACGATGCTGCACTCCAGCCTGGGTGACAGAGCAAGACTCTGTCTCCAAAAAAAAAAAAAAAAAAAAAAAGACAGAAAAAATATTCATATTAAATATTAAAGTATTTAGAGATTTGGAAAAGGATACTACATCTAGAGTTTCTTTTGGAAGTGCCCCAGCAAAAAAGGAAAAGGGAAAAGTATAGGTCAAACAAAGATGAAATAAAATGGGAATCGATCCTACTTACTGTAGTTGATTGATGGGGCTCATTCTACTGTTTCATTTCATAAATGTTTAAAGATTTCCACACATACACCATGGAATACTACATAACCATAAAAAAGAACAAAATCACATTCTTTGCAGCAATATGGATGCAGCTGGAGGCCATTATCCTAAGTAAATTAAAGTAACAGAACACTCAATACTGCATGTTCTCACTTATATGTGGGAGCTGAACACTGGGTACATATGAACATAAAGATGGGAACAACAGATACTGGGGACTACTAGAAGAGGGAGAAGGGAGGGAGGGGCAAGAGGTGAAAAACTACCTGCTGGGTATCATGCTCACTACCCAGGTGACAAGATCAATTGTACACTAAACCTCAGCATCATGCAACACACCCACGTAACAAACCGGTACATGTACCCCCTGGATCTAAGATAAAAGCTGAAAAAGAATCCCTAACAAAAAATTAAATAAAATACAAACATTACTCATTATATAAGGTACAACAAACTGCAGTACTTTCCAGGCATGTTATTTTTGATACTAAAACTCAAAGTAGAAAGTAAATGATTCCTCGTTTATTTCTTACTATATGAACAAGTAAAAGGAGGCAAGACCTTCAAACATTTAAAACACGATTTCTCAATCCCCAGCTGCACAAGGCTTCAGTTTATATAGAACAGAAATTGAATGAGAGCTGAATGAGTGAGCCTTCCATTTAAGTACCAGATCACTCTTCCAAATTTCAGCAGTGTCCAGACAGTCTGTTATCATCTTTGCTTTTGGAATAAACACCTATAAATACATGTTCTGATAGTTTTTTTTTCCATCAAAACTAGTGTCAAACGCTTTTAAGGTATGAATGGGCAATTTTAAAAATGATTTATATAATGCAGTCTAAATGTTACCCAATGAGACTGAAGCAATGCTAATGTTAAATAAAAACTAGGTAGTAAAGGGAAATGCACTTGGACTTTTTAAATGAAAGAATTCTCTTTTATAACACATTGCTTTGACAGCTATTTCCTGAAACATAACTAATTCATAGCATATAACCTTTGATTATGGGACTATATGAGACTACCAAGGATGTCTGTAGTAAGAAGGTCAAAGAAAAGAATGTAAGAAACACTTGAATTTTAGACGTAAAAGAACAGGAACCTACAAAGATGTCCAAGAAACAATGTTCAAGAGAAGGGAGGAAAAAACCTGGAGAGTGAGTAGTGTTACAAAATCAAAGAATGGATCCCAAACCTGGTTATATACCAGAATCATCTTGCCAGTTAAAAATTCAGATTCTCAAATTCCACCTTGGCAGCTTTACTTTTGTAATTAAGCTTGTTATGTAAATCATCATCCAAATTTAACACCCATCTAAATTAAATTTCCCACGGCATGTGCGTAAATTCCTAAATCTGAGAAATCTGCTGAGGGAAACAAGGGCTAAGGATGGGCATAGAGAACGGGTCATTGGAAAAACTATCCTATATGATCACAACGGATCATGAATTGTTTGCTTACTTCTGTTAAGAATGTAATATGATGTAACAATGTAGACTATCTTAATTTATCAGTAGTTTAAGACCTTTACTCTGTATATAAGACACAAATTGCCAGCCTAAGAGTTAAATCAGCCATGTGGTCACAACTATTTGACCCACAGGTTTTTTGTTTGTTTGGTTTTTGAGACAGTCTCCCTCAGAAGCTCAGGCTAGAGTGCAGTGGCTCAATCTCAGCTTACTGCAACCTCTGCCTCCCAGGTTCAAGCGATTCTCATGCCTCAGCCTACCGAGTAGCTGGGACTACGGTGCCCGCCACCATGCCCAGCTAATTTTTGCATTTTTAGTAGAGACAGGGTTTCGCCATGTTGGCCAGGCTGGTCTCCAACTGCTGGTCTCGAATTCCTGGTCTCTCACCTCGGCCCCCGAAAGTGCTGGGATTACAGGCGCAAGCCACCGTGCCTGGCCTGATTCACAGTTTTTCCTTTTTGTTTCTGGTTTTTACATTAAGTTCGATGCTAATATTTAAATGAAACGATTTTACATAAAGTCTCAAATTGCAGCTTCTCTTGCTTTACTGATCTACTTTATGTGGTTCCTGTTGGCAGTAGAGTTTACAGCCCTACCTGTAGAAAATTGAAGACAGTTGTTATTAAATACACTAAATTACTCTCTCAGCTCAAGTAAACTGGTGTGATGTGCTTTTTCTTGTTTTTCAGATTCATAACAATCAAACCCCAAGGCATTTTCATACCAGAATTTTTAGACTAAGGAAAAGTGGGACAGACTGTGATGTAAATAAGAAACCGCTACTGCCAAAGTGCCTACAGATACTTTATATTAAGTCCTTAAATGTGAAAAATGCAGTTACTTATCTGCCTCTTTATAGACTCCCATCGGCTATTAATTTGTGCCACAAGATTATAATTTCACGTACATAACTTCTGGGTTAGACTATGCTAGTAAGAAAACTTTACCCTTGGCCTATAAATCAAGCAGTGTGATGAGTTAATGCACATTAAATTTTGGCACAGCGATGTCAGATATTATGGACGCAAATGTTTTTAGCTATTCAACCCATTGCCAATTATGCTCATAATTGTAAAAACATTTAGTAGCAATATTCTGAAAGGCCACAAGATGGGGATATGACTCCACAAAAGTGGGTCTCGGTAAAAAGTGGTTTTTTTAAGAAGGATGGTTTCACTATATTGCCCAGGGGCCTTGAACTGCTGGGCTTAAGTGATCTTCCAGCCTCAGCCTCCTGAGCTATTGGGACAACAGGCACCACATCACCACACCAGGCTCAAAGTGTGACTTTTTAAGTTATATAACAAAAAGTGAAAATGAAGTATAGAGAAAGCTTAAAGCCTGTTTATACTTTTAGTGAGTATTAAGAGTACCTTGGCACATAATTTTAACTGCCTGTTCATTTGTTGTGCAGAGTATTTGATCTGGACTGGATCTACTCCCCCTTCATTTTACAGATGATGAAACTAAACCCCCAAGAGACAAATGTACCTATAGTTATACAGACAGTTATGGATAAAGCCAGAATCAAGCCTATGTCTCTTAATTTCCATTGTAGCACAAGATCAGTCACAACAATTTCTGTCAAAGGAATGACCTTTACCCCTCAAGGTCACTTTTTAAAAAAAGGGAGAGAGATCTATTGGTAAACATTTTTCTGACGTATACTGATAAAGGTGCATTTGCATAAAACTCAAAGCATCTTTTAGTTAGGATCAAATGGTCCTTTGATTTAAAAATGTCAAGGGGTTAGAAGGGAGGTAATTTTTTCTTTGCTAGCAGTAATGTTTCTAAACTCTTACCCTGTAGTAAATTACATGAAAGAGTGATTCCTCTGGAAAATAAATTCCTTCAACCTGAAAGTAAGCCCATTCAGAATTTATCACACAGTTTCAACACTAACTGCTCATGAGGTCTTAACCTGTCACCCACTGAGATTTCTACCTCATATGAACTATATTACCGTTTCTGTCCTTACAAGGCACCTCTGCCCTGCTACAAACATTTATTCTTGTATCTTACCTCTTCTATAAAACTATAAGACTTAGGGCAGGATCTCAGATTATTTCAGGGAATTACTAAATTACTTTTAGTAAGTTCCATCTTACCTAGATTTTACAGCAGGGTTTCTCAATCTCAACATTAGCATTTGGGGCTACATTATTCTTTGTTGTAAAGGGCCTTTCTGGTACACTGCAGAATACTCAGCAGCATCCCTAGATTTTACCCACTGGGTGCCAGAACTCTCCTACATCCTGTTAGGACAACCAAAAGTGTCTTCAGACATTACCAATAATTGGGAAGAGGGGGTGGGGGGTTGCCCTAGTTGGCAGTTACTGATCTAGAGGTTTGGCAGTAATTTTAAAAGTAAAAGGGGCTGGGCATGGTAGCTCAGGCCTGTAATCCCAGCATTTTGGGAAGCCAAAGTGGGCAGATCCTTTGAGTCCAGGAGTTCGAGACCAGCCTGGGCAACATGGCAAAACCCTGACTCTATTTCTTTGAAAAAAGCGAAGGTGGGGTGGATCAGCTCTCCAAACTGTATGCCTGCAAGTATCAGAGGTATAAAAATCTCAGCAATTATATGGTCGGTTACTAATGCTAAATACACACATGGGCACAATCTGCTCAAGAATATAACCTAAAAAGAATCAAATTATTCTGTGGAAAATTGTTTCCACTGTCATCCACATATTCAGTTAAGAAAGCTCCTTGCCAGCTTATGGCTTTTCTTTCACTGCCATCTAAATGTTAATGTTTTTATTTCCAAATCTCTGAATCCAAGCCAATATTTCTGACTGGTTACTGGTGATCTCTACAAGAATCTCAAATTCAACACATCCAAAAGAGACAGCATCACTTTCCATAAGAAATTAGAACTACCTCTACAATCTATGAAGAGCCCACCGTTCATCCAATAGAGAAATTTAGTTTTCTATGTATTCTTTATGTCCTATTTTAATCTCTGTTAATTCTGCTTCCCCAGATACCTACAAAATAGAACTGGCACACAAGCTAGAATCTTTGGCCATTCCTATTCAGATTCAAGCCATTCCCTTAAAAGACAACCAAGGCCCAGAGGTTGAAACACCTTTATTAGTGACCCTACTGCTAGCTATCATTTGTGGTACATAAAACTAAAACTTGGTTGCTTTTAGTTCAATGCTTTTTGCATTATAGTAAGTTTCCTTTAAAATAAGTAACAAATTATATACACTAGAAGCAGGGGAACCCAAACATACCTTTAAATATACCCTAATTTTCTGGAAAAAGAAGTGTTTGAAGTGCTCCTAAGTACAAAATATTTTCCTTGCTTATCCTTGTTTACCAAGTTTCACCTCTAAAAATTTTTATTTCAAATGACCTGGGCCCTAATGTCTCACCCCTACTCTCTAAAGAATATCATCTTTGTTTTACAATTTGAAGTTAAGGCAATCATCATCCCAATTAATAACTGGGTAAGTTATAAACAACTTACGTCACAAAATGACCAGTAAAAATGGTATATGTCCAAACTTCACTAAATAATCATCAAATCTTTAAAAAAGGAAATGCCGTTTATCACCTAATCAGCAAAGTAAAAGTAGAGTTAAAGCAAAATGTGAATATTTACTCAAAGACAACTTGTAAGGAAGCTATTAGTTATTTCTATCATTTTAATGTATTTAAATGTATTGAACGCATCGCAAAGAAAATTTATACCATTCATGGCTGAAATGTCAGCCACAATATGTTTTCCTGAGGTTTTTCCACGTGCCCTTCCCTTTCGTTAGCCCTTGGAAAGAGAAGGACATTCTCATACATTGCTGACAGAATAAATTGCTACTATCTTTTTGGAGGTCAACTGGCAAGAAACACCAGAGCTTTAAAAATGTCAGTACCTTTTGATCCAGAAAATTCATTCTTAGGAAATTATCCAAAAGAAGTAATTAAGGATGTGTGTCAGGTAGTTTTATGAACAAGCATTCACTACAGCACTATAGGGGACTGAGGTAAGAAGCCTCTGGAGTTGGAGAACAAGTTTCTGACAGAGGCAGAATATAGCTTGCACTAGCTCAAGAAAGATGAATACTTCCAATTATCTCTTCCCTACCCTTTCACAGCAGACCAAGTGACTGAATGGCAACACTTTAACCAAAAAACCAGATTCGCCTCAAAATCCTTCAACACAGAGGTATAAACAGCCATAAACTTTCTGTTGGCCCACAAGTTGAAACATTTAGAAATATCTACCATCTGGGATGGGAAGTAGATTCTAAGGGAAAAGATCCTGTTTTATACAACTTTGGCTTTTTTATGGGTTTAGCACAGGACCGTCCAACAGATATACAAGTGACATACAAAATTTTAAAATGTTTAATATCTTGGGAAGACTTCCTTGATATAACAAAAAAAAGTTTAGTATTCACATTTACAAGGGGAAGAAATCATTTCAACATGTAATCAAAATAAAACTTATTTTACCTTAAAAACTTTTTCATTCAAGTTTAGTATCCACATTTACAAGAGGGAGAAATCATTTAAACATGTAGTCAAAATAAAACTTATTTTCCCTTAGAAGTTTTTTTTCATTCAAGTTTAGCATCCACATTTACAAGGGGAAGAAATCATTTCAACATGTAGTCAAAATAAAACTTATTTTACCTTAAAAATTTTTTTTATTCCAAGTCTTTAAAATCCAGTTTACTACACTTACAGCATGGCCCAATTCAACTACTCATTTTCCTTAGAAATATTTGATCTGTATTTACATTTCACAAAATCTGCAGTAGATCCACATATCTAAGTTGTTTCAAACATAAAAACGGACCAATAACTGTGAGTTTTTTCTTTTTGAGACAGGGTCTCCCTCTGTCACCCAGGCTAGAGTGCAGTGACATTATCATGCCTCGATGCAGTGCAGCTTCAACCTCCTAAGCTCAAGTGATTTTCCCAACTTGACTTCCCAAGTAGCTGGGACTACAGGCACACACCACCATACCCCAGCTAATTATGATTACTATTTTTTTGTAGAGATGAGGTCTCACTATGTTATAGCCCAGGCTGGTCTTGAACTCCTGGGCTCAAGTGATCCTCCTGCTTTGGCTTCCCAAAGTGTCGGGATTACGAGTGTGAGCCACAGTACCCAGCTGAGAATCCGAGCTTTCACACTTTAAAATTTAAAATTTAGTTCTGTCATACAAGGCACATTTTTTCTTTTTTTTTTTTTAAAGGTCACTTTTAATTGAGACCCAATGACAAAAGGTGGACAATAATCAATTTGGTAAAACAAATTAACAGTACCCTTTAAAGCTTCTGTTTCTATGTTTACTAATGGCTTCCCCACATAGGCAATATCATCTAGACTATGCTAGAGTTTTCAATGACTCCATCATAAGGACTAGCGATGGTAACAGAAGCTTTATCACTTTGAACTTTACCGATGTTATCAAACTGAGACACTGTATCTCCTTCTTTTACATAACATTAACAGTTACTTTTCTAATCCCTTCTTCAGTGTCTGAGAATCTGAACTGAACAAGCTGTCCACATACAGCATTAATTGTTTTCAGAAAGTTATGTGGATGACTATACTTGAATGAAGGATAATCAAAGAAACACACATAATTTGGCTTCAAAACATGAACATTACTACATGTTGGAAAACAGTGAAACAAATCAGCTGCCCAGCATTCCTGCTCCAGGTCCTCAGTACACAGACTGCAGACATCTTACCCGGGAAATGGCAACTGTGCCACAGACCACAAGGTACATTTCAACTGCTCAATCGCCAACTGTAGCTAGTCACGACTGTACTAGACAGAACAATAAAATTGTGCCATTAAGTTAGGCATTGAATAGACTTAAATATAGCTCTCACGTTCACGATGGGAAGAATGTGTCTACTGGTTACTACTGGTATTCTATTGGTTACTGCAGGCTGCATTTAAAAAAAGATGAAGGCCAATCATTTGAATAATTGAGAAAGAGTATCGCTTCAGATATCACACAGCTGAAAGCCATAAGCAATACCTGGAAGAAAAAATTAGGAGTCCCAGTAACACTTCCCACTCTACTGATCACATGTGCAATAATATTCACACAACAGAAGTAAGGATCTTTGAAATTATGATAAACAGGGAATATATCTTGATTCAATAAGATGAGTGCTTGGACTACTAAGTGACTTTAAAAAATCTTTTCCAACTCAGAAAGTATTGATTATTCTTTGTTTAGAGCTTTCCTAAGAGTTGTCTGCAATTTCAGGAAGAAATTACACCACTAATGGCAACACAACATGAGTCAACAATGCACACAACTGTATAGGCAGCAGACATACTTTCTAAATTACACGATGATTCTATTTACAGATAGATGCAAACACTTGATCTTATGCTTTATGGCATAGTTGTGCCACATCATTAAATACTGAAATAAATTTTATTATAAATTACTTCCCTTTTATTTTTCTTTTATATTAGAGAGAACAGTACATTGATTTTTTAAAAAAACTTATGGTGTAAGGTTATATTTTATATGAATTCATCTCAACACAGCAAGGGCACATTACAAAGTATTTGTTAAAATTCACTATCTCAATCAACAAACCACAAATTGTTTCACAGAAGGAAGAAGTATAAACTGTAGGTTTATAAAAGGTGTCAAATGCTACGTCAGCCTGACTAGCTTTTGGTTTTGCTGAAAAACAAAACAGCAATAAACCTTTAAAAAAAGTTTTGTTTTGTTTTGTTTTTTAAGACCAGTTTTCGCTCTGTTGCCCAGGCTGAAATATAGTGACAAGATCATGGCTCTCTGCAGCCTTGAACTCCTGGGCTCAAGTGATCCTCCTGCCTCAGCCTCCCAAGTAGCTGGAACTACAGACTTGCACCAGCATGCCTGGCTTTTTTTTTTTTTTTTTTGAGACAGAGTCTCACTCTGTCGCCCAGGCAGGAATGCAGTGGCACGATCTCAGCTCACTACAACCTCCACCTGCCAGGTTCAGGTGATTCTCCTGGCTGCTTTATTGTTTGTAGAGACAAGGTCTCACTATGCTGAGATGCAAAAAGCATTCCTTTTGCCCCTTCCCAGTCCATATGCTGTCAGAGGTAACCACTGTTCGGAGTTTTTAAAGTTTTGTTTCTGACTGCAGAATCTTACATTTTAATTTTATTTGGTAAAATGGCTCCCTTTACTATTCCAATTAGTAGTCAACATTGTTCCATATTTATATTACTGCTACCTACTTTCCCATCTTAGTCACGTATTCACATTTTGTTAAAGACATTTTTTATTAGAACTAATTTGCACCTCTTTACTACAATTGAAGGCTAAATGATTTGGTTTTATTATACTTTCCATTACACTGCCTAATTACATTGCCACCTCAGTCATGGTTATCTGTGGCATACCTTCTTGCTTGAAATCGCCTTCCCTAGAGAAGAACAGATAAAAATATCACCCACAAATTCAAACTACAATGTCCCTGGTTCATAAAAACAGCCAACCTCAAAAGTAAGCAACATTTCCTAGTATATCTCAAACTTCTACATGTGCATATAAATTACATTCAGTAGTTAATAACCGGAAATTTATCTTCTATGGAGGAAAGACATGCCAATACAATGGAAAGTCCTACTGCTACTACTAATAAAAATACTCATGGTAAAAATATGAAGAAAAACCAGCTAAGTTTTAAGTTTCAATATGATAGGCAACATAGGCAACAGTGTACAATTTTAAATATTTGACTGGCTTCGTGTTGGGACTTCCGCAGTTTCCAATTTTAGATATTTCAATTTACTGTTTACTTACCTCAATATACAATAGAATACTTAGCAAATAAAATTTCATACAAAAGCCACATAACCAGGACCACTGTTTCGTTTTTACAGGCCATTCCAAATTAAGAGTCAGGACTTTAAAATCGACCACACTGTGCACTGTGGTACAAGTTTTGGAACTCAAGGCGCTTAACTTATTTTAAACCTATACTGTTGTAGGTTCAGTATCCGAACAAGCACAAGTAAGATTCACACAACTCATTTGTTGAGTGTCTTAAATACAGACTTAGAAGCAAAAAAAATTAAAAAGTTTCATCTCATCTGGGAGTTAGTTCATTTGTTAAGTTAAAGGGATTATTCCTGTGAAATCATCTTAAAGGTTTACAGTAAAGAACACAATTCTAAGCTCCCAATCATAAGAAGTAATAGGAACTTCACTGGCATAGTTACTGGCATAAAGGTACAGATTCAATAGTTGTAAGTTTCCTCTAAATTCGGCCAGTTATTTCTAGGGATCTGCCTTCATCAGGTTACATGTAAATACCCATTTTAAACAGAGATAATTGCTCCATGAATATATTAATTCAAGGTAGATTGTGAATAATATGACTGTTCAGCTTCATTTCTATCGCCAAGTTATGTATCAGAAAGAACATCACAGCCTATGGAGACTGAACTAGATTGAAGATTTTGGATCTAAACATACAGAATAATTTCCTGGCAACCCCTTCGTAAATCCATGGCAATTTCAACACTGGGAACTCTTCAGCCTCATTTTTCTTACTTAACAGAACATGACAAACAAGTACTGAGTGCCTGACAATGAGTACAAAAATGAGTAAGAGTCAGCAACCATGTTCAAGAAGTGCAGTATATGCCGCGTTCAGTGGCTCACACCTGTAATCCCAGCACTTTGGGAGGCAGAGGTGGGTGGATCGCTTGAGCTCAGGAGTTTGAGACCAGCCTGGCCAACATAGTCAGACCCCCGTCTCTACAAAATATACAAAAAATTAGCAAGGCGTGGTGGTGCGCGCCTGAGGTCCCACCGACTCGGAAGGCTGAGGCGGGAGGATTGCTTGAGCTGGGGAGGCAAAGGTTGCAGTGGGCCGAGATAGCGCCACTGCACTCCAGCCTGGGCAACAGAGCCAGACCCTGCCTCATTAAAAAAAAAAAAATGAAAAGAACAAAACAAAAGGAGTGCAGTATAGCAGAAAAACAACATTCTCCAAATATGTTGGATTGTATCTGAAATAGCCAAACTTCCAAGATCATGATTCAAGTGGAGCAAATACTTCCTATACCCGTCAATTATATTTCCCTAACTGGAACTCTTTACAACTTGATGTGAAACAATGCAGGTACTGTGAATAGTTCATGGTTCTTAAACTTTAAAGATTATTAGTACAAAACATACAATTCAACATTAGAATAAATATCCAGTATTTAAAGGAAAATTAAAGTAAGGAAACATGTTACAGACCTAAGACCAAATTAAACTTTCTTGGAATCTCTTCAGGAACCTCAAATACCGATACACAGAGGTAATATTTAGGTCCTTGTTTGGGGCAGTATGAGATTACGTTGAAAGTGACTTTTATTTCATCCTCAAAAGTGCTATTGAATAGTTGGAATGACTTCGTTAACTTAAAACATAGTTACGACTTCTTAATCGACTTACAACAACAAACTATGGCATCGCAGAGAGCTTTTTAACGTTTATGAGCTTCATCTCTTTGAGGGTAAAGACAAGCTCCAAAACGGCTTGAGACAATGCTTCGGAAAAATGTTACGTAATTAATACATTAAAACTATACAACTTAATGGTAAGGAGACATTTCATAAAAACTTAACCAGTCGATCCAAAATAATTCCTAATTTTACGTAAGAGGCAAACGGTGAAAGACCGAACATTAACTTTGCCAATCACCTGAAAGGAGCAGCGTGGTAGAACTACCCAGGACCGCCTCAGCACTCAGGGGCAATAGTGAACTACTGAAGCAACAGCTCCACCTACTGATCCACCCTATACTTCCTTAAATATGTTGGCACCCCAAGTCTACAGTGATCGCGCTCTCTCCCCCTCCTCCACTCGCTGTGACCCAACCCAAATCTAGTTGAGTCACTAGCTCTTAATACTCATCCCCGTGCTCTTTATTCCAATTTCTTCTTCCTCCAGAAGGTTCTGCACAGCTCCCAAGCGTGAATTAAACTGAAAGGTGTCAAACACCGCAGTTCCAGAGTTGAGTCTGGAGGTGGAAGACAACCAAACCACTCCACCTGGAGCTGCGGGCCGGCGTGGCTCAGCGGTCCGCTCCCGGGAAGGAGGCCCCGGGCGCTTCACAATAGCCTTTCCATGTTGCCCCACTCGGTCGCTTCTCCCCACTCAACAACCCACACTCGTCTCCGAACCGAAACCCTGAAGCCCCCCGGGTCTTGCCTCCGCTGGCCCTTCAGCCCGCCAACAGCCCGAGCCTCGCCTCCGCCCCCTCCGGGAGCCGAGGGAACTGAGAAGCAGAGAAATCTCCCTCCGCCCGTCTTCGCCCTGAATCTCTCCTCGCCTTTGCGGCTCTCCCCCTCTACATGGGCCCGGACCCTTCTACCCCACCGGCCGGGCCCTGCCCGGCTGCCCTTCCTCACCCTTTCATCTTCCCCGCCTGCTGAGGCCGTCGTTACCACCGATATCAACGCCGTCGTAGTCGCCGCCCTTAGGTCTCCGCACCCTTAGCTCGGGCCACTCAACCCCGCAAGCCGGCCTCCTAGCCTGGGCAGGGAGCTGTGCGAGCAACGAAGGCCGCGAGAGTCGAGTGAGGGCTTGAGTCTGGTGGGGGCGGGAGTGTCTCCCGCCGCCGCGCTTGTGCCGCCGCTTCTCCACACGTGCACTCGGGTCTCTCGGCTCCCTCCCGCCGCTGCCGCCAGCCAGACCCGCTGCCGCGCTGTGACCTTTCACCCCGCCCCTCGCGCGCCGGCGCGCCGCCGCCTCACGCGCAGCCGCACTGCTCGCCTCCGCGCACCCTGCCCCCTCCACTCCGGAACCTCCATCTTTCTCCTGGACTGGGCCTTCTGGGGTCATGCTCCTCCCTCCCACCCGCTTACGACACTGCTTGTGGGGCTGGCTCGGTAGGCCCTGGCGGTAAAATCCAGATTTTTCCACCCCTCCCTCTCTTGTCCCATATCCGCAAGATAGTTTTTCTCAGCCCCGTTCTTCCCAGTTTGTGGTCTCCAGAGTGACCTTCAAACGCTGTTGCCTCCTAGTAGGGTTTTATAAAGTTAGTTCTTCTAAATGTAAAGAAATCTGTGGAAAGCTCAAGTTTAAGTTAGGTGTTTTAAAACAAACGTAGTTAACAATCGGCCAGATAGATTGGCTACCCTCCAGCACGCCTCAAGTTTTAAGATCACGTGATTGGCCCAAACCTCAGAGCCTGGAATTTTACCGGCGGACTCCAGAGGGACGGAACGCCACCGCCATTTCCTGTCCCTCGATTGTGGCGTGAACGTCACTTCCTTAGCAATGCGCTTTAACTCTTGCTGTCCACATTTTCCACATTGTACTTTATAACATACTCTTTGTGAAAATTTATCTTTTATTTCTTTAATCCAAGAAAATTAATATTCAAGGGATCCGTAAAAATTCAGGCCCCCCGAGATGTAGAGCGCTGGGATGGAGGAGGCAGGGCGGAGCTCGACGTCATGTGACTGGTTGGGCCCGCCCCCCCCCCCCCCCCCAACCTGTGCAGCTGAGGACTTCCCCTCCGTGGTGACAGCCTCTGGGTCCTCGGTCGGTACAGTCTCTGCACCTCGCGCCCCAGCAGGTGAGCGGCGACCGGTAACTGGCGAGTGGTGGGGATAGAGGGGGTGGAAGGAGGCAGAGGAAGGAGAGAAGGGAGAGTGTGAACGGCGACTTTTCTGCCTGAGGCTTCCTCCCCGCTGTCACCCTGCACCGGCAAGGAGCTCATTTCTCCTTAACCCCCGCTCCCCCAAGTGTGGTCGTTCCCGCTACTTGGGGATTCAGATGTCCACCTTTCCCAGGGTTGGAAGTGAGTGCGGCCATTATGGTTCCCTACTCAGAGCCTTTGGGGCTTCGGGTAGCAGATTGTTTCAGCCATTTCACAGGGTCTGCAGTAGACATTAGGTCCCATTCCTTAAAGCCCATTCTTTGGCAAAGGTCCTCACTGTCCTTACCCTCAGCTCAGGGCTGAGGAGCGGGGAGGTAGCAAAAACCCTGGAGGCAGAGGCGTCTCCGGTGAGACAGGCTTGGGAGGGACTGTCACTGATACGGCCCTCACTGCAGAGTCACTGTGAAGCTTCCCTCCGAATGTGCTTTCTCAGTGATTCTAAGGATTTTATCTGACATACCTGCAGGGAAGGTTCCGTAGATGTTCACGTGCTTCGGATGGGACTAGAAAAGTAAAAGAAGGGCTTTTACTTTTTCTTCTCTGCAGAGAGGACAGTTGAAGGAATACTGTCTTCAAAACAGGAGGTGTTAGTAATGCGACAGTCTCGATTGAATGAGGAGGCGTTGAAAGATGGTATTGTGGTGTTGTGGTGTGCAGGAGGCCCAGGCTGGTTTAGGGAAGAGTGAGTAGGGTTCCCTGAAACCGAAATAAGAAACTGATTGGGTTGGAAATAGTTAAACCAAATTGATTTGGCCATATGCTTAAAGGTAGAATCAAGTCGAGATGTTGCTGTCTGCACATGTTTTCTGCCGTCAATCCTTCCCTTTTTGTCATTTTCCCCTAAAATACTACTGAATTGGCACTCCCAATCTATTCCTTGATCGGCTTTGTGGTAAATTTAGGTTAAGTAGCATTTGTATCCCTCTTTAGCTTTCCCCATTTGTAAAACTCCCGGTGCCCTCTTCAGATTTTGATGAATAGTATTTTGTGAAAATACAGAAATTGTTGTCCAATTGAAAATACAGGTGTTGTCCAACCCAAGTACTCCCATTCCGTCCATAATGTATTATTACCAATGTTTTGATCCCAAACAATGTGCTTTAGGGAAGAATGTTTTTCAGTTTGTGGTTAAACTCTTTTATTTATACTGCAAACTCAGAAAATTCCATGCTGCTTTTCAATTGAAGGTCTTACGAATATTACAAATTTGATTTTTAAAATTTAAATTACACCTTTCTTAATATGAAAAATTATATGCTCAGTTAAATCTTGTAGTTTTCTAACTAAGGTAATTAAAGAAGACTGCTGGAAAATGAGGAAGATGGAATCATCTTTGGTGGATGTGACTGATTTATTTTTGTTTTTCTGTGTCTTCCAAATTCTATACAATAAACGGTCTTATTTTGTTAAGGAGAATAAAAAGTTAAAATTCTACAATAGCAGCAGTTTAACAAAGTATTTTTATAGTAAGTGCAAAATACATAACCTAGCTTATTGATGCTCCTTAGTAGAAAACATAACCTCGGAGATGTTGCTTTCCCCAAGTAATGAAGATTACTACTATCTCTTGTGGATTTACCATTTTAGCATTTCGTACTTACGACCCATACTGGACAATAGACTAATGTATTGATATATTTATGTCATCATGCCTGCTGTAGATATATATATGTAGTTTTATCCATTAATTTTCTCCATAATAAGGTTCCTTGATCTCTAGAGGAGAGGGGAAGAAAAAAAGGAAGTGTTACTTCAGTGACCAGGTGACATTGCACCACGTAAGGAGAATTCCTTATGTGGTCTGGAAGTCCTAACTAGTCCTGTCTGGCTGAGACCAAAATGTGAAAGAGAAAACCAGCTAGAAGCATTGACTACTAGAGGGGAAAATGTCAGTATGAAAGTGGTTGGATGAGTCTGCAGTTTTACTTCACAATTCCCCCAGTTTTAGGGAACTCGTGAAAGCAATAACTTAGACCACTGATGAAATGTAGATTAGTAGTGGGAATTGGTGATTACATTGCTAGTAAGGTTAAATGTGAAAAAAAGCTTTGACATTATACACAGATCACACACACACACACACACACACACACACACACACACACACACGATTGGAAGCCTGGAAAACATTTCTGAGACTAGCCTTATCAGTTTATGAGTGTTACATGTAGAAATCTTAACATTTATTAGGGAATTGTGCTATAGTCCACTATTAAATAAAGCATAAGGGTTTGGTTTTATTTTAGGGCCCTTGGCACTTCTGGTTTTCTTTTCCTGAGTTCTTGTTTTCAGTGCCTTTATAGATTTTTGCCACCACTAAGAATGCTTTCTTCCCCATGGGCAGAGGTAGCCACTCAGTCCTATAGACTACTACTAATCATCATCATCATCTTTTCTATTCTTCTACTTGCACTTCTAGCATTGTATTTAATTCCTGTTCCCTGGGCTCTTCCTCAGCAAATCATAAAGCTCTCAGGACTGTGAACTATAATACTATTGTGTCTTCAGCACCAGAATACTGAAGTACCTGATAGGTACTCAATAAATTATTTATTGAATGAATGTTGGGCAATTAGACAAAGAAATTAAACCACTTTAATTTTTGCAGATCATAGCTCTTCCTAAAGTTGTGCACTAAATGTTAGCTTTTAAATATAAACTGGTAATAACCTTCCAAATTCATGGTCAATACAATAGATAAAAACCTCAGATGGACTTTATTAATGCTGAGACCAACTTATTTTCACAGCATGTTTGTTTACTAATAAGTATGGTTATCATCAAAATATGGGAGAGAAGGGAAGAGGAATGAATCGTACTAAATGAAAAAGTGGCTCTGCGTGATCTATAAGTGGACTAGCACTAGACTAAAAGTCAGAGGATCTTCATTCAGCTCTGCCACTTTAGTTATATGTCCTTTTACGTAATGCTGGGGAGGGGTTCAGGTTTGATACTTAGGAACCTTCCTATGACATAAACCCTAGGTAATCTATGTGAAAATATCTTAAAAACTAAGTGGTGTCTGTAATCCCAGTGCTTTGGGAGGCCAAGGCGGGCAGATCACAACGTCAGGAGATCGAGACCATCCTGGCTAACACGGTGAAACCCTGTCTTTACTTAAAAAAATTAAAAAAATTAGCCAGGCATGGCGGCACGCGCCTGTAGTGCCAGCTACTCAGGAGGCTGAGGCAGGAGAATCACTTGAACCCGACAGGTGGAGGTTGCAGTGAGCCAAGATCACACCACTGCGCTCCAGCCTGGGCAACAGAGTGAGACTCCATCTCAAAAAAAACAAAAACAAAAACAAAAAAAACTAAGTGGTGTGTAAAATGGTAAAGCAGTGTAGCTCAGACTTTACATGAATTGATTTCCCAGTCATAGAGACCTAGTTGAAGTTCTGGCCCTACCACTTAATAACTGTGTGACTTTGGACAGTGTACTTAAGTAAGGTTAAGTTTTCTCACGTTTAAATCTATAGATGGTGCTATTAAGTTAGATCATGAATGTAAAATGCCTAGAACATATTTTGTAAAAAAAATTTTTAATTAATTTTACTGATAACTACTTTGATTTTATATACTGAATTTCTAAAGACTTAAGACAACCCACAGAATTGACTGATGTCCCTGTGAGCAGCAGGTTTGGGGCATGAAGAAGAGAGTAGAATTTGAAAAGAAGCTATTACCCAAAAAATGGGGGAACAAGAAAAGTGTACTTGTAGCAAAGATTCTAAAACAGATTTATTAATTTTATCTGAAAAATATCAAGATAAAGTCCCTTATTTGGGCAACTGCAGTGTCTTAATATTTTCTATATAAAGATTTTCCAAAGCTTGTAATCATTAATGTATGGAATAAATTTAAGGAGGCAGTTCTTCAATTTTGAAGTTTTTATTCCTGCAATGGATTATAGAAGTATATTAAAATTGTACAGATTGTAGAGCAGGGACTTTTGAGTTAATGCTTATAAGCTTAAAAATTTTGTCTTTTTAAAAAAATTAAGTGTTTTTATATCTTATTTTTATCCTTATATGAAATAGACAAAGAAATGTAGAGAACATAATGGAGACATAAACTAGAGTAAAATTCTTCCCTTCTTAAATTCATGATTCACAAGGGTTAGTAGTTTTGCAATGGAAAATATCAGCAAATTAAACAGTAAGTATAGCTATCATGAGTTTATGAATCACTTTATTCCTGAAAAAAAAAATTACTCATTTGTCTTAAGGAAAGATTTTATTAAGTTTATTGACTTTTCCTTAATGTTGATTGTCTATTATAACAAATGGATTTATTGATTTAGGAATGAATTTATTCTTTATACTAAGTAACTTTATTTTAAATAAATGAAATGTGAGCAATAAAAATGTTTTCCATATAATTTCTGAAGAGAATATTAGTTTTGCTATTCTCTTTTTTCCCTATGGTGAAATGATAGCGACTTTGGTTTTTATAAGTGTATTCATTTATATTTAGTATATACATATTATGTATATACTATATATAGAGTAAATATTTGTAGTATATAAAGTACGCAATGTGTGTGTATGTATATATAAAGACAGCTGAAGTGGTTGTGTATCTTCGTAGTAACATATTTATTTTTACCTGAAACTACTGAAGTGATCTTTAGAATAATGATTTATTTACATTTGAAACTCCTCTTTCTGTATATTTCTTTGTAGTTAGCTCTAGTTAATAAATTTACAACTGTGATTAGCTGTTTTTAAAAATTAATGGTATATCATAAGTATTTTCAGATTTAAATTTTAGAAGGAAACACTTTCTTATATCTTAAGGTTTTAAAAATCACTATTATTTTTGGTATTATTATGACTAACAACAAAAATTTCAGTTTTGGATCTTAATGCTATCTGTTGAAACTGTTCTCTTGGTAAGCCTTTAAAAAAATTTTATCTGCAACATGCCACATTTTGTTTCTTTTCTGAAAAATAATTAAGCTTATTTCACTGAAAATAAAATGGGTGGTATATGATATGATATAGAAGAGTTTCAGATGTGCTTGAGCAATGAAAAGCAACCAGACTTTATAAGTTTTTAGTTCTTAGTTTAATTTTTTTAATGTTTAAAGGTACAATAGAGAAGACTAATTGAATTGGAAAATACCTTTAAAATTGAAAAAAGAGCATATGTATAATAATAATAGTATATACATATGGAAAAAGTTGTAAGGAAATGCATCAAAATAAGTAATTATCTCTAGATTGATGCATTAAAGAAAAAATTAAAATTTATTACTATACCTTCTGTATATTTGAATTCATAATGTCAGTAGGCATTGCAAAATATTTCTTAATTTGATATGGAAAATTAAGGCACCTAAATAATTCTTTCATCTTAACTACTTGGATATCTTAAGTGAAAATGTTTTGTCTCATCCAGGTAGCTGAGTAAGTTATTTAATTTTATAGGTGTGTAAATATATTTTTAATTTTAAGTATATAAGTGCAGCAGAATTTTAAAAAGCAGAGTAAATCTCAGTATATAAGATAATTTACCACATTTCAAAGGGATAATTCAATCCAATGGTGAAAAAGGGCACATATATATCATAAATGTTAACTGATACAACTTGCTCATCTAGAAGAAAATATAATTGATCCAATACATTGCAACAGATGCAAAAACTGATTTCAGATGGATTAGAGGCTTAAATGTAAACAATAAAATATTTAAGATATTAATCTCCTAAATTTCCTTTATACAAACAATCCAGATGTAGTTTTTTAAACCAAGATAGGAAACCTAAAAGTCATAAAAGTATGGATAGACACATGAGACTGCATGGAAACGAAGGATTCTTTAGTGGCAAAAATAAAGGACCAAAGACAAAATCAGGCGGAAAAAAAGGCTTGAGATATATGTAACAGATGAGTTAACCATTGAAAGAACTCTTTCCAATTAAGAAAAAGTTCACCCAGTAAAAATATGGATAAAACATGTCACCAGAAGTTCACAGAAGAGAAATCCAAACATTCAACAAACAGTAAAGGATGTGTAACCTTACTAGTAATCAATATACTAACAATGAAATATTATTTCTCTGACAAGCAAAAATTAAGTGGTAAACCTACTGCTAGCAGGGATATGTGGAGAAGGATTATCTCATAAAATGCTAGCGGAGATGTGAAGTGTTAGAGTTTTTCCTAGTAAACAATCAAGCAACATCAGTTAATACTGAGAATACATGTATTTTCCACCCATCAGTCTAACTCCATGTAATCTTTTCCTTAGAAATAAAAGCACCAGTAAGAGTTTACAGGAGTGTTAGCTGCAACAGTGTTTCAATTTTCAATGTTAGTAGTGGCAAAAAACGTGGAAACAAAGGGAATGCCTGTTAATAGGGGTATTGTTATGTAAATTATGGCCGAGGCATTTTATGGAATGTTGTGAAGTGATTAAATGGTAGGAGTTAAATCTACTGGTGATTAGAAAGGATTTCCAAGTACATTCTGAAAGGATTTCTATCATGTGTCTTTTTTTTTTTTTTTTTCCTGAGACAGGATCTTGCTCTGTTACCCAGATTGGAGTGTACTGGTGCTGTCTTGGCTCACTGCAACTTCCTCCTCTTAGGTTTAAGCTATCCTCCCGCCTCAGCCTCCAGAGTAGCTGGGGCTACAGGTGTGCACCACCACACCTGGCTAATTTTTTGTATATTTGGTAGAGACGGGGTTTCACCTTATTGCCCAGGCCATCATGTATCTTAAGAAAAAAAAATACAAAGTACAGAGAAACATTTGTAATGATAACTCATTTTTTATAAAACCAGTTGAAAAACACCATGAGTTTTGTATATTTTTACCTGGTTGTCACCGTTGGAAAGAGGAAATAAGCAGAAAAGGAAAGAGACAGAATATCCATAGTAACATATTTATATAAAACTACATGTTTGTACATGTCTGTGTATATGATGGATTATGGGAAACAATGGGCACTAAGATGATTTACTTTCTTCCTTACACTTTACATTATATGTTTTTATTTTTACAGTGGACATGAAGTGTTTCTGTAATTAGGAAAAACAGGCTGGGCATGGTGGCTCACGCCTGTAATCCCAGCACTTTGGGAGGCTGAGGCAGGTAGATCGCTTGAGCCCGGTGTTGGAGACCATCCTGGGCAACATGGCAAGACCCCCCTCTACCAGTAAAAACTAAAAATTAAAAAAATTATTTGGGCACGATGGCATGCACCTGTAGTCCCAGCTACTCAAGAGGCTGAGGTGGGAGGATCACTTGATCCCGGGGCATTCAAGGTTTCAGTGAACTGCGAATGTGCCACTGCACTCCAGCCTGGGCGTCAGAGCGACACCCTGTCTCAAAAGTAAGAAAAAAAAAAAGAAAAGAAAAATGTACCAAAAAATGATAGGGACTACTAGATAGGATTACAAATTTGGCATGTTATTTTTGGTATGGATAGTCAGTGCTATCGACACGCTTTCTGCCTTAGAGTGTAGAGCACATTGCACAAGTGTGGGATCTGTCACCTGACTTAATCATATGACAGAATCATAAGAAAAGTCCCTATTTGGGTTTTGGCATATAAACTGGATTACAAGATTAACTTGCCTTAAGAAAACTTTAAACAAGAACTTCTTTAAAGAAGCAAAATAAAAAGTACTTATAATTGTTTAATACTTGATTTCTGTCCTTTTAAAAGTATCTCCGTAGAATACATCATTCAAAGCCTAGACAGAAAATAGCAGATGCTTTAGAGTTGGATTTGTTGCATACTTAAAGTAGCTGTATTTTTTTCTCACATTGGTATTACTTCCCCTTTTCATTACCAGTTTTATTAATTGCATATATGTGCTTTAATGTAAGCTGTCCAAAGTTTTTTTTACAAGAGTTGGGATATATGTAAATAAAAATAATTTTAGAGTAGTATTAATATAACAAAGAGATGAAGGAAACCAGACTGTGTGAGTCAAATCCTGGCTCTGCTTCCTAGTGGTGTGACTTTGGAGGAGTTACTTGTGTCTTTTTGCATTGCATTTTTCTCAACTTTAAAATAAGGATAATAAGAGTATTTAACTTCATTGGATGTTGTGAATAATAGAAGCGATTGGAATAATAACTAGCACATAAGGACCGTATATATATTTGCCAGCTGGGTGCAGTGGCTCACACCTGTAATCCCAGCACTTTGGGAGGCCGATGCAGGCGGATTGCTTGAGCCCAGGAATTGAAGGGCAACATGGCAAAACCATGTCTGTACAAAAAAAAAAAAAAAAAAAATTAGCCAGGCGTGGTGGCACACACATCTAGTTCCCGCTATTCGGGAGGCTGAGGTGGGAGGATTGCTTGAGCCTGGGAGGCAGAGGTTGCAGTGAGCTGAGATCGTGCCACTGCAGACCCTGGGTGACAGAGCCAGACCCTGTCTCAGAAAAATATATATGTAATAATAATATGTGCTATTATTTGCTCAGTCAATTAGGTGCAATATATAATAGTTTTACTTGGCTCAGTTGTTTTAACATTCATTTACTCATCCAACAATATTTTTAATTCAGTTGAATGGGTAATACATGTACAAATATGGTAAAATTTATATATTCATACAAGTGTGTTTTCTCTCCCCTCATCCTTATTCTTTTCTTCCCCCATATATTTATCCACAAATGGTAGCACCTCTTCGTATTATTCTGGACCTTACATTTTTCGCTTGAGTATTACGTTGGAGATCTTTTCACATTGATACAGTTAAAACTGCCTCATTCTTTTTAATGATAGTTTAGTATTCAATTGTATTAATATACCCTCATCATCATATGTAACATTTATTGAGAGCTTACTCCTGATCCAAATGCTTTCTTAATACTTTAGTTTTATTAACTCATGGAAGCCTCATAACAACCTATGAGATAGGCACTATTTTTCTATATTTAACAAATGAGGAAAACTAGGCACGGGATGATTAAATGTCCAACAGTCACACAGTTTATAAGTGGTAGGGCTCAGGATTAGAGCCCAGGGAGTCACTTTCCAGAGATTGCTGCCATAATACCGCTAAACATGTAGCCTGTCATAGTATTACAAGGTATTTAACCAGCCTCCATATTAATGGACATTCCAATCTTTTGCTTAAGAAACAGTGCTATAGTTAATATTTTGTTAATAGAACATTTTGTACATCTACAATAAATTCCTAGAAATGGACTAGCCATGTCAAAGGTAAGTACAATTTGAATTTTGGTGGGCACTGCCAAATTGCTCTCCAATTTAGGGATGTTCAGAAGTTCACCTTTGTCCTTAGTAATTTGCCAAAATCTGCCATTTAGCTTGGGTCTTTGGAAGGTGTGCTTTTAACATTTCTAGCATCCCTGAATTGTGTGTGATCTACCATCATGTAATAGCTTAAGTTACTATCATATGGAATTAATGTAACAATGTCAGTATGAGAGGTGTGACCTTTGGACTTACTACTTTCAAATAACAGTAAGTATTTTAGATATAACTTGAAATACTCCTTAATGTGATTTATACATTGAAATTCTATCAATCGAAGTTTGAATAGATATTGTTGAAAAAGTAAAATGCTGTAATTGTTAATAATTGTGAAGTTGCTGATTTTATGTACCAAAGCAATTATGTAAGAGTGTTCAAATAGTTAAATAGTGAATCAGATTGCATTTGAACATTAAGAGTGTGGTAGCTAGCTAAATAGAGGAATAGCTGGGTCCTTTCTTGTGAAAAGTGAGTTTTTGATAATCCGTGAGTCCTAGTCGTAGGTAATGCAAAATGAGGTAGCGAGGAGCTTTATTTAGATGAGTTATAAAATCCACAAATTATTTTGAATATAACACACTTGGTTTCAGTGCCCAATATTTCACTTGTTCAAGAAAGGAAAAAGTATCTCTATGAATCTAAGAAGCAGATTGACTGACACCAAACTCTTCAATGTGATCCAAAATAGACACTTAAAATACAGAATCTTCTCAGGTCCCAACGTAGTATACCTGCAGTGCCTGAATATGGCCCTGTAGTACCTGCTTATTGTACAGTGGGGCGTGTGTGTGTGTTTTAAATATCACCTCATTCTCCCTAAGGTACTCTACTGGGTATAGGGACAGCTTGGAAAGTAGCTGTAAATAGAGATAAACAGGCTGTCAGAAACAGTTATTTATTGTGAGCTAATTCTACCTCAGAGTAGTATAAAGCAACAGAAAATAACTTTCCCTATACCTCCACCCTCCAAATGAGCCATTGAGCCATATCAACTTTGATGTCCAAATTATTAGAGCTTAATCTGAGTCTTGGACAACAAACCCTTCTATGCCTCATGGCACGAAAGTGTGTTCAAGATGGAGTTAATATTTTCCTAAATTCTCATTCAACATATTGTAAGCTGATATGCCATTAGCCCCATTCTGAAAATATAGATGAATAAAGTACTTAAGAGGCATATCTGACTTCTACACTCCTGAGCTATTAAGTGACTGTGGAAATTCCCAGAATTAGTTAAACTTGGCAGGACCAGAGAGTGCCCACACAGCCTTATCCAGAGCCACATATATTTATTCTAAATAGACAGACAAAAAACTGGTTTGGCTAAGTTTTCATCTGTTGCCCCTATGCTGTTTCTAGGGTTAAAATTCTCTTAACAAATTTGCATAGGTCAAATAGTCCTTTAGAAATACTATATTAGTTGGCTGGGCCTGGTGGCTCACGCCTGTAATCCCAGCACTTTGGGAGGCCAAGGTGGGTGGATCACGAGGTCAAGAGATTGAGACCATCCTGGCCAACATGGTGAAACCCCATCTCTACTGAAAATACAAAAATTAGCTGGGCGTGGTGGTGTGCACCTGTAGTCCCAGCTACTCAGGAGGCTGAGGGAGGAGAATCACTTGAACCTAGGAGGCAGAGGTTGCAGTGAGCTGAGATCACACCCACTGCACTCCAGCCTGGCGATAGAGTGAGACTCTGTCTCAAAAAAAGAAAAGAAAAGAAATACTCTATTAGTCAACAAATAAAAGCAAAAGTGAACATGTGTCCTGTGGAAGCATGCCTTTATAGGAGTCATGCTGGCAATAACTTGTGCTTTTTAAAAAATAATTTTATTGATATATAATTGACATATCTGCACATAAAGTATACAGTTGGATAAGTTTTAATATATGTATACACACATGAAGCCAGCACTGTAATCAATATAGTGAACATATCCATCACACCCAAGAGAAGTTTCTTTGTTCCTCTTTTTAATCCTGTCCTTCCATACCTCCCCACCTCCTGTCCTTAACCATCCACTGATCTATTTTCTATCATTATAGTTAGTTTGCATTACATGTATCGATGATTCATATTTTCCTTGCTGACTATTATTCCATTTTATGGATATACCATAGTTTGTTTATCCATTCACCCATTGCTGGATATTTGTGCTGTCTTTCCACTTTTTGGCCATTATGAATAAAGGTCCTATGAACATTCATGTAAGTCTTTGGACATAAGCTTTCTCATGGGGAAATACCAAGGAGTAGAATGGCTGAATCATATGGTAAGTGTAATTTTAACTTTCTAAGAAACTGCCAAACTGTTTTCCAAAGTGGTTGTACCATTTTACAGTTCTACTAGCAATATGTGAGTGTGTTAGTTGTTCTACATCCTTACCAACACTTCCTTTGTCAGTCTTTTAAACTTTTAGCCATTCTGATAGCTGTGGAATGGCATTTCATTGTGGTTTTAACTTGCATTTTCCTAGTGACTAATGAGCTTAAGCATCTTTTCATGTACTTTGCCATCTATCTTCCTTGGTTAAGTGAATGTTCAAATCTTTTGCCTGTTTTAATTGAGTTTTCCTATTATTGAGTTTTGATCTTTGTAGATTCTGGATATAAGTTCTTTGTCAGGTTTATGTCTGTAAATATTTTCTCCCAGTCTTTACCTTGTCTTTTTGTTCTAACAATGTTTTTTGATGAGCAGAGATTTGAAGTCCAGTTTACCATTTTATTCTTTTGTGGATTGTGCTTTTAGCGTTATGTCAAATCCAAGGTCACAAAGGAAGTTTTATAGTTTTAGGTTTTACATTTAGGTCTACCATCCATTTTTAGATTTTTCTATATAGTTACGGGTTTTTTTTTTTTTTTGCATTTTATGTATACGTTGGTTCTACCACCACTTGTTGAAAAGACAATATGCTTTCTACACTGAATTGCCTTTGCACTTTTGTCAAAAGCCAGTTGTCCATATATGTGTTGGAGTAGAGCCTTTTTGAGCTAATAAATTTTGTAAAATTTTAAATAATAATACTAGGCAGATTAATAGGGATTAAATTTTATCTGTTCATTATAGAATTATATGTGTTCTACCATTCACAAGATTGAACAAATTGACCATTAAAATTATTAATAAAATTATAACTTAATAAATTGAATCTAATTTAATATTTTCTTAATATTTAAGAATATTTAATCATAATTTTTGATCTTAGAAGGTCATTCTGTGATGGTAATATTTGGATTCAGCTTTGGCGTCAGTTGAATATTTTAAAAATCTTGGCCATCAAGCATTAGGCCAAAATGTGTATTCAGTGTACTTTGAAAGGGTTTTATCAGTTTTCACTCAACGATTAGAGTTTCTATTTCCCCCCACACCCTTGCCAGTACTGTCACTGAACAATATTTAGTAATTGCCTACTATGTGCCAAGGCATTTTACTGGATAATTGGGGTGTTCAATAAACAAAGCAGAGGCGGTCCCTGTTTTTCTAGCATTTATAGTCTGGAAGTGAAGACAGACATTGAACAGCTTCTTTCACATTTTTTAATCACAAGAGTAGTAAGTGCTATTAAGAAGCAATATTAGAGACCTTGAGCACATACCAGAGGAGCAGGCAGTTAATTTCTTAGTAAATCATACTATTGAAAACTTCTCCTCTCCCCACAACTAGTTTAGTTAAATAAACCCTGGTTGTTAATCATAGTATACTAGGTAAACTGTTAGAAACACAGATTTCTTGTCCTCTGAATTGAAAATGTCTGGACTTTTGACTATAGTCATTATTTAAATCCAGATTGTGAGGTGTTTTTTCACCTATCTTAGGCAGCATTCTTTTCTTCTTTTATCCTTTGTGCTTTAGGATATATTTTTATTGCAGAGATTTTATGAATTCCTGAATTAAATGTGAACCTATTTATGTAACACTCTCTTCTAAACATTGGGTTAATATACCTGAGCACAGTTTATGAACCTTTGTCCTCTTCTATTCCATCCATTAAATAAACGAGAGGATGGCTGGGCATGGTGGCTTACGCCTGTAATCCCAGCACTTTGGGAGGCCGAGGTGGGCGGATCACAAAATCAAGAGATCGAGACCATCCTGGCCAACATGGTGAAACCCTGTCTCTACTAAAAATACAAAAAATTAGCTGGGCGTGGTGGCGGGTGCCTGTAGTCCCAGCTACTCAGGAGGCTGAGGCAGGAGAATGGCATAAACCCGGGAGTTTGGAGCTTGCAGTGAGCCGAGATCGCACCATTGCACTCCAGCCTGGGCAACAATAAGACTCCATCTCAAAAAAATAAAAAATAAAACTAAACAAATGACAGGATGGATTCGTTTAAATATAGACATCGGCCAGGTACAGTGGCTCACCCCTGTAATCCCAGCACTTTGGGAGGCCAAGGCAGGCAGATCACAAGATCAAGAGATCGAGACCATCCTGGCCAATATGGTGAAACTCTGTCTCTACTAAACAAACAAAAATTAGCTGGGCATGGTGGCACACACCTGCGGTCTCAGCTATTCGGGAGGCGGAGGCAGTAGAATTGCTTGAATCCGGGAGGGGGAGGTTGCAGTGAGCCTAAATCGCGCCACTGCACTCCAGCCTGCCCATAGAGCGAGACTCTGTCTCAAAGAAAAAAAAAATAGACATATTTTCTTTTCTTTTCTTTTTTTTTTTCTTTTTTTTTGAGACAGGGTCTCACTGTGTTGTCCAAGCTGGTCTTGAACTCCTGGACTCAAGCGTGATCCTCCCACCTCAGCTTCCCAAGTAGCTGAGAATACAGGCATGAGCCACCGTACCTAGACAGCATCATTTTATAAGTGTAATAGCATTTTTAGTACAACACTGTTGATGCTGTCTCTTTTTTGTTCCTTGTATGTGTGTCAGTCTCAAATGCCTACATTTCTTACATTTGGCTAGTTTAGCTGCTCATGATTTTTTTTTTTTTGGCAAAGCCATCAAAATTTGCTCAGTAACGAGAGTAATATGGTAATTGTAAAGTTTTAAAAATAAGTTTCGGCTGGGCTTGGTGGCTCGCACGTGTTATCCCAGCGCTTTGGGAGGCCGAGGTGGGTAGATCACCTGAGGTCGGGAGTTCAAGACCAGCCTGACCAACATGTAGAAATCCCGACTCTACTAAAAATACATAATTAGCCGGGCATGGAGGCACATGCCTGTAATCGCAGCTACTCTGGAGGCCGAAGCAGGAGAATTGCTTGAACCCGGGAGGCAGAGATTGTGGTGAGCCAAGATCGCGCCATTGCACTGCAGCCTGGGCAACAAGAGCAAAACTCTGTCTCAAAAAAAAAAAAGTTTCTAAGTATTTTAAGCAATTGCCTTTTTAAAGTAGTCATACAGTTTCTAGTTTGACTTCTTTTGAAGGTGATAATTTTCCTGCATGATTGCCTGAATTTTGAAAAAAATTGGTAAAGTTGGCTGGGCACAGCAGCTCACGCCTGTAATCCCAGCACTTTGGGAGGCCAAAGCGGGCGGATCACCTGAGGTCAGGAGTTCGAGACCAGCCTGACCAACATGTAGAAACCCCAACTCTACTAAAAATACATAATTAGCTGGGCATGGAGGCACATGCCTGTAATCGCAGCTACTCTGGAGGCTGAAGCAGGAGAATTGCTTGAACCCGGGAGGCAGAGGTTGTGGTGAGCCAAGATCGCGCCATTGCACTGCAGCCTGGGCAACAAGAGCAAAACTCTGTCTCAAAAAAAAAAAAGTTTCTAAGTATTTTAAGCAATTGCCTTTTTAAAGTAGTCATACAGTTTCTAGTTTGACTTCTTTTGAAGGTGATAATTTTCCTGCATGATTGCCTGAATTTTGAAAAAAATTGGTAAAGTTGGCTGGGCACAGCAGCTCACGCCTGTAATCCCAGCACTTTGGGAGGCCAAAGCGGGCGGATCACCTGAGGTCAGGAGTTCGAGACAAGCCTGGCCAACTTGGAGAAACCCTGTCTCCACTAAAAATACAAAATTAGCTGGGCGTGGTGGCGCATACCTGTAATCCCAGCTACTCGGGAGGCTGAGGCAAGAGAATCACATGAACCCAGGACGTGGAGGTTGCAGTGAGCCGAGATTGCGCCATTGCAGTCGATCCTAGGCAACAAGAGCAAAACTCCATCTCAAAAAAAAAAATGGTAAAGTCATTTCATAGGCAGTTTATCTGACAAAAGCCTATCCAAAAGCCAGTCATTGCAGTGCTAATACACCATGAAGGTTCAGGATTCAGGAAGAGAGTTTGCTGATGACAGTCCTTGGCACTACGAACTTGGAATTGTAGACTATTTAACATAAGAAATTTCATTATTATTATTAAGTACATTTTGTGGGGGGGGAATACTGTAGGATTTCAGATAAATTAATACTACATTATGTTGTCATTATTGGATTTTAAAGGTTTTTCTAATATTGCAGTATAACAATAAACACGTATATAAATAAGTCCTTATCCACATGCCAAATATATTCTCAGAAATACAGTTTTTGAGTCAAAAGGCTTGAACATCTTTAAGGGCGTGGTTGCATATTACCAATTTTTTCCCCATGTTTCCTAGAAAATAATAAACCCAAATTGACCTTTTCTTGATGGTTATGGGTCATTCTTATTACCATTAGTCAATTAACATCTCTTTCCTTTTTACCTTCCATTTATTCTTTTTTTTTTGAGGCAGAGTCTCGCTCTGTCACCTAGGCTGTGGAGTGCAGTGGCGCAATCTCGGCTCACTGCAGCCTCCGCTTCCTGGGTTCACCATTCTGCCTCAGCCTCCTGAGTAGCTGGGACTACAGGCACCTGCCATCACGCCCAGCTAATTTTTTGTATTTTTAGTAGAGACGGGGTTTCACTGTGTTAGCCAGGATGGTCTCGATCTCCTGACCTCGTGATCCGCCCACCTTGGCCTCCCAAAGTGCTGGGATTACAGGCATGAGCCGCCACACCCAGTCCTTCCATGTATTCTTATAGAGTAGCTCTCTAATGATTTGCTGCTTTAAATCTGCAGTGATCCAAAGTATTAGGTAATAATTTTTAATTGTGCATAAATTGAGTCCTAAGACTGTATGCAGGTCTTTTGCCATGTGCAGAAGCTTTAAGACTGTCATTCTACGAGTTCAGAGATCTTTTGTTTTCCTGTTTCTTAGGTCTTCACTTTATTTCTATTGAGGTTGGCAAGTCTCACTTCTCGTGTATATAAATATTGTACTGTATTTAGTTCTAATACCATATTTTGTTGTTTCTAGGACATTTTTCTCCCATATTTTTAACAGCTCTGAAATTAGTGCCTGTCCTGCAATTTCTGGAATGCCATAATTTGTCAGGTTTTTTTCCTTAGTAGTACATCAAATAAAGGAGTTTATTAAAATTGATATTATCTTAGATTAGGTGAAATATGGTGTTAACTTCTAGATAGGGATCTGTGTGTTTGTAAGAATTGCTGTTGTGAGACATCAGCATGAATTCTTAGGTGGTTGTCTTACCTTGACTTTACCTAGTCAGTAAGTTAAATTGAATTAAAGTGGCAGGGTGCAGTGGCTTACACCTGTAATCCCAGCACTTTGGGAGGCCGAAGCGGGAGGATCACTTGAGCCCAGGAGTTCAAGAGCAGCCTGGGTAACAGAATGAGACTTTGTCTTTACATAAAAATCAAAAAGCTGGGCATGGTGGTACATGCCTGTGGTCCCAGTAAGGGAGGCTAAGGCAGGAGATTGCTTTAGCCCAAGAGATTGAGGCTGCAGTGAGCCTTGATCGCACCACTGTACTCCAGCCTGGGTGACAGAGCAAGACCTTGTCTCAAAAAAAAAAGAAAAAAAAGTATATTAGCAAAATGTTAATAACAGTCCCAAATAGGAAGCAGTCTTGGTACGCAGTAGAGAGAGTTATTGTTGTTAGGTAAAGTATGGTATCTATTTAATGGAATAGTATACAGTTTAAGATGACACAAAGACTGTGTAGCGCATAGAAAAATTGAAGTAAAATAATTTTATGCTAGTATTGATTACAATTATGTAAAAAAAATTAATTGGGAAATAATGTCAATCATATTCAAATGGTGAGATCTTTCATTAGGTATTTTTAAAATTATAAGCATATTGCTTCTGAAAACAGATTTTAAAGAAAGATGTGTAACAAATGCTTTCTTTTCTATTTATATTGTTGGCTGTCTTCTTGGCTGTTTGCATCATAGGTAAGTTAAGCTTTAAATCAATAGGATCTTCTTTGATGTCTTGTTTTTTCTTTGTAACCTGAAATCAGGAAAATTTCCTAAAAATTCAAATGTGGGATATTAATGTGAGCTTTACAATTACTTTTCCCCCTTCAGTTTATCAAGTTTAAGAAATAAAAAAAATAAGGCCCGGCACAGTGGCTCATGCCTGTAATCCCAGCACTGTAATCATGCCTGTAATCCTAGCTCATGCCTGTAATCCCAGCACTGAGGTGGGGGGATCACTTGAGCCCTGGAGGTGGAGGTTACAGTGAGCTGAGGTTGCAGTGAGCCGAGATTGCATCACTGTACTCCAGCATAGGTGATAAAGCCAGACCCAGACCCTGTCTTAATTGAAAAAAAAAAAAAAAAAGCAGGAATTTCTTACCCAAATTCTGTTTCAGGTAGCTTTGTTGTTCTGAACTTAAAATAATTGACCAGAAATTTTCCACTTCTGTTCTCTATTTTTAATAGTAGCAAAGTTGTATCGAGTCTGTGGGCATTAATATTCTGATTATCCTCAAATATGCCCATTTTCCTCTTAGATATGTCCATTTACTTTGTAGTCACATTGATGTTTTATCTTTTTTTTGGCTAATATAGTTAGTTGGTTATGTTTGTGTTATAAAGCTAGGTATTAGTAAAATACAATGTTATGTTTTTTAAAAATCTTAGTTCTGTAAGAGATGGGGCCAGGCGTAGTGGCTCATCCAGCACTTTGGGAGGCCGACGCGGGCAGTTCACCTGAGGTCAGGAGTTCAAGACCAGCCTGACCAATGTGGTGAAACCCCATCTCTACTAAAAATACAAAATTAGCCAGGTGTGGTGGCGCATGTCTGTAATCCCAGCTACTTGGGAGGCTGAGGCAGGAAGAGTAGCTTAAATCCGGGAGGTGGAGGTTGCAGTGAACTGAGATGGTGCCATTGCACTCCAGCCTGGGCAACAAGAGCAAAACTCCATCTCAAAAAACAAAAAAGAGAGAGAGAGATGAGTGGCCGGGCGCGGTGGCTCGGCCTGTTATCCCAGCACTTTGGGAGGCCGAGGTGGGCAGATCACTTGAGATCAGGAGTTCAAGACCAGCTTGGCCAACATTGTGAAATCCCATCTGTACTAAAAATACAAAAAAAAAAAAAAGGTAGACAGGTGTGGTAGCACGTACCTGTAATCCCAGCTACTCGGGAGGCTGAGACAGGAGAATCGCATGAACCCAGGAGGCGGAGGTTGCAGTGAGCCGAGATCGCACCACTGCACTCCAGCCTGGGTGATAGAGCAAGACTCCATCTCAAAAAAAAAGGAGATGGGTAATTTAGGAACAATCAATTCTTGTTTTACTAATTACTCCTTAGTTTGTATTCACAAAATGTCCCATTATGTCACCTTTTTTTCATCTTCTCCCTTGTGCTTGCGTTTTTACATAGGGTCAGTAAATAATACAAAAAAGTCTTAGTTTGGTTGCTGTAACAAATTGCCATAGACTATGTGACTTAAACAGCAACATTTCTCATAGTCTGGAGTGTGGGAAGTCCGAGGTCAAGGTGCCTATAGATCCTGTGTCTGGTCAGGGCCTGCTTCCTTCTGGTTTGTAGATGGACATCTTCTTGTATCCTCACATGGTAGAGAGCAGAGATCATCTCTCTCTCTTTCTCTCTCTCTTTCTTTTTTTCGCTTCCCTTGAGACAGTCTCGCTCTGTCACCCAGGCTGGAGTGCAGCAGTGCGACCATGGCTCAGTGCAGCCTCAACCTCCCAGGCTCAAGCAGTCCTCCACTTCAACCTCCTAAGTAGCTGGGACTATGGGTGCACACCACCACGCCCAGCTAATTTTTTAATTTTTTGTAGGGACAAGGTCTCACTATGTTACCTATTCTGTTCTTGAACACCTGGACTCATGCAATCCTTCTGCCTTAGCCTCCCAAAGTGCTGAGATTACAGGCATGAGCCACTGCATCCAGCTCAGAGATCATCTCTAGAGGGGCACTAATCCCATTCATGAGGGCTCCACCTTCAGGACCTAATTATGTACCAAAGGCCTCACTTCCTAATACCATCACATTGAGGGTTGGAATTAAAATGTGAATTTTGGGGGGACACATTTAGTCCATGACACATGGCTTTCTTTTCTAAAAATGGTATAGTTGGTGCAAAAGTAATTGCAGTTTTTGCCATTGCTTTCGATGGCAAAACAGCAATTACTTTTGCAGCAGCCTAATAGCTAAAGGTGAAAACTACTGTCGAAGTAAGGTGTTTTGAATTATTTATTACATACCTAGGTGTTGTGACCAGACCAAATCTGGGCATCATCACTCTTTAGTTCTGTCCCCTATTTCTTAATCAAATAATACCTATTTCATAGGACTAGTGTTAAGAATTAAAGAGATGTTTGCTTTTTTTAACATAATGCCTGGAGTGTGATATGTACTTAACAAATAGTAGTTGATGTTATGTCTTTTTTTTTTTTTTTTTTTTTTTGAGACAGAGTCTTGCTCTGGCGCCCAGACTAGAGTGCAGTGGCGTGATCTTGGCGCATTGCAACCTTAGCTTCCTGGGTTCAAGCAATTCTCCTGCCTCAGCGCCCCGAGTAGCTGGGATTACAGGCACACGCCGCCATGCCCGGCTAATTTTGGTATTTTTAGTAGAGACCAGGTTTTGTCATGTTGGCCAAGCTGGTCTCCAACTCCTGACCTCATCCACCTGCCTCAGCCTCTCAAAGTGCTCAGATTACAGGTGTAAGCCACTGCGCCCAGCCTGATGTTATCTGTTTTTAATTTCAGAACATTTTACTGAGTTACTGCTGTATAAGACACTATGCCATATGGAAGGGAGGAAGTAGGAAAATGATATAATACGCACTTTGAGGGCAGGGATACTTGAATCCGTACATCAGTTTTACCATTGACCATAGGCTTCTAGCGTATACATTGATATTGTGGAACTTGTACACTCAATACAGTATTTTGTTACTGTTTCACCCAATATTGCACAATTTTATTTGTAAAAATTTGAAGGGAAAGGAATCTACTTTTTTTTTTTAGTTGGAGTCTTGCTCTGTCGCCCAGGCTGGAGTGCAGTGGCTCAATCTCAGCTCGCTGCAACCTCCGCCTCCTGGGTTCAAGCAATTCTCTGCCTCAGCTTCCCTAGTAGCTGGGATTATAGGCACCTGCCACCATGCCCAGCTAATGTTTTTGTATTTTTAGTAGAGAGAGGGTTTCACCATCTTGGCCAGGCAAGTCTTGAACTCCTGATCTCGTGACCCACTGGCCTTGGCTTCCCAAAGTGCTGGGATGTGAGCCACCGTGCCTGGCTGGAAAGTAATCCATTTCTAAAAGTGACATAAAAATCATTTCTGGACAAGCTTGTTGATGAACTGTAAGTGTGTTTAGCTGACACAATTTAAATTCCATTCCCAGTTTAAGTGTCCACCCTAGCGTTTTATCTTCACTATTTCTTTTTCAGGAATGCCTTAGTTTTGATATACAGTTAAAATAGAAGAGTGTGTGTGTGTCCTCAGATAATTTTATTCCAATAAGAATAAGTTTTTCCTGATTGTTAGTCCAGTTTGCCATCTGTGACTTTGCTGTTCTCTGCTCTTTGATTCCTGCTTTTGTCTACACATTTCATTGTAGTCCACCTTAGTAATTCTTATGGATTACTTCATTGATGACCTTATGTATATTCTTAACCTTTTGGTTTATTTTTTTAAAAAGCACTATGAAATATGTACAATATAAAAATATTTATTTTTCAAAGTCCTTTCTTGTTGTGTTGGTTAATTGAGTGTGCCAATAAAGGCAACAAGGACTCAGATGTCTTTTGTCTTTCTATTTTGTCATCCTTAGCAAGGTGGGCTGCCTGCTTAGCTCCCTCAAGGTCCTAATATGGCTGCCGCAGTTCCAGATGTCCCAGGCAGATGACCAAATCCCAAAGGAGAGTATTGTTTCTCATAGCCTGTATCTTTTTTTTTTTTTTTTTTTTTGAGATGGAGTCTCACTCTGTTGCCCAGGCTGGAGTGCAGTGGCGCAATCTCGGCTCAGTGCAACCTCTGCCTTCCACGTTCAAGTGATTCTCCTGCCTCAGCCTCCCAAGTAGCTGGAACTACAGACGCACGTCACCATGCCTGGCTAATTTTTGTATTTTTAGTAGAGATGGGATTTCGCCACGTTGGCCAGGCTGGTCTCAAACTCCTGACCTCATGTGATCCACCCACCTTGGCCTCCCAAAGTGCTGGGATTACAGCCACCGTGCCCAGCTGCCTGCATCTTTTAAAAGAACAAAGAAATTATTTCCAGAAGGTCTCCAACAGATTTTGCCTTAATTCTTATGGTTAGAACATCATTTATTATGTGCTTATTTCCAAAGCAGTCGAGGGAACTGGAATTACAATAATAGGCTTAACAAATTTTGAACAAAGTTGGCTTTTGGTTGGCAAGGAAAAATCAGGAAACTAAATATACATAGTGAAATAAATCTGCCACATAAGCCATTCTAATAGGATTGCTAGGTAGGTGGATTGAAGGAGATGAATAGAGAGTGTCACAAAATGACTAGCACTATACTCTAAAAGTATGATCAGGTAATGTTATTTGTTGGAATTCCACCTGTTCTATAACTTTCTGACCAAACATAAAAATATTAAACAGATTTAAGATACCTTTCTCTAAAAAGATTAACAGTGTGTGAAAATAAGTAATTGGTTATAATCCATTAGATTCTTCTGAATCTTTTTTAAAAAAAATCTGTGATTTCCAGAGATAGTCTTTAATCAATTAGATAGAATGTATTTTTTCATTACACTCTAATGTAACAAGTGTTACATCAAAATAATGCTTCATTATCAATGAAGTGCCCCAGGATTTTGTATGTGAGTAAATATTACCTTGGAATCTTAGTGTTTAACTTTTATATATCACCTCCCCTTTGCCCCCAACAGCCATATCATCCAAGACTTTGGTAATAAAAAGAATAATTTCTGAAATAATGAAATTACCAGTTGCATTAACCAGCAGCAATTTGGAGTGGACTTTATAGGAAAAAAATTTTTTCCTCTGGTGTTATTTGCCACTGCAGTGTTCTGCAGTGCCTGTTGGGGAGAGGCTGATGACTCATTAACTCAGATCAGTTGCCTATGCTGCCTTTCTGGATTTTTCCTCTTCTACCACAGGGTTTTGGTTTTTGTTTAAATCTTTCACAAATTGGGTAGGGAGGGGCACTGCTATAATTTGTAACCAAAGAATCTTAGTTGTAAGTTGCATTTACTTTTTATCCTTAAACACAGTTGAAGTCAAAACAGCTAAAGGCAACATTTTTATATAATCATTGATTTGATTTTTCTATGAGTGCATCTGTGTATACCACACTGCTTTCATCAAAGTATGTAATAAGTATTCCTGCTTTTATTTATTTATTTATTTATTTATTTATTTATTTATTTTTGAGACTCTCACTCTGTCACCCAGGCTGGAGTGCAGTGGAGCAATCTCCAGTCACTGAAACCTCCACCTCCCGGGTTCAAGCATTTCTCCTCCTCCAGCCTCCCAAGTAGCTGGGACTACAGTTTTGCATCACCACACCTGGCTAATTTTTGTATTTTTTGGTAGAGGCAGGGTTTCACCATGTTGGCCAGGCTGGTCTTGAACTCCTGACCACAAGTAACCTACCTGCCTCGGCCTCCCAAAGTTCTGGGATTACAGGCATGAATTATCGAGACTGGCCTCATGCTTTTATTTTTTAAATGTTGGAGAACAACAATAGCTGTATAGGCCGGGCACGGTGGCTTATGCCTGTAATCCCAGCACTTTGGGAGGCCAAGGCGGGTGGATCTCCTGAGGTCAGCAGTTCCAGACTAGCCTGGTCAACTTGGCGAAATCCCGTCTCTACTAAAAATGCAAAAAATTAGCCAGGCATGGTGGCTCGTGCCTATAGTCCCAGCTACTTGGGAGGCTGAGACACAAGAATCGCTTGAACCCGGAAGGTGGACATTGCAGTGAGCCAACATCGTGCCACCGCACTCCAGCCTGGGTAGCAGACTGAGACTCTGTCTTAAAAAAAAAGAAAATCAATAGCTGTATATTGTCTTAAGAAGGAGTTATTAAATAGCCTGTAAAGCTATTTTATGTAGCATTAAATCATATCATAGTTTGGACCTTATAGAGATTTGGGATAAAATTAACTTTCAGGCCAGGCGTGATAGCTCATGCCTGTTATCCCAGTACTTTGGGAGGCCGAGGCGGGCAGATCACAAGGTCAGGAGTTCAAGACCAGCCTGGCCAATAAGGTGAAACCCCGTCTCTACTAAAAATACAAAAAAATTAGCTGGGTGTGGGGGCGCATGCCTGTAATTCCAGCTACTCGGGAGGCTGAGGCAGGAGAATTGCTTGAACCTGGGAGACGGAGATTGCTGCGAACCGAGATCATGCCACTGCACTCCAGCCTGGGCAACAGAGGGAGACTCCATCAAAAAAAAAAAAAAATTAACTTTGAATATAATCTAACTTGCAGTATAATTTGCTTATTGAAAGTTGGTGTTCTAGGAGTTTGTTTTAACATTTTTAAAAGCCTATTTTTCACTGAGAGGCGTAAGCATTCAATGATGAAGCAGAAGATTTTAATGGGATATTTTTAACTATTCACAGATAATAAAGAAGAGTTATAAACAAATTAGTATGTTGTATGACCATGCTTACCAAAATGCTATATGTTTAGCCCTATTCAGTCATCAGGTCACCATAGTATGTCTACCTGATGAGTAATTTTTATTTCACTGTGGGGAAAAAACACTTGCATATTTTTCTCTTTTTTTTTTTTTTTTTTTTTTTTTTGAGACGGAGTCTCGCTCTGTCGCCCAGGCTGGTGTGCAGTGACGTGATCACCGCTTGCTGCAAGCTCCGCCTCCCGGGTTCAGGCCATTCTCCTGCCTCAGCCTCCTGAATAGCTGGGACTACAGGTGCCTGCCACCACACCCGGCTAATTTTTTGTATTTTCAGTAGACACGGGGTTTCATCATGTTAGCCAGGATGGTCTCGATCTCCTGACCTCATGATCCGCCTGCCTCGGCTTCCCAAAGTGCTGGGATTACAGGCATGACCCACCGCGCCCGGCCTCTTTTTTTCTTTAGTTTTTTCAGTTTCTTATTTTTATGGATACATAAGTGTATATATTTATAAGGTACATATTTTTCTTATAAAATTTATTGTATGAGATGAAGTAGAGTATAAAACTTGTTTGGATTTCAGAGAATATACAAGAGCATGCCAAGAAATTTCCTTGCTTACGGTAGAGTGCTATAGCATCCTGTTTCTGGTCACATTCTGGGATGGGGTAGATAGAGGAGTGGTTATTCACTTCGATGTTTACCTGGATCAATACATTTGAAAGGAAGTGGGTGGAAGCAGAGTTGGGCAGAGGAAGAAGTTGAAATGCAGTGCAAGTCCCTCAGAGCCTCAGTTACCTAGTGGGAGAGATCTGGAGTGATTGTTGCTTGTGAGAGTATCCTGCATCAGGCTGAGATGGCTGGGCCTTTGTACCTCCATTGTGTCCATTCAGCAGGTGCACACTGCCCTGCAAGTGGTGTGAATGCAGGCAAGGCAGCACTCTGCATCTGAGGCTGACCTTGAAGGGTTGACAGCTGTTAGTTATTCAGTAATCACTATGGGAGTGCTTTTGGACTGGGGATATTTGAGCAGAGACATGAATGATGTGAAGAAATGAATCCTGGAGAAAAGAACATTCTAGGGAGGAGCACAGGAAATATAAAAGATCCATGTTGCTGTAGCAGATTAAAATGTAAATATTTTAAAATATCAAAATGGGGCTGGGCACCATGGCTCACGCCTGTAATCCCAGCACTTTGGGAGGCCAAGGCAGGCGGATCATGAGGTCAGGAGATCGAGACCATCCTGGCTAACACAGTGAAATCCCGTCTCTACTAAAAATACAAAAAAATTAGCCGGGCGTGGTGGCAGGCACCTATAGTACCAGCTACTCGGGAGGCTGAGGCTGGAGAATGGCGTGAACCTGGGAGGCGGAGCTTGCAGTGAGCCAAGATTGCACCACTGCACTCCAGCCTGGGCGACAGAGCAAGACTCCATCTCAAAAAAAAAAAAAAACCAAATGGACAAAAATGCTTGGAAGTTTACACTTTAAAACTCGTGTTTTCATAATTATTATGAAAGATGTGGTAAGAGCAGATTTCAGGATGTATTTACAACCACCTCTCTGTATAAACACTATGGAGTAGAGAAGATTAAATTACTCAGAATCAGAATCATCATCATTTTTTTCTCCACTTAATATTGGCTTTTTTTTTTTTTTTTTTTTTTGAGATGGAGTCTCACTCTGTCACCCAGGCTAGAGTGCAGTGGTGCGATCTCGGTTCACTGCAGTCTCTGCCTCCTGGGTTCAAGCACTTCTCCTGCCTCAGCCTCCTGAGTAGTTGGGATTACAGGTGCGCGACACCACGCCCGGCTAATTTTTTTGTATTTTTAGTAGAGGCGGGGTTTCACCATGTTGGTCAGGCTGGTCTCAAACTCCTGACCTCGTGATCCACCCGCCTTGGCCCCCCAAAGTGCTGGGATTACAGGTGTGAGCCACCGTGCCTGGCCAATATTGGCTTTTTAAAAAGGACAGTCATCTTGGTTTGCTAATACAAGAATATTCACCAAATTAATGCAAATTTATGGATCTAGTGACAATTATCTTTAAGTAAATTTGTAGACTTATCACTAGGACTCTAGGTTCTCTTATTAGTATGATGTCACTTCCTAAAGTGTGCCGTCTTTGGCATAAATTAAATAATATGTGCCTAAAAATTAGAGTTAAAAACTATAGAATCATTAAAATTTTCATGCTGGCTAGGATTTTCCAGCTGACTGCTAAACCCACAAGACTGCTGGATCATGAACAAACCCATTTGGTTTCCGCTAATCATTGCTCATACATTTGGAGGCATGCACTGTTTAAGTCTTAAAGGGAAAGTATGTAAATAAATACTTGTTTTAAAAAATCAGAACAGACATCATTATTCCCTCATAAACTTTAGAATACCGTCCTGAACCACAGGTTTCAACCATCTGTAGGGAAGCTTTACTAGATACTCTGATGCCTCTTTGTTCATCCCTCCAAGTCTCAGCTTAACCTCCTATTAAGTGACTTTCATCCTGCCCAACTCTAGGTTAGATGCCATTGCTTTATGCTCTTCTAAATCTCCAGCCTATAGTACTTCTAAGAGAGCACATATGTCACCTTATAAGAACTACCTGTTTGTCTTTTCATTCCACTATGCCAGAAGATCCTTGGGGGAAAGATTGTGTCTTACTTCATTATATTTTCCATCTATAATACAGCAGCTGGCACATCATCAATGCTTAAAAAAAATACAGTTGGTCTTAGAAAATAAAGTTATGATAAAATGCACCTGATAACTAGGAAAAAAAAAAAACTAGCTAAGCAACTAGATTTGGTTCAAGATAAGAACTATCTACCCCATCCCAGATTGTGAACAAGAAACAGGATGCTATAGCAGTCTACCGTAAACAGGGAAATTTCTTGGTATGCTCTTGTATATTCTCTGAACTCCAAAAAAACTAGCTAAGAGACTAGATTTGGTTCAAGATAAGAACAACTAGATTTGGTAGCGAGGTAAGAATCACTGGACACTTTAGAAATGGACACTTTAGAAAAAAGGCAATCTTAGCTTATATTAATAGAATAAAATTAGTAGTCATCAGTATTACTTTTCTGTTAGGCATACTGTTAGATGCCTCACAAAAACCCCATTAGATTTTACAGATGAAACTGAGGCTCAAAAGGATGAAACAATTTGATTTGCCTAAGGACACAACTTATAAATTCAAAGTCTTCAAACCGTGGCATTTGTCTCTCAATAAAAGGAAGCATTTGCTGGGTGCGGTGGCTCACGCCTGTAATCCCAGCACTTTGGGATTACAGGTGGGCAGATCACTTGAGGTCAGGAGTTCAAGACCAGTCTGGCCAACATGGTGAAACCCTATCTCTACTAAAAATACAAAAATTAGCTGGGCATAGTGGCACACACTGTAGTCCCAGCTACTCAGGAGGCTGAGGCACAAGAATCGCTTGAACCTCAGAGGTGGAGGTTGCAGTGAGCCGAGATTGCACCACTGCACTCCAGCCTGGGTGACAGAGTGAGACCCTGTCTCAAAAAAAAAAGAAAAGAAAAAAAAAAAGCAGCATTCAGAATAGATGAAGTAGTACTCTTCAGTACTCACTCATACAGCATGTAGAACGTTTTTTTATTTGTACTATTTAAAAGAAATATTGACCTTGTGAAATACTTCTAGAAAAGGGTAGTCTCAGGAGTGAGGGATCTGAAAAGATTATACTTTGAGGGACAATGGAAGGCACTAAAGAGAATGTGCTTGGAGAGGAAACATACTTTGTGTGGCTATAGTAATTGGAAAAAATAGGGCCAAAGGATTGAAGTTAAGGGAAGTAGATTTAGGTTGGATGTGAGATAGTATTTCTAAAAACAGAATGGCTTTTTCCAAATTCAGGACCTATATTCAAATAGTGTAACTGATGACATTTTTGTAAGCGTATTACATTTCACAAGGAACTTTTTTTTTTTTTTTTTGAGATGGAGTTTTGTTTTTGTTGTCCCTGCTGGAATGCAGTGGTGCAGTCTTGGCTCACTGCAACCTCCTCCTCCCGGGTTCAAGCAATTCTCCTGCCTCAGCCTCCTGAGTAGCTGGAATTACAGGCGCCCACCACCACACCCAGCTAATTTTTGTATTTTTAGTAGAGACAGGGTTTTGCCGTGTTGGCTAGGCAAGTCTCGAACTTCTGACCTCAAGTGATTTGCCCACCTCGGCCCCCCCAAGTGCTGGAATTATGGGCATGAGCCACTGCACCCAGACACAAGGAACATTTAAGGAAATTTGTAATGCAATCGCAAGTCTGGTGGGTAGGTGGTAGCATTATTACTGTTTTTCAAATGCAGATATTAAGAGATTTTGATTTGTCCAAGATGTTCTGCAGCATGTTATTGGTAGGACCAGGATGTGATCCCAAGTCTGCTGACCCAAGATCTCATGCTGTTTCCACTTTAATAGGCAGATGACCATGTATCATGAATGCTATAGAGGAAATACCCATATGTGGGGAGGAACTTAGACTGTGTATGATTGTCAGTTTCTTCTCTGATTTTGAAAATCTTTGATTTTCTGAAGATTGAAATTTCACCTCATTCACTTGTTCACTACTTCTTTGAAGACTTTTCCCAACCTATTGTCCAATTAAATATGTTTGTCTTTAAATCTTCTTTCTGTTTTCCCCCGTATTATCTCATAGTTTCTAGAACGTCTTGTTCTGTCTCTTTAGATTCCAATGTTTTACAGTCCCATGCCTGCTCTTAATGGCTTCTTCTACTGTATTTTCAGGAAGCCAAAAATCCTAATAAATTTCTGCCAGGCGCGGTGGCTCATGTCTGTAATCCCAGCACTTTGGGAGGCCGAGGCAGGCAGATCACTTGAGCCCAGGAGTTTGAGGCCAATCTGGGCAACATGGTGAAACCCTGTCTCTACAATAAATGTAAAAATTAGCTGGATGTGGTGTCGTGTGCTTGTCATGCCAACTACTGGGTGGGGTGGGGACGGGGGCGGCTGAGGTGATCACTTGAGCCCAGGAGGTCAAGGCTGCAGTGAGCCGTGATCACGCCACTGCACTCCAGCCTGCGTGACAGCGAGAACTTGTCTCAAAAAAACAAAAACAAAAACTTACTTTACAGCTCCCTGTTCACTATATTTCATCCACATTGGTGTACACTTCTGCAAGTTGGAATCAGTTTCTCCTGTGCTCCCAAGGTGGTGTTTGCACCTCAATTGAGCATTTAAGTCATTTTGTTTTGCTATATAGCTATTTAAAGCTTCAAAAGCTCTGTAAACATATAATAAATGGAATTCCATTGACATTCAAGCCTTACGTATTTCCAGAGCTTCTTCGACTTATCCTGCCTCCCCTACTTTAATTCTGTTAAAGTAGTTGAACACCATTCTTCTCATAATAGTTCTCCCTCAATCTTCAGTGATTTCCTTGTGTTTATAGGATAAAGTCCACTTGTTATTTTGGCAGTCAGTTCAAGATCCACAAATCAGTCTTTACCCTTACATCCTTATTTCTCACTGCTGTTCTAATATAGTCTTTATACCAGTCAGGCTGGTCTGTTCACTATTCCTGAATGTTTTTCTCCATTCTTTTGTTATTGGCACCCCCGCTACCCTCTGCAGTGTCTTTGCTACCTTTCTTTTTCTACTGTGTGCAAATTCTACCTGACCTTCAAGGTATCTTCTCTAAACATTCTAATCTTTGAACTTTTAGTAAATAAGGGTATATTATTTGGTACTTTATCACTTATTGATCTATGACTCTTTGTGGTTAATTTTGGACATTATTTAGCTTTTCATGTGTACATGTATTTCATCTCCCTCATTAAATTGGTAATAGTTATTAAGGTAGATCAGCAGTCACAAATAAACTTTCTCCTTTGGCATCTGTTACCAGTTTTCAATGTGAACTTGGATAGTTCCTGTTTTTTAAATTGTATATCAATAAACAAAGAGGTTGAAATGAATTTCTTAAACTATTCTGTGTGTTCCACTAAAAGAAAAAAGGAAAAACACTCATAGTTAAAATTTAAAGATAGGTAATAAATAAATACTTTTAAAGAGTAAAATATATCATTTGTTACATTGTGAAAAGTGCTATGGTATAAAATAGGGAAGGAGGAAGGATGTTGCAGTTTTAAATAAATGGACAGAGAAGCCTCATGGAGAAGGTGATGTTTGAGTAAAGATCTGAAGGAGTGCTGAACATGGTGGCTCACACCTGTAATCCCAACACTTCAGGAGGCCAAGGCCAGAGAATCACTTGAGTCCAGGAGTTTAAGACCGGCCTAGGCAAAATACTGAGATCCTGTCTTCACAGAAAATAAAATTAGCCAGGTGTGGTAGGACACACCTGTGGTCCCAGGTACTAGGGAGGATGAGGTGGGAGGATCTCTTGAGCCCAGGAAGTTGAGTTGGCTGTGAGCCATGATCACACCATTACACTCCTGCCAAATCGACGGAGACAGACTGTGTTAGAAAAAAAGACCTGAAGGAGGTGTAGGAGCAGATACCTTGGAGAATAACATTCTAAGCAGAGGGAACAACCTGTACAAAGGCCCTGAGGTAGAATGTGCTTGTGTTTTTGAGAGCTGACAAAGAGTTCAGTGTGTATCTGCAGCATGATTAAGTGAAAGAGTAGCTGGATAAGTCAGAGAGGTCATTGAGGATGGGCTTGTTGTGGGGGTGGATAAGTTATTGAAAAGACTTCACATTTTTTGTTATAGTTATCGATATTTCCTATGAAATACCTCACATAGAGATATAATTCAGTTGTGATAAAACCATCCAGCATCCAGGAATAGGGTACTTTTAACTACATTTTAGGAATTTTGGCTGGGTTCAGTGGCTGGCTCACGTCTGTAGTCCCAGCACTTTGGGAGGCTGAGGTGGGTGGATCACTTGAGGTCAGGAGTTTGAGACCAGCCTGGCCAACGTGGCAAAACCCTGTCTCTACTAAAAATACAAAGATTAGCCAGGTATGGTCACGTGCACCTGTAATTCCAGCTACCCTGGAGGGTGAGGCACAGGAATTGCTTGAACTCGGGAGGCAGAGGTTGCAGTGAGCAGAGATCCTTCCACTGCACTCCAGCCTGGGTGGTGGAGTTAGACTCTGTCTCAAAAAAACAAACAAACAAACAAACAAAAAACTAGTTGGGCATGGTGGTACACACCTGTAGTCATAGCTACTTGGGAGGCTGAGGCAGGAGGATCGCTAGAGTCCAGGAGTCTGAGGCTGCAGTGAGCTATGACTGTACCACCACACTCCAGCCTGGGTGACAGAGAGCCTCTTAAAAATTTTTTTTAAATTAAGAAAAGGAATTTTTTTATTCTACTTTGAAGAAGTATAATAACTCAAGAATACACCAAAGATGAGAGTGGTCTCATCTTAGTGGACTACCTATATTTTGGGTCTTTTGCTTTACGGTTTATAATTATAACTTATTTATTTATTTATTTACTATAGGTAAACTAACATTATGGATTTTTCCAAGCTACCCAAAATACTCGATGAAGATAAAGAAAGCACATTTGGTTATGTGCATGGGGTCTCAGGACCTGGTAAGTAATACATCATAATCTCAAAATAAGGATATCTAACTTTGATTAATGTCTTTTCAAAATATTTTACATAGAAATATACAACTTTCTGTTTACCTGCATAAATTCTGTTTGTCCTTAGGCGATCTCATAGTGACTATAAGACCGAAGTAGAATCTCTGTCATAAGGGCTCATCTAGCATTGATTATCTAAATTTTATAATTATTGAGGTACTACTTTGTGATATCCTGTTTATAATTATGTAAATGTTCAACCAGTGTTCAGTTTTATATGTCTTAATTTTTTGTTAAATTTGAGGTAAATAAACTATGAAGTTTATAGCTTTTAATATGTAATACCTTGCATATAGCAGGCATTCAGTAAATGTTAATTTGCTTTGAACTTTAATAATTCAAACGCTCAGAGCATTTCTCAGCAATATTAGCTTTTGCCCTTTGCATTTATGAAACTTTTTGAATGGTTATTTTAAGTGTCACATTATTAACTACCTGTGGGAAAGAAGTCTTAGGACCCAAACTTTATGTCCATTCTGCCAAAACATGGAGTGCTGCTTTTTAAATAATAAATCTTACGCCAGTATTTGTTTTGTTATTGAATACTCCCACTACACAATGTGATTCACAGTCACAGTTTCTCTAAGTAAAACCTGGTCAGTGATGTATTATCCTTAAAACCTCATGCTATATAGTCTTTTTCTTGTTCTAGTTAGAGTAGTGGTGATGACAGTTTTTTGATGTTTACGCAAATGAAGACTGTCAGTCACTGTGCCTCTTTTTTCTCCCCCAAGAACTTGGTGTTTGAGCTTGATTTCATTGGCAGGTCATTAAAAGGTTATCAGTATCTTTTGCCATGCAGAGAAATAATTGTCCTCTCAATGATCATAAGGGTCTTCAGGATGGACAGACTAAACCCAAGAACCTTTAGAGAAAAGGCAAAAGAACATCAGAGAGTTTAGGAAAAAATATTCTGTGAAACTGTGTAGTAAACTGCTCCTGGAAACAATTTTTATTTTATTTTAAAAATTTTTTTAAATTTTACTTTAAGTTCTGGGATACATGTGCAGAAAGTGTAGGTGTGTTACATAGGTATACATGTGCCATGGTGGCTTGCTGCACCTATCAACCTGTTACCTAGGTTTTAAGCCCCACGTGCGTTAGGTATTTGTCCTAATGCTCTCCCTCCCCTTGCCTCCTGCAATTTTTAATTCTTAAGTACTTAATAAGGTAATGGAACAATGGCATCCTTTTTTGGCTTATGAAATATGATTTTTAAATTTCATTATCTCTGGTATTTCAGTGCATCTTAATTCTTAAGTAGTCGGCATAGAGGTAAATATTTATAGAATGAATAAGTCTTCATTGTTTTTACACAGGTTAATTAACTCATAAAGCTTTAATAGTTTCCACTGAAGTATTACCTATAACATAGTTCTAATCAGTTGTATCAGAAGGCTAAATATTAAAAATTGGTTTATTCTTACACGTGTCTAAAAATATGGCAACCTTCCTTCCCTGCTAGAAAAGTAATTTTTGCTTACTAGACCACATGGTCCAAAATAGTAAGTTCAGTAAATGGAATTCCATTGACAATTTCTTACCCAATGGTGGTGACTGATTATAAATATCCTTACGGCCTATGAAAAAAATTTTGTAGATGTGTGTGTGAGTTTTTCTAGTAGAGCTATTATTAGTTTTTGAAAAGGGTCCATGTCCCAGAAGAGTTTTAAGAACTACTGCTATAAGTTATTAGAAAGTAAACATGTTGCTTTAGGTCTGTCTCTCAAAGGAAATGGTAACAGCACAGCGAAGTGATAATTGTGTGGCATTCTACCATACTACTAGCCAAACCATTTATTCCAATTTCTACTTTTAAAAGTTTTTTTTATTGTTCCAAAGCCTTCACTCCATGTATCATAGCAACTCTCAGAACATACCTGAATCCTACCAGGTAAGTTTGCCATGCAGAACTTGAAATGTTTGAAAAGTTTTCATGTATATTATGTAAATAAATAATCTTTGGCTTACCTCTTTATATTATACACTAAAATATATATCTATGTGAAACTACCAGTATGTTCCATAGTAGGTTTTTATCCTTCTTATGAATATATGAGAGAGGCACAATACTGGGTTTATTGGGTGTTTTAATTATTTGTGACTATTCACAGAGCACTAGAGTCTTAAGTCATCAAAATAGTCTTTTGTTCTCTTCAGTGGTTACAGCCTGTGACATGGCGGGTGCAGCCATGTATGAGCTGGTGAGAGTGGGCCACAGCGAATTGGTTGGAGAGATTATTCGATTGGAGGGTGACATGGCTACTATTCAGGTGTATGAAGAAACTTGTATCCTTTTTGGCTCAATTTCCTGCCACTTTCTATATTTCAAAATTTAAGGATTTAGGCCAGGCATAGTGCCTCACACAAAGTAATCCCAGCACTTTGGGAGGCAGGCAGGTGGATCACCTGAGGTCAGGAATTTGAGACCAGCCTGGCCAACATGGTGAAACTCCATCTCTAATAAAAATACAAAAATCAGCTGGGTATAGTGGCAGGCGCCTGTAATCCCAGCCGCTTGGGAGGCTGAGGCAGGGGAATCGCTTGCACCCTGGAGGTGGGAGGTTGCAGTGAGCAGAGATCGCACCACTGCACTCCAGCCTGGGCAACAGAGTGAGACTCCATCTCAGAAAAGAAAAAAAAAATTGAGGATTTAAGCCAAAGGTGGAAGCAGCAAAGCAGCAACAACTAATGATATTAGAAGCATGAAATGCTGGTGTTGTGAAGAGACCTGAATTATGCAGGAGTATGTTAAAGAAAGAGAGAAAAGTACTATGAATTGGTACTCTTATTTTAAGAAATTAGTATCTTCTGAACTTTCATTGCTCTTACTGCTTCAGTAATTCATGAACTTAAGGGGGACCAAGTGAATTTTTTCTTCATTGGGACGCATATTGTAGAAGAAAGCGTAAACAGAATAACAATATTGACTTGTGAGGTTAAAATTCTCTAATTATGATTTCAGTTTAAAATAGTAAGTCCACAAATAAAACGGTCACCATTCTTTTGATAGCACTGAGTGACATATTACATTTCAGTTTTATTACTAGGAAAGCTTTACTATTTGGTTATCATAATTTTGGCTTTTAAACATAGTATTTATTTTCAATTTTCTATGAAAAATAAAGGGTTAAGCCTAGTGAAGAAGAACCACTTTTTTAGTGCTTCTATATGTGTTTTACTTTGATTCTCAAAATCAGCATTAATTCTTTGAGTATTTAATCAAGATTTATTTGGTACGACGTTTTTGCCATTCTAAAACACATGCGTGCAGATAACTAGTCTCTTTATAGTACTAGGTGCCAATTTAAAACAAAATCATCTAGAAATTTTAAATAAAAATAGAAGTTTTTGTAGCTATGAAATTGTGACTAATCAGAAATATTTTTTCTATTTTTACTTTTATCTTTTAATCTGTTTAATCTTTTTCATGGCTTGAAGATTTAAAATAAATGAAAATGTAAACAGTGACAACCCTCCTTGCCTTTGTTGTCTTGTATCTAGCCGTTTATCAAAACACATACACACCTCCATGCACACATGGAACCACATTTATAGCTCCCTTTATTTTATATCCTTCTAGTTTAGTAATTACATACATGAGCAAATACAAATATTTGTATTTTTCTTTCCTTTCTCTCTCTCTCTCTCTCTATATATATATATACATGTGTATATATATACGTATATATATACACATATATATATATATACATATATATATGGTTTTTTTGTTTGTTTGTTTGCTTTTTGAGACAGAGTCTCACTCTGTCGCCCAGGCTGGAGTGCAGTAGCATGATCTCGGCTTACTGCAACCTCCGCCTCCCAGGTTTGAGCAATTCTCTGCCTCAGCCTCCCAAGTAGCTGGGATTACAGGCACGTGCCAGCATGCCCGGCTAATTTTTTGTATTTTTAGTAGAGATGGGGTTTCACCATCTTGGCCAGGCTGGTCTTGAACTCCTGACCTCACGATCCACCTGCCCCGGCCTCCCAAGATAGCATATTTTAGGTACTGTTATACACCTTGCTTTTTTTCACTTAAAAGTATGTGTATTCTAGAAGATAAATAGATATGTGATAAATATAGTAAAATGTTAAATATAGAACCTAGCTTGTAGAGACTGGGAGTCCACTGTAAAATTCTTTCAACTTTGTTGTTGTTCTGAAAATTTTCATAATCAAAATTGGAAATGAAAATACATAGTTTAGAGAGATTTCTAGAGGAATTCATGATAACTCTGGTTCTTTTTTTTACAGCCATATAACAATTCCATCATATAAATGTACCATTATTTACTTATCAATGTCTTAATGATAGAAGTTTTGGTTTCTAGTTTTTGGTTGTTATAAACAGTGCTACATTGTAAGTATAGTAAGAATTCACAGAAGTTGGATTCCTAGGTCACGACTTACCCATTTTGAATTTTGATAAATATTGCTAAATTGCTCTCAGGAAAAGTTGTACTGATTTTACTCCTGTCAACAAATGTGTAGAATAAAGTGGACTCATTATGCTTATTTATATATTTTATTCTTATTTGTATGTTTTCAAAATAACTTTATTCTTAAGATTTTAGGTTTTGTCCAAGTACTAATACCCTTATTAGGGGACTGATATTCCTCAGCAGCATATGTGAAGCAATGTATTAATGAGGGAGTTTTGCTTCTGTTTTTAGCCCTGTGGTTCCCAAACTTTGCAGAGTCATTCTGAGAAGCTGCAGCAAACTCATGTGGTGCCAGGATATTTAAAATTTTTGAGGCAAACACAGGAATGTTAGACATATTGTCAGACACCACATGAACTAGTAGCTTGAGATAATAAACAGTTTCATTATGTTGCTGTACTATATTTTTGTCAATGATGTCATATCTTTGCAAAGCTGAGTTTTTGGCAGTTGCTAAGCTACAAAAGCAGGTATCATGTGACAATCAAAATGGAACAAGTTTCCAATCTGATTGCAAGATTGGAAAATTATATAGTTCCCCAAGGGCATATACATTCATGAGAATTATGGATATTTAGGACTGAAATTAATATTATTTTTTCTTTCAACTTATGCATATATTTTTTCAAATTGCTACTCAGTTGTTAGGACGTATATACATATTAGGTTGTTTAGACATAACTGTTTAATAAATGCAAGTGTTAGATATATCTTTTGTCCTGGGACACTGAAAGAAGTTACTGAAAACACTATGAATCCTGTGAACTGAGAAAGTTTGGGAACTTCCGTTTTCACTTCTTGAGTGGCATTTCCTTGTTAAACTGTGGTATTTCCTGTTAATTGTGTCTTTAAACCTTCATAGTAGGTTTTCCTTAGCTGCTGTTTTTAGCTGGTGTGTCTGTTGGAGATCCTGTACTTCGCACTGGTAAACCCCTCTCTGTAGAGCTTGGTCCTGGCATTATGGGAGCCATTTTTGATGGTATTCAAAGACCTTTGTCGGATATCAGCAGTCAGACCCAAAGCATCTACATCCCCAGAGGAGTAAACGTGTCTGCTCTTAGCAGAGATATCAAATGGGACTTTACACCTTGCAAAAACCTACGGGTATGTCTGTGTAACCAAGAATTTCTGAAGTTATTGAAAGAATATAAAATGAATGTTTAGTAAACTACATTGTACTCTTAGTCCAAATAAAAATAGACTACAGAAGGATAGTTTAAAGTTTTTCTTAACTCTACTTCATGGGATTTTAGAACTAATGTTTTATTGATAAGTCAGGTAATTGATTTAAATTATAGCAGCAGGGGCAAGTCTACTTGACATTTATTTGCAAATTAAACAGCAAATACATTTATCTCTAGGTTGGTAGTCATATCACTGGCGGAGACATTTATGGAATTGTCAGTGAGAACTCGCTTATCAAACACAAAATCATGTTACCCCCACGAAACAGAGGAACTGTAACTTACATTGCTCCACCTGGGAATTATGATACCTCTGTAAGTATCATTTGAACTTTATCCTGCAGAGTGCCTCTATTTCTATATGATAGCTGCCCAGTTTTAGTGCCCTAAGTAATTAAAGAATTGATATTTAATACATAAGTTTTGAGTAACTCCTATAATTTTTGAAAGTTTTTGTTTGTTTATTTTTAACTTGGATTTAGGGATGAAAAAGCAGAACATAGTATTTCTTTTTAAAGAAATGTAACAGTTTTCTACCATATTAACTGATGCTACATTTATTTAAAGCCCTAGTTGTTTAGGCATAGAATAGACTTTGATTTTAATGGTGTATCAATATTCACATAGTAATTATATAATGGGACCGGGCATGTAGGCTCACGCCTGTAATCCCAACACTTTGGGAGGGCGAGATGGGCAGAGCACAAGGTCAGGAGATCGAGACCAGCCTGACCAACATGGTGAAACCCTGTCTCTACTAAAAATACAAAAATTAGCCAGGCGTGGTGGCGCACGCCTGTAATCCCAGCTAGTTGAAAGGCTGAGGCAGGAGAATCGCCTGAACCTAGGAGGCGGAGGTTGCAGTGAGCTGAGATCGTGCCATTGCACTCCAGCCTGGGTGACAGAGCGAGACTCCATCTCAAAAAAATAAAAATAATTAGTATTATTATTATATAATGGATTATTTGAATTCTCTTTTTTTCTTTTCTTTTTTTTTTTTTTTTTTTTGAGACAGGGTCTTGCTGTGTTGCCCAGACTGGAGTGCAGTGGTGCAATCATAGCTCACTGTAGCCTCAACCTGCTGGGCTCAAGCAGTTCTATCACCTCAGCCTCCCAAGTACCTGGGACCACGGGCACATGCCACCATGCCCAGTTAATTTTTTTTTTTTGAGATGGACTCTTGCTCTGTCACCAGGCTAGAGTGCAGTGGCGCGATCTCGGCTCACTGCATCCTCTGCCTCCTGGGTTCAAGCGATTCTCCTGCCTCAGCCTTTCAAGTAGCTGGGATTACAGGCCTTTACTTATATTTAACTATTTCTTTGTTGCTTAATATACTTCTTTCTTTCTTTTTTTTTTTTTTTTTGTTTTAGGAGATGGGGTGTCACTATGTTGCCTGGGGTGCTGGAACTACTGGGCTTAAGCAATCCTCCTGCCTCAGTTTTCTGAGAAGCTGGGATTACAGTCACAAGTCTGATATACTCCTTTCTAACTCAGAAATTTTGTTTGTAATTATTAAAAAAGTAATAAATGCACCAGGTTAAAAAAAAAAAAAAGCTAAGACTATATATAATTAATTATAATAAAAAGTATAAATCTCCCTTTGCACTTACATGTATCACCTTCCTAACCCCAAGGAGAATCGGGTTACTTTGATTTTGAAGGAAGAAATGTTCACAAATTTGACCATACTAAAATCCTACTGTATTTCTATAGGATGTTGTCTTGGAGCTTGAATTTGAAGGTGTAAAGGAGAAGTTCACCATGGTGCAAGTATGGCCTGTACGTCAAGTTCGACCTGTCACTGAGAAGCTGCCAGCCAATCATCCTCTGTTGACTGGCCAGAGAGTCCTTGATGCCCTTTTTCCGTAAGTTTGAGATGTGTCCCACGATTTTCCCTCAGAGTTATTATATGTGCTTATGTTTTTATTATCTTTATAGATAAAGGGCTTATGTGTTTAACACTATAATACATTTTATCTAGAGTAATAATGGTGAATTAAATATTTTTATCTATTGCTAGCACTTATTATAAATTCAAACCATTGAAGATTTACTTTTTTCATGGTTGCCCCCAGAAAGCATTATTTCTGAAACTTTTCTGGAAAAATTAAATTTGCTGAAGAAAATCTGTACCAAAACATTTACTTTTTTCATGGTTGCCCACAGAAAGCATTATTTCTGAAACTTTTCTGGAAAAATTAAATTTTCTGAAGAAAATCTGTACCAAAACAATGTAACTCTGTTTCTTCTTCTTCTTCTTTTTTTTTTTTTTAATTGAGACAGGATCTCACTCTGTCGCCCAGGCTAGAGTGCAGTGGCATGATCTCAGCTCACTGCAACCTCTGCCTCCCAGCTCAAGCAATCCTCCTCCTGCCTCACCCTCCTGAGTAGCTGGGACCACAGGCATGCACCACCACACCTGGCTAATTTTTTGTATTTTTGGTAGAGACCGGGTTTGACTATGTTGCCTAGGCTGATCTCAAACTTCTGAGCTCAAGTGATCCACCTGCCTTGGCCTCCCAAAGTACTAGGATTACAGGCGTGAGCCATTGCACCCGGCCACCATGTTTCTTAAGTTATTCTAGACTGGGAACCAAGACAGAAGCCCCACCCAAATAACTGGGATAACATTTGGAAGAGGGAAAGAAAATAGTACAGAATGTGCTTCTAAGTGCTGTAGTGTACTCATAGCTCTGCAGAAACAAGGCTTTAATCTGATTTTTGGTGAAGGAAATCTCTGTAGTCATCACGGGATCCAGGGGATCAGTTTAGTCCCAAACTCCATGCCTGGGATAAATCAAACTGAGAAGCAAGCAACATGAATACCTAACTTTAAGTTTGATGCTGGATCTACTTCTAGATTTAAAATTATTAAATAATTCAGATGACAAAGCAGGGGGAAAATGCCCTGTTTCATGGCAAAGAAGTAAATACTCCAATATCTGTAGCTTTCAACTGATGTCTATTTTTGGCTTAAGCCTCTCTGTAACCAATTATATAATTTTACGGTAAACTGATTTTGTGATGTACAAAGTTCAAATGATTCAAGTATAAATTATTACCAAGCAATTTATTATGTCACTCAATAAACCAAAAGCATGCACAGGAATAGATCTCCCAGCATAAAGGATGTATTTAATTTATTTGCATGTGTAACTTTTTAAAAATAAAGAATTGTGGTATAATTTTAAAAAAATAGTAGATTTATGTCACCATAAATTGATGATTTCTATTAAAAGTAATGGCAAAAACCGATATCATTATTTTTGCACTGACCTAAATAAAATCAACTGGGCTTTCTCTGCTGCCCAGCAATCTTTCTTAATTTGTTGTCTGCTCTTTCCATTTTCTACGACTGCTTAAAAAGCGTAAACCGTCTCCTATCTCTCTCTCTTTCTCTCTCTGTCTCTCGCTTTTTAAGAGATAGGTTATCATTCTGTGACCCAGGCTGGAATGCAATGGCTAGATCATAGTTCACTGTAACCTCAAACTCCAGGACTCCAGTTATCCTCCTGCCCCAGCCTTCTGAATAGCTAGGCCATGGGCATGCACCACCATGCCCTTCTAATTTCTAAATATTTTTATAGAGACAGGGTCTTGCTCTTTTGCCCAGGCTGGTCTTGGGCTCAGGCGGTCCTCCCACCTCAGTCTCCCAAAGCATTGGGATTACAGGCATAAGCGTCTGTGCCTAGCCTTATTTTATCTTATTCTTTTCATATATCCCTCTTCTCCAGTTTATTGAATATATTTCATAGTGCTTTTTCTTTCTTTAACTTGTGTTTTTGTGTTCCTTACCTACTTTATTTTTATTTTTATTTATTTTTATTTTTTTTGAGATGGAGTTTTTTGCTCGTCACCCAGGCTGTAGTGCAAAGGCGCGATCTCGGCTCATTGCAACCTCCACCTCTCAGGTTCAAGCAATTCTCCTGTCCCAGCCTCCAGAGTAGCTGGGATTACAGGCACCCACCACATGCCCGGCTAATTTTTCTTTTTTTTTTTGTAATTTTAGTAGAGGTGGGGTTTCACCATGTTGGCCAGTCTGGTCTCGAACTCCTCACTTCAGATGATCCACCCGCTTCGGCCCCCACAAGTGCTGCTGGGATTACAGGCGTGAGCCACCGCGCCCGGCCCCTACTTTATTTATTAATATCTATTAGCAAGTCAAGTAATCCATACTTTGTTTTCTTTGTTTAGGTGTGTCCAGGGAGGAACTACTGCTATCCCTGGAGCCTTTGGCTGTGGAAAGACAGTGATATCACAGTCTCTATCCAAGTATTCTAACAGTGATGTAATCATCTATGTAGGATGTGGTGAAAGAGGAAATGAGATGTCTGAAGTCCTCCGGGACTTCCCAGAGGTCTGTATAAAGCTTCAAATAATATCCTAGAGAAAATACCACTCATCAGTGTTCATTGACAATTAATAAAGCTTTGTGTTGGGTCTGGAGCAATGCTGTCATTCGTCAAGGATCTTTAAGGAATTTTAAAATTATATTTGTAATTAATCTGTATATTCAAGAAAAGGAATTTTAATTTTTTGTGTGTGTGTGATGGAGTTTCACTCTTTTTGCCCAGGCTGGAGTGCAGTGACACCATCTCAGCTCACTGCAACCTCCACCTCCCAGGTTCAAGCGATTCTCCTTCCTCAGCCTCCTGAGTAGCTGGGATTACAGGTGCATGCCACCACGCCCAGCTGATTTTGTATTTTTAGTAGAGACGGGGTTTCCACCATGTTGGCCAGGCTGGTTTTGAACTCCTGACCTCCAATAATCGACCCACTTCAGCCTCCCAAATTGCTGGGATTATAGGCATGAGCCACCGTGCCTGGCCAGGAATTTTAATTCTTAAGCCAAACACTTGAAAGTTTCTTTTTATGGTCTGGTGGTTTTTACTTATTGAGAGAAAGATGAAATAAAGAAATAAAACATTTATAGATGTGAACTTTATGTGTGATTTATGATCTAGATTATTATAGTAGTATTTCTTTTTTCATAAAATATTTATTTTATTTATGAAATTGAAATAATGTCTATCTTCTTCATAGCACCGTGGAGCAGAGAAGAGAGGTTGGAGTGGTGGGGAATATTACTTTAGGAACACTGATTGTAAGAGGCATTAAATATGGGCAAAAGTTTAAAAAAAAAAAGAAAAATAGGGAGGGCTAAAATGTTACCTTAGAAATTGGAGATTCACTAATATATATTTTACCTCTAGCTCACAATGGAGGTTGATGGTAAGGTAGAGTCAATTATGAAGAGGACAGCTTTGGTAGCCAATACCTCCAATATGCCTGTTGCTGCTAGAGAAGCCTCTATTTATACTGGTGAGTATATAATTGGAATAAAAGCAGTTAACATCTGTTCTTAAGTGTAAAGCTAGCACCAAACTTTTCTAAAGAGCTTTTTACTTTCATTCTAAAATATCTCTGTACATATAAGCACATTCCTAGCTTTTAAAAAATATTTTACTTGGCCGGGAATGGTGACTCACGCCTGTGGTCCCAGTACTTTGGGAGGCCCAGGCCGGCAGATCACTTGAGGTCAGGAGTTCGAGACCAGCCTGGCCAACATGGTGAAACCCTGTCTCTACTAAAAATACAAAAAATTGGCTGGGCGTGGTGGCAGCCACCTTTAATCCCAGCTACTCGGGAGGCTGAGACAGGAGAATTGCTTGAATCCGGGAGGCTGAGACAGGAGAATTGCTTGAATCCGGGAGGCAGAGGTTGCAGCGAGCCGAGATCGCGCCACTGCACTCCAGCCTGAGCGACAGAGCAAGACTCTGTCTCAAAAAAAAAAAAAAAAAAAAAAAAATTTACTTACTATGTCTTCAGAATAAGTGAATGTAAGACATTTATAGAGCTGTCTCAATCTTTTTAATGACTGTAAAATGATCTTATACTACCTTTTTTCACTACATGTTTTATCATTGATCTAGTTTTAAATATACTTGTACCTTTGTAACTTGAATTATCAGCTTTGAATTAATATATTTTGTCTGGGGATATAAAAGATAAGACAATTCATGTGTTAATGACCTTTCATCTTTGGTTCCGTTTCCATCCCAGCTTTTATTTCTACATTTTCAGGATTTATAAAACTTACATTCTATTCTGTAGCCATAAAGCCAATATTTGAATTAGCTGTAGACCTACATTAAAATGGAGTTAATGCTCACCAACAGTCCCTTGGCTATAATTTCTCCATTTCTTGATTGGCTAAGATTTGACTTTTGGAAGTTTCTTCAAGAAGACTTATGGCAACTGTGTTCTCTGAATTCTTGTTTCTTCATAAATTTATTTTTTTTCTACTGCCTTTAAACTTTAATAGTAGTTTGGCTGAGTATAAAATTCTTGATCAATATTTCTTTCTGTGAGAACTAGTATTAAATGCTGGGGACATTAAAAGCTGAAGCTGGCCTCTTTTTTTCCTTTTGTAGGTGATTTTTCTCTTTTCCCAAAGGACTTTCTCTTTAAATTTGAAGTCTCTTAACTTTATTAAGATATATTCCAATATTGATAGTTTCATTAAATTTTTCTGGATACATAATGTGCCCTTTTCATCTATGAAATATGTCTTTTATTTTGGAAAAATTTAGAAAATTGCATCTGAAACTTTTTCATTATGGCTGTCTTCTTCAAATATACCAACTAGACATGTTAGGTTTTTGTTATCTATTTTCCATGTGCATCATTTCCTCTCTACTCCTTTTTATTTAGCCTTGTGTCTGTTCACAGGATAAATGGTATTTATTCTTTGTGTTGCTTCTAATGAAACCTTCACTTCTATTTCTTTTTGTTCTTTCAGCTCATCAAGTATCTCTTCTTATCTTACTCCATATGCCTTGAGATTTTATTTTGTAGTAGGCTGCATTATTAGGGTTTTTTTTTTTTTTTAACTGTGGTCACAGTTTTCATTTATTCTTTGACAAGTTATTTGACCATCATTGTATTCTTCTCTTCTGTCTTTTTCCTTATTTTATTTTTGTTTAGATATCCTGTACTGATATTTATTATTACTATTACTCATCTTTGTAGGAGATGAGAGGGCTGGCTGTGACTGTGTACCAGGGTAGCAGGAATTCTTCATGGTAACTTGTGAAGTTTATTATGGCATGCAGCTGTGTAAAAAAGCTATTTTACTCTTCTTGCCTGATACCAGAAATCAGCAGCTGTAAGACCATTCACAGTGAATTCTCCTCTGTCTCACCCACTTTTCATTTAGTGAAAATAGGGAGTACCTACTTGTGTTTTATTCATCCCTATCTTCCTGCTTCTCTTTGATGCCAAACTGAGTACAAGGAACTCCTTCCTGCGACTGGCCATGTAGCTTTTTGCAGTGTTCCAAACAAAGCACTCTTGCTTTGTTTGGAAACAAACAAGGCACTTGAAGATGTGCCTTCAAGTTTGCAGAAGCTTTATCTGAGATGCATGGCCTCAGATGAATTCTTGGCATTTTTCCATACCCTTATTTGGTTTTCACCTTATTTAGGTGACTTTTTAAATTATATTGTTGTGGGACTATGTCTCCTAGTTTTTAATGACTAAATTTGTATTTCTGTATTTCTTGTTCTCCTTGTTTGGAGGTAAGTTTTATGAGGAAGAGACAGTGACATATTCATCTACCATTTTAAGAAAGCTACCTTATTCTTTTAAATGGCTGCACAGTATCCCTTTGTATGGATATATCATAATCAATTTAACTGGCATCTTTTTGGTGGACTATTGGATTCTTTATCGTCGTTTACGATAGGCAGCACTAAAACATCCTTAAACATATATTTTTACACTATTCTTTGTATGTTTTGCATGCATGTTTCTTTGCATGTTTTTTTTTTCCTTAGAGACAGGGTCTTGCTCTATCACCCAGGCTGAAGTGCAGTGGCATGTTCATGGCTCACTGCAGCTTTGACCTCCTGGTCTCAAGGGATCCTCTCATCTCAGCCTCCCAAGTAGCTGAGGCTACAGACATGAGCCACCATGCCTGGCTAATTTTTTTATTTTCTGTAGAGATGGGGGTCTCACTATGTTGCCCAGGATGGGCAACTTCTAGCCTCAAGAGATCCTCCTGCCTTGGCCTCCCAAAGTCCTGGGATTATAGGCATGAACCACCATGCTTGGCCTCTTTGTACATTTCTTAGGGTAATTTCTTAGAAGCAAAATTCCTGCCAATACAGCTGCTAATTATTATTTTACATTCTGATAGCCCTTCAAAAGGGCTAACTGTGGACAAGAGTTTCTGCTTCTCAACATCTTCACCAATGCTAGTTTTTTCAACACGTTCTTATGATAATTATCAAAGATACGGAAAAGTTGAAAGAATGTTACAGTGAATACCATGTACCCAGCACTTAGATTTGACAATTGAAATTTTAACTATTCTTGCTTTATTAGATACCTGTTCAATCTGTATTTAACAATGAACTAGCATCTTTCTTGTGTGTATGAACCATTTAAAAACTGCCTTGTGTTCATTTTCCTTTTGGATGATAGTTGTTTTTCATACTGATTTCTAGAAACTCTTTTTGGTTTTTTGTTGTTTTTTTTTGTTTGTTTGTTGGTTTTGAGACAAAGTCTCACTCAGTCACCCAGGCTGGAATGCAGTGGTGCGATCTTGGCTCACTGCAGCCTCTGCCTCCTGGATTCAAGCAGTTCTACAACCTCAGCCTCCCGAGTAGCTGGGATTACAGGCATGCACCACCACCACACCTGGCTAATTTTTGTATTTTTAGTAGAGATGGGGTTTCACCATGTTGGCCAGGCTGGTCTCGAACTCCTGACCTCGGGGGATCTGCCCACCTTGGCCTCCCAAAGTGCTGGGATTACAGGCTTGAGCCACCGCGCCTGGCCAGAAACTCTTTGATTAATGAATAAATTCGTCCTTTATCTGTCATGAGTTGCAAATATGTCCCAGCTTGTTTATCTCTTGATTTTGTCTGAGGCATATTTTTCTTGTAGGCACTGATACCTGTAGGTCTGTCAGAGAATTCTCACTTACTCATATGTATCTGTCTTTTCTGCCATTTCTTTCTAATATCACAAGTATCTGTGACATTTCATCACAGATTTAAAACACAGCATGCTTGTATAAGAAAGAATCTGTTCTTATTAGATTGGAATATGTGGTAATTATTGTGTTGTTGAAGCCTTAATATTGATAAGTAATGTTTCCTAAAGACTTTCTTCATGAGACCATTTTATGGATGCCTGAACAGTCAGTATTTTTTATTCTGAAAGATGCAATATGATAAATAGGAAAGTACTGAATTTTCCACTAATTATGTTAATTTTACTTATATAAACCTCTGTTTCTTTACCAGTAAAATAAAAAAACCAAGGCATTATAAAAGTTCCAAAATCTTTTGGAACTTTTATAATATAACTATATATTTTTCCTAATATCTTAGTGTTTCATAGCGCTTTGTACTTTTTAGATGACATTTATTTAATTCACTTCATCTGCCATATATACAAGTATATAGGGCAGGCGTTATTCCATTTTTAATAGGTTAGGAAGCCACACTGGGAAATCAAGTTATTTTGCTAAGGTTAATGACAGAATAGGAACTAGAACCCAACACTCGTTTCTGTATATTAGCTGCTTATAAGTGGTTTACTGTCTAAATTTACAGGATAGGACCTGATCTGCATAGCAGAATAATCTGGACAATTAAGATATTACTCATTTTAATAACATTTGCTACTTTTGAAAAGTAACCACCCAAGCTGATTGGTTAAGGGTTACTTTTGCATGCATACATGTTTGTGTGTGTGTATGTGATATATAGAGAGAAGCTACATTTGAAAATTAATTTCAGACTTAATTATTTCAACAAAGAATAGAGAAAGTCATTTCCTGCTTTCTAAAATGTGCATTATATTAGGGCCAGCTAGGCTATGGCATCAAATAATTCCAAATATATATTTGCTCAATATAATAGATGTTTATTTCAAGTGTTCAGGGCACTCTTTACTCTGTCATTCTGAGCCATGATCCAGCCTGAAATGAGCTCTACCATTTTCAACACATGGCTTCCAAGACTACTGGGAGTTCTTTCCATTTCAGTAGGCCAGAAGGAAGAAAGAGTATGGAAGAGCGTGTGACTTGCCTGACCGTAGAACACATTATTTTGACTTGAGTTTTGTTAGCCAGAGATCAGTTACATGGCCATATCTAAGTGCACAGGATGCTAGGAAACAATTCAGTGTGTGCCCAGAAAAAGAGGAAGAGCAGCTTTGAGGGAGCCACTAGCAGTCTACGTTGTGTACTTATTGCTTTAAGGTTTTCTTAAGGGTGGAAAAAAACAGGATTTTTATATGCTAGCATTGTAACTTATAATAATATTCTTCCCAATTTAGGAATCACACTGTCAGAGTACTTCCGTGACATGGGCTATCATGTCAGTATGATGGCTGACTCTACCTCTAGATGGGCTGAGGCCCTTAGAGAAATCTCTGGTCGTTTAGCTGAAATGCCTGCAGGTAAGTCTGTGTATTGCTTATCATGTAAACAAGACTGATGGGATTTTCGGGGCTGGCTTAGAAACTCTGTTTTAAAATTTCTTTTCATTTTTCAGATAGTGGATATCCAGCCTATCTTGGTGCCCGTCTGGCCTCGTTTTATGAACGAGCAGGCAGGGTGAAATGTCTTGGAAATCCTGAAAGAGAAGGGAGTGTCAGCATTGTAGGAGCGTAAGCACCCACACTATTTACTTTGCAAAAGGAAAAAAGTCACAGATGTATTAAAGAGAGAAAAAAAGTCACTTATTTTAAAGAGAGAATATTTAGCTCCCGCTGGGAGCAGCGGTTCTTAAGGAGGGTTGCACTCCAGAGTCACCTAAGGAGCTCTTTGAAGATGCACATGTTTAGGCAATTTCTACATGTCCTGGTTCCATAGGTTTGACTTTAATTTATATATTTATATGTTTAATTTAGATATTTATTTAATTTTTATAATTTAGAAAATTATAGACATAATAAGGTGAGATTGCATCACGGTAAAAAGAAAGTGAAGATTCGTGATCACTACATAAAGCCATACTTTTTTCTTAGAGCGTTTCCTCCTTGCTTCATCTATTTGATTAGAATAATAAAATTGATTATAATAAAATATCTATCTCATGTCTCATAATAGAAGGTGTTCTGTAGTTTCTATTGTTGTTTACAACTTAAATACTGGCTTTTGTTTAAGATTTTTAGGTAAGATTTTCTTTCCAAAGGTCATTTCTAAAGTTATTTACATTAAAAAGTTATTTACATTAAAATCGACTTTAAAAAAAGTTAACATTTATATATATGTTATTTTTCATAAGCATTTCTAATGACCATTTTTTTTGTAATGACCATATTTTTTTTAAATTTAGAGTTTCTCCACCTGGTGGTGATTTTTCTGATCCAGTTACATCTGCCACTCTTGGTATCGTTCAGGTATGTCTTTCCCTAGTATAGTCAACTTCTGAGCCTTTCCTCCTCTCTGCAGCCCCTGCTGTTCTAATGCGATCTAATGTAATCGTTGTGAAGTATTTAATTTAGTCTCTAAAGGATAGGCAATGGTAAAGTCTGGTTTAGAAACACTCTTAACACAGAGCCTTTAATACTGTCTGTTTTTTTCTTAGCTGTTTACATAGGATTTATAATAAACTTAATAATATATAAGTGGAAAATATAGGTAGCAAAAATTTTATTAGTATTAGAGTAGTATTATCCTTTAAGTCATAGTAACCCTAGTTATAGAAACAAAGAGGCCCAAAAATGTGTAATACCCAGAAGTTATTTCACTTCACAGTATGATCCAAGGCTCTCTTCTGTTTAGTGATAATTCTGAGTCCAGGATTCTTTCCATCTTGTGACTCCACTGTCACCTAGCCTGGTGATCATCTGCATCTAGCTGACACAAGGGAGCTGGGCCTTGTGGAGAAGGCATACCCACCTTTTTTGAACCTTGGATTCAAAAGTGACACAGTCACTCCACTCATTCTATTAGCCACATCCAGGTGAAAGCAAGGCTGGAAAATGCAGTTTCTGCCTAAGCATTTGCTTTCCAGTGACAAGACATGAATTTTAGTGGATAGGTAGCCAGCTTGGCTATTAAAAGAAGCCCAAATAAAAGATGTGTACAAATCAGAGCTATAGTTAAAAAAAAAAAGTGATATGTGTATATTATTCATGTGGGAAAAACAGAATATTTACTTGTGTTTCTGACAGTATCAGAGAAAAGGAAATGTCAGAGGCTAAATGTACAACTCTCAAGCTTTTTAACGTTTGCTAAAATTTTGAGTTTTAAATTATGGGGAAAGAGGGAACAGAGTTAGAAATGCATGGAATATCTGTGAATGTTTGCCCTTACAAAAATCACTGTCAGTTGTTGTTGGATTGGCCCTGTGAATGATAGGCAACTAAATTTAATCAAAACACTTAGATGTTTTTGTTTTGTTTGTTTTGATACGGAGTTTCACTCTTGTTGCCCAGGCTGGAGTGCAATGGCACAAACTTAGCTCACTGCAACCTCCACCTCCCGGGTTCAAGTGATTCTCCTGCCTCAGCCTCCCAAGTAGGTGGGATTATAGGCACCCGCCACCACACCTGGCTAATTTTTTGTGTTTTTAATAGAGACAATATTTCACTATGTTGGCCAGGCTGGTCTTGAACTCCTGACCTCAGGTGATCCACCCGCCTCAGCCTCCCAAAGTGCAGGGATTACAAGCGTGAGCCACCATGCCTGGCCCAGAACAGTTAAAAAAAAAATTTTTTTTTTTTTGAGATGGAATCTCACCCCCATCATGCAGGCTGGAGTGCAGTGGCGTGATCTCAGCTCACTGCAACCTTCATCTTCCGGGTTCAAGCAATTCTTCCTCCTCAGCCTCCCAAGTAAGCTGGCATTACAGGCATGCGCCACCACCACGCCCGGATAATTTTTGTATTTTAGTACAGACAGGGTTTTGCCATGTTGGCCAGGCTGGTCTCGAACTCCTGACCTCAGGTGATCCACCTGCCTCAGCCTCCCAGAGTGCTAGGATTACAGGCGTGAGCCACCATGCCTGGCCAGTTAGAGGTTTTTAATCAAAGTAAAGTGTGTATTCGATCTACATAAACCTTTTCTGGTTCTATTGTACCATAATAATTTTCAAAAGAGTAAATTAATTTTTCTTTTTGCTTTTGGATTTGGCACAGTATTAAGAAAATAGAGGTAAATTTTAAATTCGATTTGTAGGTATTATGCACTTGGAAAATGAAAGGAAATAGATTATTGTCATTTTCTGCAAGTTTTATTCTGTTTTAATTTTACTTAGTATATACTAAAACGATGTATAATTTGACCAGTGAATTGTAGAATTGCATATTTAGGGGTCAGGCATGGTGGCTCATGCCTGTAATTCCAGCACTTTGGGAGGCCAGGGATCACATGAGGTCAGGAGTTCGAGACAAGCCTAGCCAACATGGTGAAACCCCATCTCTACTAAAAGTACAAAAATTAGCCGGGCCTGATGGCGCATGCTTGTAATCCCAGCTACTGGTGAGGCTGAGTCAGGAGAATTGTTTGAACCCATGAGGTGGAGGTTGTAGTGAGCCGAGATCATGCCACTGCACTCCAGCCTGGGTGACAGAGCAAGCCTCTGTCTCAAAAACAAAAAAAAAAGAATTGCATAGTTGGGACAAACATGCTTCGGTATTTTTTAACTTTGTTTTTTGAGAAAAATTACTGTTTTTGTGTGTGTGTTTTTTTTAATCAGGTGTTCTGGGGCTTAGATAAGAAACTAGCTCAACGTAAGCATTTCCCCTCTGTCAATTGGCTCATCAGCTACAGCAAGTATATGCGTGCCTTGGATGAATACTATGACAAACACTTCACAGAGTTCGTTCCTCTGAGGACGAAAGCTAAGGAAATTCTGCAGGAAGAAGAAGACCTGGCAGAAATTGTACAGCTTGTGGGAAAGGTGAGTTGTTAAATTCCATGGAAGATAGATCTGTGGGTTACACTGGGGTGTTTCAAGGACAGATAGAGCCTTGGATATTACAGATTCTTGCCTAGCAAAATAAATATTTATTAAATATTTTTAATTGAAATTTTCTATTCATTATAGTACTTAGCATGGTTTTTGGGTATATTGTATGTGAGAAAGAAACATTTGATTTACTTTTATCTTGAAATGGAATATACCCATCACCAACCAAATTAGAGGTAGTAGATTTAGGATTTGTTAGCATACATTTTTGTAGGAATGCTAGGGCTAGGTTTCAGAAGGATTGGCTTCTAGTTCCTCCAATAATTAGCTATTGGCCTTAAACAGGTGAGTTACATTCTTGTGCCTGTATCTTGGATTCTTCAAGGAAAGATGGTGTAATTAAATTTAGGCAAATTAAATGCCAGAATGAAAAGACTTCTCAGATAGTATGCAATGCTAGTTAGTACTCAGAGTTCTTTGTCTGGTTTTGTTCTTTTTATTACATGTTACAAAGTCATCTCCTAATTTATTCCAAAAAAGGTTAATATTAGGAGATAGCTAACATTCTAACATGTATTACTACTTACTATTTATAGAATAAAAATATTCTCTTATCTGCCCAATAAGAGAAGCAAGAAACAGGAAGAACTGCAAAACCAGATAAAGACAATACAAGAAAGGAAAACTATAGGCTAATATTGTTGATGAATGTAGGTATGAATGTAGATACTTAATAAAATATTAAATATTAGTGTATGAGGTCTAGTAGGATATTAAAGAAAATAAAATGATACATCATAAGCAAGTTTATCTCAGGAATGTCCATATTAGACACAGAAAATCTATTGTAATTCACTAATGTAATAATACAATGGAAAAAGGATATCTCAGTTAATGTGGAAAAATATTTGAAGTTTATTACAATTTTTAGAAACATCTTAGCAAACAAGGAATAGAACGGAACTTCCTTAATGTGTTAAAAGTAATATACTAAGACCTAGGGAAACCACTTTACTTACTGGAGAAATTTCAGATGCATTTCATTTAAAAACTAGGATTAAGACCAGCATGCCTAATCTCATCACTGTGTTCTGTCAAATACCAGAGATCATAACCAATGATGTAAGAAGAGAAAAAAGAAAAGTTGCAAAGAAAGAGATAACAGTGTCATTGTTTGTAGATAATATGCTCATATACTAGAAATATAACAGAATTAACAGAGAAACAAATAATAAGAGTTCACTGGGGTGTTATGATTCAAGATAAACACAGATCAAGAGAATGTCTCTACACTAGCAGTACCAACTAGAAAATAAAAGTAAAAATAAGATGTTCTCAATAGCAACAAAAACTAGAGTGTAGGAACTAACCAGAAATATATATTTCTTCTATGAAAACCACTTTTAAACTAATAAATGAAACAGAAGATGATATGAAAATAGAAACAGTCCATGCTCTTGGACGGAATGACTTATTAAAAAGACGCCACTTCTCAGCCAGGCGTGGTGGCTCACACTTGTAATCCCAGCACTTTGGGAGGCAGAGGTGGGCAGATCAACGAGGTCAGGAGTTCAAGACCAGCCTGGCCAGCATGGTGAAACCCTGTCACTACTAAAAATACAAAAAATTAGCTGGGCATGGTGGCGCACCCCTGTAATGCCAGCTACTTGAGAGGCTGAGGCAGGAGAACTGCTTGAACCTGGGAGGCGGAGGTTGCAGTGAGCCGAAATCACGCCACTGCACTCTAGCCTGGGTGACAGAGTGAGACTCCATCTCAAAAAAAAAAAAAAAAGACGCAATTTCTCTTTAATCTGTAAATTCAATGTAACGCCAATCTAAAATTCATTTGATTTCACCAAGATTCACAACCTTAAATAAGAATAGTAAAGTGTGAGCTTCTCCCCTATTGGATAAGGGGGAATACAAAACCATAATAATAAAAACAATGTGGTATTGGTAAAATAACAGACCAGCGGACCAGTGGAGCAGAATAGAGATAGACTTGTGATTGTATAAACGATTGATATTGCAAAGATGGTACCGAAAATCAAGGGAGGAGAGGATAGATTGTTTCAGTCTGTGATAGAAAACTGTTTACTATTTGAAGGAAAAAAACAAAATGGATTGTTCTCTAATTCCACATACAAAGTTAGAATCCAGATAGATTCATAATTTACGTGGGAAAGGTAAGACTTTCAGTTTGATAGAAAACAAATATTAAGAAAATATCTTTGTGATCTAGAGTTGGAAAAGGACTTCTAAAATAAACCCCTTAACATTAGCCTTAAAACAAAAAAAAGAGTTTTTTGATTACATAAAAAGTAAGCATTTATGTTTAGCAAAGGCCTACCCTGGTTAAAGGTAACAGACCAGTGACATTGGGAGAGGAAGTTTGTGACATCTAAAACTCATGGACTGGCTGGGCATTGTGACTCATACCTGTAATCCCAGCACTTTAGGAGGCTGAGGTGAGTGGATGGCTTGACTCCAGGAGTTCAAGACCAGCCTGGGCAACATGACGAGACCTTGTCTCTACAAAAAATATAAAAATTAGCTGGGTGTGATGGTGTGGGCCTGTAGTCCCAGCTACTTGGAAAGCTGAGGTGTGATGATCACTTGAGCTCAGGAGGTTGAGACTACAGTGAAAAGAGATCTCGCCACTGCATTCCATCCTGGGTGACAGAGTGAGACCCTATCTCTATTAAAAAATAAGTAAATACATAAATAATAAGATAAAAATGTTTAGAAAAATTTTAATTTTAAAAATACTTTTAAAAAAATTAAAAAAAAAACTGATGGACTAATGTCTAAAATGTACAAAGATCTCCTGTAAGTTAATAAGAAGACTCGAACTTCAACAGAAGTGTGGCCAAGGGAAAGAACAGACTGATAATAGAAAAGGAATCTCAAAAGACTAATAGACCTGTGGAGAATTGCTCAAACAACACTGAGAACATCACATTATACTAGTTAAAATGTCAAATATTGCCCAGTGTTGTGGGGACAGAGGAGCTGGTGGGTGGATTGTCTGGTGCTGCCATTGTGAGCAGTCTGATAGGACTTGTTTACATACCCTGGAACCTAGCAATTCTGTTTCTGGATATTTATCCCCAAAGAAATTCTCAAGCAGGTCCTTAAGTGGATGTTTGTGATGGTGGGGAATTGGAAGAAATCTGAATGTCCTCTACTGTGAGCAAAAGATGGAAGGTAAAATAGGGAGGGTGCACACCACAGAGGATGAAATACATGAGAGCTGGAAGCAGCAGACCATGTTGCACAGCAGCATGGGTGGATCAAAACAAAGTACCAAACCAAAGACACAAGTAAGAAGTTTTACATAATTAAAGACACTTGCACAAAATAAAATATATATTTTACATGAATTTATACAAATAATACACATAAAACATTGTTTAATATTTACCTGTGGTTGAAGAGAGGACTAGAGATAAAAGGGATTTACAAAAAAAAAAAAAACAAAACTGGAGACCTGATCCATAATGCAAGAATGTAGTTAACTCATTGGGCTTGTCCATTTTCCACTCCCAAGAAATCTTTACCTGTTAGTGATCCTGGCAACACTAATACTATCTCTCAAAGCTGCTAGGGCAATTGTAGAATTTAGGGCTTTTGAGGTAGTGATATTTAAAGGGTGAAGCTCTGTAACTTAGCTATACTAGTAAAATAGCACTCAGACATAGAGTAGTACATACTTACTGTACTTCATAGTTCTAAATATTTTGTAATGTTTTTAAAATTCAACTATTTATGAGCTATATAGATTTTTATGAAACAAGACTGAGAATTCAAATAATTAAGATAGCAAGCCAAGATGTGAAGAGGTATTTCAAGAAAAGAACATCAAGCTTATTTTTAATTAATTAATTTATTTATTTGAGGGAGTCTCACACTGTCGCCAGGCTGGAGTGCAGTGGCGCGATCTTGGCTCACTGCAACCTCTGCCTCCCAAGTTCAAGTGATTCTCCTGCCTCAGCCCCCCGAGTAGCTGGGACTACAGGCGCCCTACCACACCTAGCTAATTTTTGTATTTTTAGTAGAGACGGGGTTTCCCCATGTTGTCCAAAATGGTCTCAATCTCTTGACCTCATGATCTGCCCACCTTGGCCTCCCAAAGTGCTGGGATTATAGGTGCGAGCCACAGTGCCTGGCCAAGAACGTCAAGCTTTTTGCCACCGATGTTTGTTTGGGATTTTTTTTTGTGAGATAAGGTCTCGCTCTGTCACCCAGGCTGGAGTGCAGTGGCACGATCTTAGCTCACTGCAACCTCCATCTGCCTCCCAGGCTCAAGCAATCTTCCCACCCCAGCCTCCCAAGTAGCTGGGTCTAGAGGCGCATGCCACCACGCCTGGGTAATTTTTGTATTTTTTGTAGAGACAGGTTTTCACCATGTTGCCCAAGCTGGTCTCTCACTCCTGAGCTCAAGCAGTCCTCCTGCCTTGGCCTCCCAAAGTGCTGGGATTACAGGTGTAAGCCACTGTACCCAGACCCATATTCTTAGCAGCACTGTTCACAATAGCCAGGAAGTGGAAGCAACCCATATGTCCATCTATGGATGAATCCATAAACAAAATGTGGTATATATATATATACAATGAGATATTATTCAGCCTTAAAAAAGAGATCCCATCACATGCCTCAATACAGATAAACTTTGAGGGCATTATGCTAAGTGAAATAAGCTGGTCACAAAAGGACAAACACTGTATGATTTCATTTTTATGTGGTATTTAAAATAGTCAAATTTATAGAAACAGAAAGTAAAATAGTGGTTACCAGGGGCTGGGGGAGGAGAGAAAGGACAGTTACTGTTTAATGGATGTTTCAGACTTGCAAGATGGAAAAGCTCTAGAGATTTGTTTCACAGTAATGTGAGTATACCTAACACTGTTACACTGTATAATTAAAAGTGGCAAAGATGGTAAATTTTATGTTACATGCCTTTTAACCACAGTTTAAAAAGAACATCAATCAAAAAGCCGTTATAAGTAAATTTATTAACAATAGGTGATGGTGGAAACTATATAATAGTTTCTGCTTGTTAATTAATTGCCACCATCAATCTTACATTTTAGAGTAAATGTCTAAAAATATCTTTTTCTCTTCTAGGCTTCTTTGGCAGAAACAGATAAAATCACTCTGGAGGTAGCAAAACTTATCAAAGATGATTTCCTACAACAAAATGGATATACTCCTTATGACAGGTAAGCTATATTGATTTCCTTTTTTTATTTGAGGATTTTCTGTTGTGTTTTGGTGAAGGAGTACACATTAAAAACCCTTTTTTATTCTCATACAGGCTCATACACTCTGACTTAGTAGATTGGTTTATTTGTATATTTGTAGTAGACATGATCTAATATGTCCCCTATCTTGATTTGCTCATTTGTCCAATTATGACAGTATTTTCACTCATATATTCATCTATAATTAGATTTAATTGTGGCTTAGTGCAGAGCCTGGGGATTATTCCCTCCTTCAGAAGCCTTCTTCATTTCTTTCCACTGCCCATGTCTCCTTTACTCTCTTACGTTGTTGTTTTGAGACAGGGTCTCACTCTGTCACCCGAGCTAGAGTGCAGTGGCGCAATCTCAGCTCATTGCAGCCTCAACCTCCTGACAGTTCTCCCACCTCAGCCTCCTGAGTAGCTAGAACTGCAGGTGCCCACCACCATGCCCAGCTAATTTTTTTTTTTTTTTGGCAGAGACTGAGTTTTGCCATGTTGCCCAGGCTGGTCTCCAACTCCTGGGCTCAAGCAGTCCACCCACCTCGGCCTCCCAAAGTGTTGGGACTCAGGCATGAGCCAACACGCCTGTCTTCTTTTACTTTTTTCCTAAATAATTATTACTCTTTTCCTAAATAATTAATAGTTCTGCTTTCATGCCTCATTTCCCAAGAGTCCTATTGCTTGCTTTCTACCAAGGTCTCTGTTAGAGCACTCCAACTCCTACTCAGTGCTTTCTTTTTTTCATTATTATCAATGCTACTACTGAGGCTTGTTTAAAGTTCTCATTTCTTTTAAATTTTGAGAATTTAGCCCTTTCATGCCAGGTTATCTTTTCTCCCTCAAATCATATTTGGCCCCATATAAGACTGAAGAAGGAACTGAGCCAATGGAAGGATTACCAGAATGTAGGGCAAGCAGTAAATATGCCTGTATATCAGTAAGCCCCAGAAATCTGCTCTACTGGGAACTTAACGAAGCTTCTAGGAACCACCTACACAAAGATAACAAGGGAAAAATTCTTTGGAAAAGGTGTAATAGGAGTATCCGTGAAATTATGTATGCAAAGGTGTTTAAACATATCCAAAAGTTGTACGAATGTATGTGACTGAAGTTGAATATTTGTTCACGTGTCTGTTATTTAAAAGTATGGGCAAATGAAAACAAACACATTAAGAAAAAAGGGGCTACTACTAACTTCAGGAACTTGCAGTTTCCTGCTTTCCTATTACTCATTAAACCTAATCCACTATCACAAGGGAGTCTTTACAACTCAGTTATTTTACCATTTGGGTTACTTATTTAACTGCATTGTACAAAAACAAACCCTCAGAGAGTCATTAGATTATAGTAATACTGTTTCATTGTTTCTCCCACTTGATGATGTTAACAGAGAAAAGTAAAATTTACCCTTAAAATAAATACAAGAATATATATCTTCTTCTATCCCATATCCTGAGACATCTCTGTCCAAAAACTCTGGTTAAGTAGTTGTTGGTCTTTTCACTATTATTTTTTTATTCCTTAGGTATCATCTAATAAATAAGCAATCTGCATACTTAGATAAAGAAACTAATGCTCTAGTAGTTTTATATAAAGTATGAACCTGTTTTGGAGTTTATTTTTGTTAATTTTTTGGACCTTCATTTATTCTAGGTTCTGCCCATTCTACAAGACAGTAGGGATGCTGTCCAACATGATTGCATTTTATGATATGGCTCGTAGAGCTGTTGAAACCACTGCCCAGAGTGACAATAAAATCACATGGTCCATTATTCGTGAGCACATGGGAGACATCCTCTATAAACTTTCCTCCATGAAATTCAAGGTATATTTTGTTTCTGCTGTAACTTTTTTTATTTGGAAATGCTTCTTTTTTTCTTTTTTTTTTAGACAGAGTCTCACTCTGTTGCGAGGCTGGAGTGCAGTGGCATGATCTTGTCTCACTGCAACCTCTGCCTCCTGGGTTCAAACGATTCTCCTGCATCAGCCTCCTGAATAGCTGGGACGACAGGTGCGTGCCAGCACGCCCAGCTAATTTTTGGATTTTTTTAGTAGAGATGGGGTTTCACCATGTTGGCCAGGATGGTCTCGATCTCTTCACCTCGTGATCTGCCCGCCTTGGCCTCACAAAGTGCAATGCTTCTTTTTAATTTTTCTAGCTATTTTGAGTCCCAAACCTGGGCTGTAAAACTTGCAGTTATTTTCACACATGTTCAGGTTTTGTAAAATCAGTAGAGACCTCAAAGTTATGTTCAAATAGGAATTCTAATGATAAAAATTAGTATATCAGCCAGGCATAGTGGTTCTCATGCCTGTAATCCCAGCACTTTCAAAGGCTCAGGCAGGAGGATGACTTGAGCCCAGGAGTTCAAGACCAGCCTGGGCAACATGTCGAAATCCCGTCTCTACAAAAAATACAAAAGATTAGCCAGGTGTGGGGCACACACCTGTAGTCTCAGCTATCTGGGAGGCTGAGGTCAAGGCTGCTGCAGTGTGCCATGATCCCACCACTACTCTCCAGCCTGGGCAACACAGTGAGACCCAGTCTCAAAAAACAAAAAAAATTAGTATGTCACGTCTAAAATAAATGCTGATGTGTATTCCCTTTTGTCTTAGTTGCCAGGCAAATTAGAGCTTACTTCATAGCTGAGCAACAGTTGCCTTACTCCAAGTGCCTATTAACCTCTAGCACATGTGTTCTTCTGAAATGACATCTTCTCTGTTTACTTCTTTTAAATATCATGTACTGCAGGTCATTTTTTAACTTTTTTTTTTTTTGAGACAGTCTTGCTCTGTCATCCAGGGTGGAGTACAGTGGCACAATCTCGGCTCACTGCAACCTCCACCTCCTGGGTTCAAGCGATTCTCCTGCCTCAGCCTCCCAAGTAGCTGGGATTACAGGTGCCTGCCACCACGCCCAGCTAATTTTTTGTATTTTTAGTAGAGACGGGGTTTCACCATGTTGTCCAGGCTGGTCTTGAACTCCTGACCTCATGTGATCTACCCGCCTCGGCCTCCCGAAGTGCTGGGATTACAGGCGTGAGCCACCGCATCCAGCCATTTTTTAACTTTTAAGTGGCCTCTTGTTCTTTTGGAAGTACACAAGATAAAAATAGATAATTAAATGAAATTATTAGTAGGAACTCAAATGTATAAGATTGTTTTTAAAATATTTGATCAGTTGAATTGTATTTATTTCTGTCATGACATCCAGGCATATTTACTAACCACCTACTGAGAATGATTCTCTGAGTGTATATGTAATATAAAAATTTTTAAATTATATATATATTTTGTGTGTGTGTTCACACTATAGATTGAAAGTAAACCTGTACAAATAGGTAAGCACTACATTGAGAGTTTAAAAACATTTACACCTTTTTAGTCTTGTCATTTCACCTTGAGATAAATAAACAAAGGAAGTAATCAGAATTTTGATACGGATATACACGGTCGTTTATTAAATTCTTTTTCTTTTTTTTTCTTTTTTTTTTTTTGAGATGGAGTCTTGCTCTGTTGTCCAGGCTGGAGTACAGTGGCACGATCCTGGCCCACTGCAACCTCCCCCTCCCAGGTTCAAGCAGTTCTTCCTGCCTCAGCCTCCCAAGTAGCTGGGATTACAGGTGCATTCACCACACCCAGCTAATTTTTGTATTTTTAGTAGAGACGGGGGTTTCTCTATGTTGGCCAGGCTGGTCTTGAACTCCTGACCTCAGGTGATCTGCCTGCCTCAGCCTCCCAAAGCGCTGGGATTACAGACATGAGCCACTACGCTAAACCAAATTTCTTAAATGTCACCCAAGAATGAACAGAGCCAACAGTACATTATGGTGTGTCCATAAGATAGATATTATGAAGGCATTACCATTTTTGTCAAAAATATTCAAAGACATGGAGAAATGCTTATGGCACAGAGTGAAAAAACTTCCATATGTAACTTGATCCAAATATTGTCTTAAAAAACTATATATTCATAGAAAGAGGATGAAGAAGAAATATACCTGTAGTAATGATGATTTCTATTTACATGCTTATTGTGTCAAATTAACATCACAGGTATTTTTTAATGTCATTACTCTTCTGTAGCATTGTTTTGTGGCTGGAGAGTAATATTTTTCTATTCTTAGACACTTAGAAAATTTCCAGTTGTTGGCCGGGCGCATTGGCTCACGTCTGTAATCCCAGCACTTTGGCAGGCCGAGGCGGGTGGATCACCTGAGGTCAGTTCTAGACCAGCCTGACCAACATGGAGAAACCCCGTCTCTACTAAAAATACAGAATTAGCTGGGCGTGATGGTGCATGCCTGTAATCCCAGCTACTCAGGAGGCTGAGGCAGGAGAATCACTTAAGCCCGGGAGGTGGAGGTTGCGGTGAGCTGAGATCACACCATTGCACTCCAGCCTGGACAACAAGAGCAAAACTCTGTCTGAAAAAAAAAAAAAACAAAGAAAAGAAAAGAAAATTTCCAGTTATTGGTGTGGACAACCATGTAGTTGTGTGTAGTTGGTTTTGTGCATTTTCTTAGTATGGAGTCCCAGAAGTGGAATGATTGGGTTAGAGACCTGGAACATTTTAAAGTCTGTCTCTTTTTTTTTTTTTTTTTTTTTCTGAGACAGAGTGTCACTCTGTCACTAGGCTGGAGTGCAGTGACGCGATCTCAGCTCACTGCAACCTCCGCCTCCTGGGTTCAAGCGAGTCTCCTGCCTCAGCCTCCCAAGTAGCTGGGACTACAGGTGCACGCCACCATGCCCAGCTAATTTTTTTGTATTTTTAGTAGAGACAGGGTTTCACCATGTTGGCCAGGATGGTCTCAATCTCCCGACCTTGTGACTCGCCTGCCTCGGCCCCCCAAAGTGCTGGGATTACAGGCGTGAGCCACCAAGCCTAGCTAAATTATCTTTTATACATATTACTCAGTAAGTTGCCTAAATTTTACTTTTCCATCCCAGTGTGATAATACCAGATGTTGAGCAAATTCTGTTTTGATTAAATTAATTCCTAATTATCATGCATTAAGTCATGTTCATCTAATATATGAAGCGGCATAATTTCCCACTATTGTGCACATTGTTGAGGATAAAGGCTTTGGTCACTGAATGTGGTTATCAGGCAAAATGCAAAATTAAAATTTTGTTTTCTTTCTGTTTGGTTGGATTTGTATCCTTAAGAAAAAGGGAAAATGAGTATAGTTTTACCTCCTGCCTGTGGTTTACCAGTGTCCCTCACTAAACCTAGTACTCAAAATATATAAAATACGAGTAACCTGGGCCAGGTGCAGTGGCTCACGCCTGTAATCCCAGCACTTTGGGAGGCCGAGGCAAGTGGATCACTTGAGATCAGGAGTTCAAGACCAGCCTGGCCAACATGGTGAAACCTGTCTCTACTAAAAATATGAAAAAAAAAATTAGCTGGGCGTGATGGTGGGCGCCTGTAATCCCAACTACTTGGGAGGCTGAGGCAGGAGAATCACTTGAAGCCAGGAGGTGGAGGTTGCAGTGAGCCAAGATCGTGCCACTGCACTCCAGCCTGGGTGACAGAGCAAGACTCTGCCTCCAAAAAAAAAAAAGTAACTTAACATACGTAATGAAAATTATTTTCCAAATGCGAGTTGAATTTGTAATGTCTTCTTTCAGGATCCACTGAAAGATGGTGAGGCAAAGATCAAAAGCGACTATGCACAACTTCTTGAAGACATGCAGAATGCATTCCGTAGCCTTGAAGATTAGAAGCCTTGAAGATTACAACTGTGATTTCCTTTTCCTCAGCAAGCTCCTATGTGTATATTTTCCTGAATTTCTCATCTCAAACCCTTTGCTTCTTTATTGTGCAGCTTTGAGACTAGTGCCTATGTGTGTTATTTGTTTCCCTGTTTTTTTGGTAGGTCTTATATAAAACAAACATTCCTTTGTTCTAGTGTTGTGAAGGGCCTCCCTCTTCCTTTATCTGAAGTGGTGAATATAGTAAATATACATTCTGGTTACACTACTGTAAACTTGTATGTAGGGTGATGACCCTCTTTGTCCTAGGTGTACCCTTTCCTCATCTCTATTAAATTGTAAACAGGACTACTGCATGTACTCTCTTTGCAGTGAATTTGGAATGGAAGGCCAGGTTTCTATAACTTTTGAACAGGTACTTTGTGAAATGACTCAATTTCTATTGTGGTAAGCTCATTGGCAGCTTAGCATTTTGCAAAGGAATTGCTTTGCAGGAAATATTTAATTTTCAAAAACATAATGATTAATGTTCCAATTATGCATCACTTCCCCCAGTATAAATCAGGAATGTTTGTGAGAAACCATTGGGAACTATACTCTTTTTATTTTTATTTTTTATTTTTTTTATTATTTTTTTTTTGGGGACGGAGTGTCCCTCTTGTTGCCCAGGCTGGAGTGCAATGGCGTGATCTTGGCTCACTGCAGCCTTCGCCTCCCGGGTTCAAGTGATTCTCCTGCCTCAGCCTCCCGAGTAGCTGGGATTACAGGCATGCTCCACCATGCCCAGCTAATTTTGTATTTTTAGTAGAAACGGGGTTTCACCATATTGGTCAGGCTGGTCTCGAACTCCAGACCTCAGGTGATCCGCCCACCTCGGCCTCCCAAACTGCTGGGATTACAGGCGTGAGCCACCGCGCCTGGCCAGGGACTATACTCTTTTTAAAATAGACATTTGTGGGGCTCACACAATATATGAAATAGTACCCTCTAAAAAAGAGAAAAAAAAAATCAGGCGGTCAAACTTAGAGCAACATTGTCTTATTAAAGCATAGTTTATTTCACTAGAAAAAATTTAATATCAAGGACTATTACATACTTCATTACTAGGAAGTTCTTTTTAAAATGACACTTAAAACAATCACTGAAAACTTGATCCACATCACACCCTGTTTATTTTCCTTAAACATCTTGGAAGCCTAAGCTTCTGAGAATCATGTGGCAAGTGTGATGGGCAGTAAAATACCAGAGAAGATGTTTAGTAGCAATTAAAGGCTGTTTGCACCTTTAAGGACCAGCTGGGCTGTAGTGATTCCTGGGGCCAGAGTGGCATTATGTTTTTACAAAATAATGACATATGTCACATGTTTGCATGTTTGTTTGCTTGTTGAATTTTTGAACAGCCAGTTGACCAATCATAGAAAGTATTACTTTCTTTCATATGGTTTTTGGTTCACTGGCTTAAGAGGTTTCTCAGAATATCTATGGCCACAGCAGCATACCAGTTTCCATCCTAATAGGAATGAAATTAATTTTGTATCTACTGATAACAGAATCTGGGTCACATGAAAAAAAATCATTTTATCCGTCTTTTAAGTATATGTTTAAAATAATAATTTATGTGTCTGCATATTGCAGAACAGCTCTGAGAGCAACAGTTTCCCATTAACTCTTTCTGACCAATAGTGCTGGCACCGTTGCTTCCTCTTTGGGAAGAGGAAAGGGTGTGTGAACATGGCTAACAATCTTCAAATACCCAAATTGTGATAGCATAAATAAAGTATTTATTTTATGCCTCAGTATATTATTATTTAATTTTTTAGGTAATGCCTATCTCTTGGTCTATTAAGGAAAGAAGCAATCAGTAGAGAATTCAGGATAGTTTTGTTTAAATTCTTGCAGATTACATGTTTTTACAGTGGCCTGCTATTGAGGAAAGGTATTCTTCTATACAACTTGTTTTAACCTTTGAGAACATTGACAGAAATTATGCAATGGTTTGTTGAGATACGGACTTGATGGTGCTGTTTAATCAGTTTGCTTCCAAAGTGGCCTACTCAAGAGGCCCTAAGACTGGTAGAAATTAAAAGGATTTCAAAAACTTTCTATTCCTTTCTTAAACCTACCAGCAAACTAGGATTGTGATAGCAATGAATGGTATGATGAAGAAAGTTTGACCAAATTTGTTTTTTTGTTGTTGTTGTTGTTTTGAATTTGAAATCATTCTTATTCCCTTTAAGAATGTTTATGTATGAGTGTGAAGATGCTAGCGAACCTATGCTCAGATATTCATCGTAAGTCTCCCTTCACCTGTTACAGAGTTTCAGATCGGTCACTGATAGTATGTATTTCTTTAGTAAGAATGTGTTAAAATTACAATGATCTTTTAAAAAGATGATGCAGTTCTGTATTTATTGTGCTGTGTCTGGTCCTAAGTGGAGCCAATTAAACAAGTTTCATATGTATTTTTCCAGTGTTGAATCTCACACACTGTACTTTGAAAATTTCCTTCCATCCTGAATAACGAATAGAAGAGGCCATATATATTGCCTCCTTATCCTTGAGATTTCACTACCTTTATGTTAAAAGTTGTGTATAATTGTTAAAATCTGTGAAAGAATAAAAAGTGGATTTAAATTAACATTTTTTTCTTTTTCTCTTTTTTATGGCACAATCTGCTAGAAAATATGTACCTTGTATCTTGACTTAATGTTTTGGTATGACCTTTTAAAATTTTTTCCTTCCTTTTTTATAGATTGTTACTTAAGATTATGAAATTGAATTGGAGCCCTCATTATAGCCTGCAAAAAGTCCCATAACTGTATCACACTATGTTTTGGAAATATAATCTACAGAATCCCATCCCATTCTGAATTTTACTTTGAGAAAGTGAATGGTTTCTATAAATTCACTTCTAAGTGCAAGGAAATCAGTGGTACTCTTCAGTTTTTAACAAGTAAACTAAAGCCTTGTAATTTATGATTTTGCAAGCCAATTTAAAGTCCAATATAACAATGTGCAACATCCTTTGTAGCAATTCATTATGGTACGTAGGATATATTTTATTTCCTTAAATGTTGTATTTTTAACAATTTCCAAAGGAGTGAAGAAGCAGTGTCAAAGAACTGTATATTACCATTGAGTCTGAAGTTTATGTAGAGAAATAGTTTAAAAATCATGAGAAGACTTCTTCATTATAGAGCCAGTAATTTTTTGTCCATTAGGTAATATCCCAATATCTTCAGCATATTAGCTTCACTGTATTGCTACAATATAGGAACACGAAGAAGGGAATCAACTTTCTCAAATGGGGTGATAAAACGCTACTGAAGTTGTTCTAAGAGCTTAATTTGAATTCTCGCAGAAGTTGACTCTGAGACAAGCAGTTGAGTTTAGGTAGTTTATTTGGGAGATGGTATCAGGAAACACCATTAGCAAAGTAGAGAATTGAGACAGACTGGAAAGAAGCCAATTAAAGCTCTCATTATCAACCAAGTTAATACTCTGGACTATGGAGCACAATCCTGCTGGGGAGTTTGGGGAACAAGTGAAGAATGCACATCTCAGTTATCCCACCGGGGTGCGAGGAAACTAGGGTAACTTGTTTGACAACCAGCTCCTGTCGATTTTCCATTTGAAAGCTGTCCCCATGAAGATGGGGAGAGTCAATACACAGCACATGCATACAGGTAGATCAGGTCCTGGTGGCCACAGAAAATCCTCTACAAAAAAACTGAAGTACTGGCAGTTGGGAGGTCAGGTTGGTGGGCACTGAAATGGTGGTCATGGTTGAGGAGATAGAGGTAGGACACTACTAGCAACCACTGAGGCTTCTTACAAATCCAGGAAAAAAGTCAATTAGTAACGGAAAAGTTACTCTGGGCCGGGTGGCTCACTGCCTGTAGTCCCAGCACTTTGGGAGGCCAAGGCATGTGGATCACTTGAGGCCAGGAGTTCAAGACCAGCTTAGCCAATATAATGAAACCTAGTCTCTACTAAAAATACAAAAATTAGCTGGGTGTGGTGGTGCGCACCTGTAGTCCCAGCTACTCAGGAGGCTGAGGCAGAATTGCTTGAACCCAAGAGGCTGAGGTTGCAGTGAGCTGAGATTGCACCACCGGCACTCCAGCCTGGGCAAGAGCAAGATTCTGTCTCAAAAAAAAAAAAAAAAAAAATTCTGCAAAATAAGGAAATACCATGTAAAAAGATCAGGAGACTTGGAGACAAGATGTTTGAGAAAGAGCAGAGAGTACACATACTACCAATTTTGGGTATAAGTAGACAGATGGGATTTAATGCTCCTGAAAGTAAAGGCATCTTGTTGGATCAATGGGGATTTTGATCATTTATTCCCACCCCCTCATTACGTAGAAGAGGAAATTGAAGTTCAGGGAGGTTAACTGACTTGCCCTTGTCACAGAGCTACTTAATAGCGAAATCCTGGCTTCCTGATTCCTAGTGTTTCTTTGTTTCCACTAAATCATACTGTGTATCTTTTCCTTACATGTGTACTTTTCATTCAGACCCAAGACGTTGGGTTGGTTAATATGAGATAAAGTAACCTGAGAAAAACCAGGGAGAAATTACTGGCTAGACAAAGGACATGGACACAGGTAGCATGATTCACTCATCTTTTTTTTTTTTGAGACGGAGTTTCTCTGTTTGCCCATGCTGGAGTGCAATGGTGTGATCCCAATTCACTGCAACCTCCGCCTCGCAGGTTCAAGCAGTTCTCCTGCCTCAGCCTCCCAAGAAGCTGGGATTATAGGCATGCACCACCACACCTGGCTAATTTTTTGTATTTTTGTAGAGATGGGGTTTCACCATATTGGTCAGGTTGGTCTCAAATTCCTGACCTCAGGTGATCCGCCCCTCTCAGCCTCCCAAAGTGCTGGGATTATAGGCGTGAGACACCATGCCTGATCCACTCATCTTTTTTTTTCCTAGAGACAAGGTCTGATTCTGTCGCCCAGGCTGGAGTGCAGTGGCATGATCATAGCTCACTGCAGCCTCAACCTCCTGGGTTCAAGAGGTGCTCCTGCCTCAACCTCCCAAAGTGCTGGGACTAGAGGCATGAGCCGCCATGCCTGGCCAATTTTTTTGTTTTTGTTTCTGTTTTTTTGAGATGGAGTCTCGCTCTGTTGCCCAGGCTGGCGTGCAATGACATGATCTCGGCTCACTGCATTCTCTGCCTCCTGGGTTCAAGCGATTCTCGTGCCTCAGCCTCCCTAAGTAGCTGCGACTACAGGCATGTGCCACCATGTCCAGCTAATTTTTGTATTTTTAGTAGAGACAGTTTCGCCATGTTGGCCAGGCTGGTCTCAAACTCCTGACCTCAAGTGATCCACCTGCCTTGGTCGGCCTTCCAAAGTGCTGGTATTACAGGCGTGAGCCACCACACCTGGCCCAGTTTGTTTTTCTTAAGAAGGAAAATGTGATTGGGAAATTGTTCAAGTTTGAGCCACAGTTGAAGAAGATGAATCTGGAAATAGATAACCATTTTTACCAAAATTGTATAGAAGTCTTTAAAGAGGGGAGGAACAAGAATATAAACATAATAAATATCTGATAAAGGACTTATACCCAGAATATATAAAGAAATAAAAAATGCAGAGATCTTAATAAATAGATAAAAGAATTAACAGATGCCTCAAAAAATGGCCAATTATATGAAAAAGTTGCTCAGCTTCAAGTCATCAGGGAAATGCAAATTAATACAATATGATACCTCTTCATACCCACTAGAATGGCTAAAATGGGAAGGACAGAATACCAAGTACTGGTGAAGATGTGGAACAACAGGAACTGTCATACATTTTTGGTAAGAGTGTAAATTTGTACAACCACTTTAGAGAACTATTCTGACAGAATCTACAAAATTGAATTAGGAATAACTAATGACTCACGAATCCCATTCTGAGGTCTATAGCCAACAGAAATGCATACATATATGTTCACCAAAAGACATGTACCAAAATGTTCATAGCAGCAGGCAGCACTATTTGTAAAAGCCCCAAACTGGGAACTACCTGGATAACAGTTTGGAAGAACTGAAGTAAGTTGTGGCATATTCGCACAATGAAATACTATACAGAAATGAAAGTTAATGCAACAACATGCATGTATCTCACAGGCATAATGTTTAAAGAAACCAGACAACAGCAAATGATTCAATTTATATAAAATGTAAAAAAAAACAACTTATCTGTGGTGTTTGAAGTCAGGATAGCAGTTACACATGGTGGGGAGGGGAATGTTAATAACAGGAGGGTAGGCCGGGTGCGGTGGCTCACACCCGTAGTCCCAGCACTTTGGGAGGCCAAGGCGGGTGGATCACCTAAGGTCAGGAGTTCGAGACCAGCCTGGCCAACGTGGTGAAACCCTGTCTCTACTAAAAATACAAAAATTAGCCAGGCATGGTGGCACATGCCTGTAATTCCAGCTACTAGGAGGGCTGAGGCAGGAGGATTGCTTGAACCTGGGAGGCGGAAGTTGCAGTGAGCTGAGATTGTGCCACTGCACTCCAGCCTGGGAACAGAACAAGGCTCCATCTCAAAAAAATAAATAAATAAAATAACAGGAGGGTAGCAGAAGGGGGGCTTCCAGAGTGCTGATAATGTTCTGGTTCTTGATGTGGGTCCTGATAACAAAGATGAGTTCACTTTGTAAAAATTCATGTACACGATTCAAGCACTTTTCTGTATATACATCATACTTTACTAATAAGTTTACAAAAACAAGTAACGATTATACTCAAAAGGTTTCTATTTAAAGTAGTTTTGCATTAAGAAATATATAGTGGTGGTTTAAAAAATACTTTTAGGTTTTACCTAATAAGAAAATGATGTTTTTTTGTTTGTTTGTTTGATTTTTAAACTTACGCTTTCCTAGCAGCAGTAATAGATTTAAATGTTTCAGTTCAGGCACTTTCAATTCTCTTTGCAATCAATAGCTTGCTTTGTTGGATAGCTGACCTGGATTTGGGGAATAGTCTGTCCTTGGAACACAGTCATAGAATGCATAAACTGTTGTCTCTTCACAGTGCTGTAGCCAGTTGCATACAAATACGTACTCAGGTGTCCGTGAATACATATCACAGCCCCTAAAGCAGCAATGGATGGCTGTTAGAAACAGGTTTAATGTTTTAAATAATTATACATCTTAATTAGATGTTTCCCAAACTTGTCTGAATGTAAGAAACATGGAATTGTGTTAATACGGATTCCCAGGCCCTGCCCCAGACCAACCTGAATTGGAATCTCTGGTCTAGGGAAAGGGTAGGGGAATAGATTTAACAAGCATTCCAAGTGATTCTTACCATGGGGCAAGTTTTGGGAAACAACTATCTTTATTCCATGCTTAGCTATGAAAAATAACATGAGGCCGGGCGCAGTGGCTCACGCCTGTAACCCCAGCACTTTAGGAGGCCAAGATGGGCGGATCACAGGGTCAAGAGATCGAGACCATCCTGGCTAACATTGGGAAACCCCGTCTCTACTAAAACTACAAAAATTAGCTGGGCGTGGTGGCACGTGCCTGTAATCCCAGCTACTCGGGAAGCGGAGGCAGGAGAATTGCTTGAACCCCAGGAGGCAAACGTTGCAGTGAACCGAGATTGCGCCACTGCACTCCAGCCTGAGTGACAGAGCGAGACTCCATCTCAAAAAAAAAAAAAAAAAGTAACATGAGAGACTTAGATTTAAATAAGCATTCTCCCAAATGTTGACTAGTTTTATCATAATCTCAGCATTATAAGATGTTGCAGAACCATTTATCCTTTAAGATGTTCCTTGGTACTTACCTTAAACTGTGCTCTGCTGATTCACATGTATTCTGACTCATTTAGACTCAGAATAGCCTGGCACTCAAAGTTTTCCTAAATCATGAAATTTTAGCAATAATAACTGTAATGCCTATGGATTTTAAACAGGATTCTATTACAGTAGTTTCAGGTATTTTACTGAATGAACCAACAGGTTTTTTTCTGTCCATTTCTCTATACATAGGAGATTTTAAAAAGGAATCAAAATTCTGCAACATATTTTGATGTTGTTATACACAGGCTTAGCTTGTGAACATAATTATAAAGGAGTATAATTTAGTTCCATTTTAAAAAATAGCATTTGTTGGCTATGCACAGTGGCTCACATCTGTAATCCCAGCACTATGGGAGGCCAAGGCAGGTGGATTGCTTGATCCCAGAAGTTCAAGATCAGCCTGAGCCACGTACATAGTAAGACCTCCTCTCTACAAAAAAATTAAAAATTAGCTGGGCATGGTGGCACATGGCTGTAGTCCCAGCTACTTGGGAGGCTGAGGTGGGAGGATCACTTAAACTCAGGAGGTCAAGGCCACAGTGAGACATGATCATGCCCCTTTATTATTATTTTTTATTTTTATTTTTTGAGATGGAGTTTCGCTCTTGTTGCCCAGGCTGGAGTGCAATGGCGCGATCTCAGCTCACCGCAACCTCTGCCTCCTGGGTTGAAGCAATTCTCCTGCCTCAGCCTCCCGAGTAGCTGGGATTACAGGCATGTACCACCATGTCTGGCTAATTTTGTATTTTTTAGTAGAGATGGGGTTTCTCCATGTTGGTCAGGCTGGTCTCGAGCTCCCGACCTCAGGTGACCTGCCTGCCTTGGCCTCCCAAAGTGCTGGGATTACAGGCGCGAGCCACTGCACCTGGCACATAAAATCATATTTATGGCCTTAATTTTTAAATTGCATGTTTTATTTTAAAGTCTTTATAAAGCCCTTTTGACATTTACCCTTATATGATTTATGACAGTATTTCCCCAAGCATGGAATTACAGGTTGAGTTTTCTGGAAGCAGATGAACTTCCAGAGCTCATCTAGGTGGAGCTTGGGATGCAAGTTGTTAACTAGCAATAAACAACTTGGAAAGGAAGGGAGCAAAAGCAGGGTTGGGCAGAAAATAAGTAAAGTACAAAGCAGGCCTGACAGACTTGTCCACTCCTAGGCGGAACCTCTGGAGTTTGCCAGAGTTGACATGCATCAGCCTAAAATGGCCTGGCCTTTACACCTGTGCCTCTCTTGGTTCCCAGATTCAAGATACCTGTGAGAATGTCATCTCAGATTGGGTGGTTTTCAGCAACTGTAGAGTAAGAAGGAGCTGATAGCTGGAGGCTGTATGCTGACCATACTCCTGGCAGCTGGGCAGCAAGCCTTCCGCAAAGGGAAACCTGCACAGTGTACCTCAGTGCTGTGAGATGGTTTTAGGAAAGAGGCAGATGAATAGTATGCATTTTAATGTATAGAGGCAACATTTAGTAGTTTAAATCCATGATTTCAAGGATTTGCTTAAGGAGGCAGCCAAACTATTCAATATTTTTAAAAGTGATTCATTTTTAAAGAACACTATTAAGTACATAAAATCACAGAAGTAAAAAGATATGGCAAAAATGAGGGTGGTTTTCAAATGACAGAAATTTCAGCAACCCTGCTTGTAAGTCAAAAATCGGACTGACTGTTTTAGTATCAGTTAAAATAAGTGCTTACTGGCCAGGCACAGTGGCTCATGCCTGTAAGCCTAACACTTTGGGAGGCAGGGGTGGAAGGATTGCTTGAGTCCAGGAGTTCAAGACCAGCCTGGGCAATATAGTGAGACCCTGTCTCTATTAAAAAAAAGTTTTAGGCCGAGCATGGTGGCTCATGCCTATAATCCCCAGCACTTTGGGAGGCTGTGATGGGAGATCACGAGGTCAGGAGTTCAACACCAGCCTGGTCAACATGGTGAAACCCCATCTCTACTAAAAATACAAAAATTAGCCATGCATGGTGGCATATGCTTGTAATTCTAGCTACTTGGGAGGTTGAGGCAGGAGGATCACTTGAGCCTGGGAAGCAGAGTTTGCAGTGAGCCGAGATTGTGCCACTGCACTCCAGCCTGGGTGACAGAGCGAGACTCTGGCTCAAAAAAAAAAAAAAAAAATTAATTAAAAAAAATACAAGTGCCTACTGAATACCTTTAGAAGGATTCAAGGTAAATGTTAGCCTTGTATTATATAGAAATTCATCATCAAATGCAAACCTCTTCAGGAAGTAAGTACTTCAAAATTAATAGAACATATTTCTTGATATTTGAATCATAACCTGTTGGCATTAACTTTGATTAAACTACTGCCAAATAAGTTTTTGGTTTTGCTTGTTTTTTGTTTTTTCTTTTTGAGGCAGGGTCTCACTTTGTCACCCAGGCTGGAGTGCAGTGGTGCCATCTTGGTTCACTGCAGCCTTGACCTCCTGGGTCAAGGCTCAAGTGATCCTCCCACCTCAGTCCCCCAAGTAGCTGGGACTAAAGGCGCCTGTCACCATGCCTGGCCAGCGAGGCTCTGTCTCAAAAAAAAGAAAAGAAATATTACTTGTAATAGCCCCTGCTGGTGAAATGCACATATTCCCTTTGCCAGGCCAGTTCACATATTCTGATGGAGTATTGGCTGATAAGAATTCGCAGCAGCATATTTGTACTGAAACTTGCCCTCAACTAACAGCAGCTGCCACATCTGGCTAGGCCTGGAAGCTGAAGCCCTCTGTTTTCCCCACCCACACACCCAACTGCACCCAAATCAATATGAGGGTATCAAAGACCAGTCCTCTTGCCTCAAGGTGACACCAGTCTGTGATGCTCCAGCGCTCCCTGTGGGACCAGGCTGAGGAGAAACTTCAGTTGCACCCACATCAGCATCTTCTATTTCTCCTTCTCTCTGCTACTTTCCTCACTCCCTTATGAGTTTCACCTGAGCAGCACGTCCTCAATAAGCCACTTTCACAGGAATCTCATTCTCAGGCTCTGTTCCTAGAGAACTGAAATTAAGACATTTCCTCTTCCACAAAATTCTCACTGAGCAGAAATAACTACTGTGATTTTTACAGTTATATTGAACAGAATCATAGGGTTGTCTTGTTCCGGAAAGTTCTCACTAAAAGAAGGCCTTCAAGTGATATATTAAGAATGTATTAGGCCATGAGCTGTGGCTCACGCCTGTAATCCCAGGACTTTGGGAGGTCGAGGCGGATGGGTCATGTGAGGTCAGGAGTTTGAGACCAGTCTGGCCAACATGGTAAAACCCCATTTCTACTAAAAATACAAAAATTAGCCGGGTATGGTGGCAGACGCCTGTAATCCCAGCTATTCGGGAGGCTGAGGCAGGAGAATCGCTTGAACCTGGGAGACAGAGGTTGCAGTGAACCAAGATGGTGCCACTGCACTCCAGCTTGGGTGACACCCTGTCTCCAGGAAAAAAAAAAAAAAAAAGAATGTATTATTTTGGGCCAGGTGCAGTGGCTCATGCCTGTACTCCCAACACTTTGGGAGGCTGAGACAGGTGGATCACTTGAGATCAGGAGTTGGAAACCAACCGGACCAACATGGTGAAACCCCATATCTACAAAAAATACAAAAATCAGCTGGGTGTGGTGGTGGGCACCTGTAGTCTCATCTACTTGGGTGGCTGAGGCAGGAGACTTGCTTGAACTTGGGAGGTGAAGGCTGCAGTGAGCCAAGATTGTGCCATTGCACTCCAGCCTGGGTGACAGAACGAGGCTCCATCTCGAAAGAAAAAAAAAAGCCAGGCACGGTGGCTCACGCCTGCAATCCCAGCACTTTGGGAGGCTGAGGCGGGTGGATCACAAGGTCAGGAGATCGACACCATCCTGGCTAACACAGTGAAACCTTGTCTCTATTAAAACTACAAAAAATTAGCCAGGCATGGTGGCGGGCGCCTGTAGTCCCAGCTACTCAGGAGGCTGAGGCAAGAGAATGGCGTGAACCCGGGAGGCGGAGCTTGCAGTGAGCGAGATCAAGCCACTGCACTCCAGCCTGGGCAACAGAGCGAGACTCTATCTCAAAAAAAAAAGAAAGAAAAAAAGGAAAAAGAAACATTGTATTCCAAAAAAAAAAAAAAAAGACAGAGAGAGAGAATGTATTATTTTTTCATTAAGATACCTACCCATTTTGAACATTTTTGCATCATTTTATAGAAAGCTTCTTCAATGTGTCAGCCTTCATTTTGAGAGAATTAAGAATTCAAGTCAGCTCCTTCCTTCGTTCCTTCCTTCCTTCCTCCCTTCCTTCCTTTCTTTCTCTCTCTCTCTCTCTTTTGTGATATGGGCTTGCTCTGGGCCCAAGCAATCCTCCCACTTCAGTCTCCCGAGTAGCTGGGACTTCAGGCATGCACCACCACCTCTTGCTAATTAAAAAAAAAATTTTTTTTTTCAAAGACAGGGTCTTGTTATGGTGCCCAGGAGGGCCCACATCTTTTTCTCCAATGTCTTTCTTCTATTCTAGAATTTGATTCACATATAGATGCTGTTTTCCAAAGGTTGTACTTATTTTTATTTTATTTTATTTTTGAGATAGGGTCTTGCTTAGGCTGGAGTGCAATGGCATGGTCATAGCTTACTGCAGCCTTGACTTCCCAGGATCTAGTGATCCTCATGCCTTAACCTCCTGAGTAGCTGGGACTACAGGCACACGCGACCATGCCAGGCTAATTTTTAATTTTTTTGTAGAGACAAGGTCTAACTATGTTGCCCAGGCTGGTTTCAAACTCCTGAGCTCAATCAATCCTCCCTCCTCGGCCTCCCAAAGTGCTAGGATTACAGGCTTCTCAGTCACACTACCAAATTTTTCTTTTTTTTTTTTTTTTTTTTTTGAGACAAAGTCTGGCTCTGTCACCTAGGCTGGAGTGCAGTGGTGTGATCATGGCTTACTGTAGCCTCGGACCTCAGGCTCAAGCAATTCTCCCACTTCAGCCTCCTGAGTAGCTGGGACTTGCCACACCCAGTTAATTAAAAGATTTTTTTGGAGAGATGAGAGCTCACTATTTTGCCCAGGCTGGTCTCAACTGTCAATCTCAAGCAATCCTCCTACCTTGGCCTTCCAAAGTGTTGGGATTACAGGCATGAGCCACCATGTCCAGCCTAGTATCATTTTTATTTTGCCTAGATACCCCTTTTTTTTTTTTGGACAAGGCCTTACTCTGTTGCTCAGGCTGGGGTGCAGTGACACGATGATGGCTCACTGCAGCCTTGACCTTTCAGGCTCAAATGATCAATCTTCCCACCTCAACCTCCTGAGTAGCTGGGACCACAGGCACGTACCACCACACCCAGCTAATTTTTGTATTTTTGTAGAGACAGGGTTTTGCCAGGTTTCCCAGGCTGGTCTTGAACTCCTGGACTCAAATAATCCTCCTGCCTTGGCCTCCCAAAGTGCTGGGATTACAGGTGTGAGCCAATGCACCTGGCCTATACTTACGTTTAAATGCACCATTGTGTGATCCAAGGAAAGATACTCATGAATATTTATATTCTTGCCTCTGCTTCCAACAAACGTAGCTACTCAAAAAATACTACACATTTTATATTTTATATATTTTTAGCATGGGTTTCTAATCACAATGAACACAATTTCTATTTTTATGTTTAGTTGGCTGAATTAACACTTATCCATGAATTATAACTGCTAAATTGCTAATAATCTCGCTAGAGATTTTTATTAAATAATACTCCTGTGGCCTATAAGGTTCAATTAAATAGAGAATGTCATTTCTAAAAATGCCTAATTTTCAGGAAGAGTATTATGTAAAGGAAAACATTGTCTCAACATGTTTGGTAATTTCTTTTTTTTTGAGATGGAGTCTTGCTCTGTTGCCCAGGCTGGAGTGCAGTGATGCGATCTCGGCTCACTGCAAGCTCTGCCTCCCGGGTTCATGTCATTCTCCTGCCTCAGCCTCCCGAGTAGCTGGGACTACAGGTCCCGCCAACACGCCAGGCTAATTTTTTGTATTTTTAGTAGAGACGGGGTTTCACCGTGTTAGCCAGATTGGTCTCGATCTCCTAACCTCGTGATCCGCCCGCCTTGGCCCCCCAAAGTGCTGGGATTACAGGCGCGAGCCACCGCACCCGGCCATTAATTTCTAAATTTAATTACGCTATCAATAGTTTATTGGAAAACATTTGCTTATTTATTTGTAAAGGCAAAGCATTTTTACTTAAAATAGCAATGCTAAAATTGAGAGGTTGGTGGATATCATTGAGGCAGAAAGGAGAGGAATGAGAGAGATGGCAGGTCAAATTTAGGTAGGTTAATTTATTTAACACCATAGGTTATAGTGCAACATTAGATAATATAAGGCATCTCATTTCAGAAATTGACACAAGTTGTATTTAAATAATTTATAGTTTAATGAAATGTGAATCTGGAAATCTAATATCCTTAGCAAATGACCTAGGAACTCTCTCAGTTTGTACTTTTCTCTTTTCACTCTAACACTGGCTTCTATTTTGCACATATCCTTATTTTACCAGCCTTAAACTTTGTTCTGTTCAGTGGATCTCATTCTATAGTCCCTGGAAATTTTATCCCTTTCTCTACCCAACTTAACTTAAGCCCGCTTTGTTTGTTTGTTTGTTTGTTTGAGATGCAGTCTCGCTCTGTTGCCAAGGCTGGGGTGCAGTGACACTATCTCGGCTCACTGCAACCTCTGCCTCCAGCCTCCCAAGTTCAAGTGATTCTCCTGCCTCAGCTTCCAGAGTAGCTGTGATTACACGCCACCATGCCCAGCTAATTTTTGTATTTTTTGTAGTGACGGGGTTTCGCCACATTGGCCAGGCTGGTCTCCAATTCCTGACCTCAGATGATCCTCCCACCTCGGCCTCTCAAAGTGTTGGGATTACAGGCATGAGCCACTGTGCCCAGCCTAAGCCTGTTTTTCTATATTGGTTTTTTCCTTTTAAGATATATATATATATATGTGTCTGTATATATTTATCCTACAAAAACTATTCAAATCAAAACAAAAATGTTTGTCAATCCAATACTCAATAAGCAACATTTAAATAAAAACATAATTACTTTCATTGTTTATTTACTTAAAAATATTTATTTTTTAAGTAAATGTTTATTTACAGAAAAATATATAGTATTAACATGGACAATTAAAAAAAACATACATATGTATGTACCCATCACTCAGATTAAGAAATAGAATATGGGGCCGAGCATGGTGGCTCACGCCTGTAATCCCAGCACTTTGGGAGACCAAGGTGGGTGGATCACCTGAGGTCAAGAGTTTGAGACCAGCATGGCCAACATGGTGAAACCCTGTCTCTACCAAAAATTTAAAAATTAGCCAGGCATGGTGGCGCATGCCTGTAATCCCAGCTACTTGGGAGGCTGAGGCAGGAGAATTGCTTAAACCCCGGAGGCAAAGATTGCAGTGAGCCAAGAATGCGCCATTGCACTCCAGCCTGGGAGACAGAGCAAGACTTCATCTCCAAAAAAAAAAGAGAAAGAAATAGAATATTGGAGTAACATAGAAGCCCTCACCAATTGCAACTCTCTTCCTTCCCCAAAGATAAACATTACTCTGATTTTTGTGTTAATCAGTGCCTTGTTTTAATTTATAGATATGTCACCTATGTTCCTGTGTAAGCAAAGGGTGACTGGTGTCACTATCAGATTTTTAAAGCCTTTCAGGAGAAAAGAAACTGATCATAATCTGGCGTTAGGTTCCCGGAGAGTTAATAAACAGTCTTTTTTTAGGGAAGTCAGTGAGCAGGAGCCTTCAGGAATCCTGGAAAGCCTAGGACTCAAGCAGACTTTGAGCACCTGGACCAGATTCTGGATGTTTGGCAAAAATATGGTCAGAGAAAATGGACTGTTCTGTGTTTTCTGCTTCTAAACCCATCATAGCTACCTCTCGTTCTCAGGAGTAAGTCAAACCAGAAATCTGTGGGGTGAAGCAGCAGAGCATGGAGGGAGAATAGGAACTTCACAAGCAAAGTACACAAAAGATTCTGAACATGACTCATAGGGAAATTCTGTCTTCAGCTAAAAAGAAGATAAATGGCAATAGGGATCTTGGTGATGACAGCACTCAATCAGCTTGTCTCTTGAGTTGCATGGCTCCAATCTGGACTACTTGCCTTCTATGTCTAGTCTGCAGCTGTCATTCTGGGATCTACCACTTGGGGAATGCCATCTCTATCCTAGTGCTTGTTTTTCATCGCCCACATTTTATCTTTACTGGTTTCTTAATGAGCTGTTTCTCCAGTAGCTTGTTTCTTAAGTAAGGTGGGTGGCATATTTTTTGAGACATATACATCTGAAAATTAAAATTGCCTAGCAGCATGGAGACAAGGAGATGACCTAGGGATATAACTGCTTTTCAAACAGCTTTGACCTGGCCAGAGTGGTGGCTCATGCCTGTAATCCCAGCACTTTGGGAGGCTGAGATGGGCAGATCACCTAAGGTCAGGAGTTTGAGATCAGCCTGGCCAACATGGCGAAAACCCATCTCTACTAAAAATGCGGGCATGGTGGCGCGCCCCTGTAAATCCCAGCTACTCGGGAGGCTGAGGTAGGAGACTTGCTTGAACCCAGGAGGTGGAAGCTGCAGTGAGTCAAGATGGTGCCACTGCAACCCAGCCTGGGCGACAGAGTGAGACCCCATCTCAAAAATAAAAAAATAAAAATAAAGCAAGCAGCTTTGACCTGAGTCCTTATTTTAGCTACAATTCTACTTCTTTCCTTATTTAATCATCAGTGTCACAGGTATTTTGGTGTTGTCTTCCCATGTTTTTTGGGCATTCTGAGGTGTAAATCAGCTTGGTCCTTGGTTGTCCTAGAGGTCATTTTGGAAAGTCAGTGGGCAGGAGCCCTACAGGCAGTCCTGGAAAGCCTAGGACTCACCAGACTTTGAGCACCTGGACCAGACACTAGATGTCTGGCAAAAATATGGTCAGAGAGAGTGAGTTTTATAATTCAGTTGCAATTCATTCCCCTGCCTTTCAGCTTACAAGTTTCTTGCTCTTGCTTCCTCTCCTGTTCTGTCTGTCCACAACTCCTTTTATTGCAATTTGGGTGGGTTTCAGGAAGGAACAAAGTTAGATACATATGTGTACACACACACACACACACACACACACACACACACACACACACTCACACACACACATTTTAAAAATTTTCCTAGGGATGGATTGCTGTGATGCCCAGGCTGGTCTTGAACTCCTGGCCTCAAGCAATCCTTCCATCTGAGCCTCCCAAAAGCTAGGATTACAGGCATGACCCACTTCATTAGGTCTATAAAGATATGTTAACTCACTATTTATGGGTTAGCAAAACTAGAAAAAAGTGATAAAAATTAACAATGACATTTCCCAAGGATCTATACTAAAACTAGTCATACTGAACATTTAACAAATTTGAAAGAGTGAAGTTTGTAAACTCCTTCAAGCTCTTTCTAATATTGAAATGTGAGTTACAGAGCTGTACTTCAGGAACACTCTACTTAGTGAAGGGGCAAAAAGTGGCATACCATCGGTAGCCCACCTCTGGGCCTCCTTGGGATAAAATAAAGAGGTGACCCTAGGACTGCTGCATGCTTCTGAGCACCCTATCTATTTCCTCAGCACTCATTTCTTCCCCACCAGCCCTGCCCTTAACTCCAAAACTCCCTCCCTAGTGCGTTGTGGAATTCAGGATCAGACATGAACAAAATCTTTTTTTTTTTTTTGAGATGGAGTCTTGCTCTTTCACCCAGGCCGGAGTGCAGTGGCACTATCTCGGCTCACTGCAAGCTCGGCCTCCTGGGTTCATGCCATTCTCCTGCCTCAGCCTCCCGAATAGCTGGGACTACAGGTGCATGCCACCACGCCCGGCTAATTTTTTGTATTTTAGTAGAGGAGGGGTTTCAACACCATGTCGCCCAGGCTGGTTGTGAACTCCTGAGCTCAGGCAATCTGCCTGCCTCGGCCCCCCAAAGTGCTGGGATTACAGGCGTGAGCCACCGCACCCAGCCAACAAAATCTTCTATAACCTAAGTTCTTTGAGTTTTCTCTGAAAATTCTCTAAAAATCTTTCTTCATCTTGTTCTAACTCAAGGGTGTCCAATCTTTTGGCTTCACTGGGCTGCATTGGAAGAAGGATTGTCTCAGACCACATATAAAATACACTAACACTAGGCCGGGCACAGTGGCTCATGCCTGTAATCCCAGCACTTTGGGAGGCCGAGGCAGGCGGATTGCCTGAGCTCAGGAGTTTGAGACCAGCCTGGGCAACACGGTGAAACCCCGCCTCTACTAAAATACAAAAAATTAGCCGGGCGTGGTGGCATGCACCTGTAGTCCCAGCTACTCAGGAGGCTGAGGCAGGAGAATTGCTTGAACCCGGGAGGCAGAGGTTGCAGTGAGCCAAGATCGCACCACTGCACTCCAGCCTGGGTGACAGAGCGAGACTCCATCTTAAAATAAAATAAAATAAAATACACTAATACTAATGACAGCTGATGGCAAAAAACTCTCATAATATTTTAAGAAAGTTTACGAATTTGTGTTGGGCTGCATTCAAAGCTGTCCTAGGACGCATGTGGCCTGTGGGCCACGGGTTGGACAAGCTTGCACTGATACTTGGTTTTCCCCTGAAACTTGAGAGGAAACGGCTTTCCCTGAAGCCCTCTCAAGTGGTGTCTGTTTCCTCTCCCACACCATCATATCACTTGTAACTTCCCATTGATCTGGCCTTCTTTGATCCTGGCCTCCATTGGCCTCCAATCAATAAGGCCTCCATTGATCCTGGCCTCTATCATTCATGCCCTGTGGAGTCACCTCCCTCAGTGAATCAGAGCTGACTGACCCCAATAGAATGCGGTGTAAATGATAGTCTATAACTTCCAAGGTTAGGTCATAAACGGCACTGTAGTCCTCACCTTGGTATCCTGGATTACCTGCTCTGAGGAAAGGCACTGCCATGCAATGAGGACTGAAGCAGCTCTGTGAAGATGTCCATATGGAGAGGAATTGAGGTCCCAAACCAATAGCCAGTACCAGGTGCCCGGCCATGTAAGTGAGACACCATAGAAGTGGATCCTCCAGCCACTATCAGGTCTTCTGATGACTGGATATCCACTTGATTAAGGGCAACCTCTGAAAGCCCATGAGCTAGAACTGAGGAGCTGAGCTGCTCCAGGTTCCTGACCCACAGAAACCATGAAATAATGAATGATTATTGTTTTCAGCCACTAAGGTTTTGGGTGATTTGTCATGCAACTATAGTAGCTGGAGCACCAATGGGCCCAAGAAAAAGTGATTGTCTTCTTTTTTCCTATTACTTCCAGACTCTTTTCCTTCACTCTTCCCTAACACTCTATCTTTGAATTTCATGTCAGAACACTATGCCACCAGTTGCCTTTTCTTATTGGAGTCATCTATAAACTCACAATCCATGTTCCCTTTTTCATTGAAGATTTTTGCTCCTTGCTCATGTCGCTTTCTTCTACCCTACTCTTTCTGCACTTGGTGATTTCAATAGCCACTAAGGTTATACTTTCAATTCCTGGTTTCTTAGTGCCTTGTCCTCTGCCCCAACAATCTGAACCACCACTCCTGTCAGCCACCCACTCTCATGCTCATATCATAGAACTTATCATTATAACTGCAATTTGTCCACAATCTCAGTTTCAAGTACCATTTGTATCTTTCCAACTCATCACTTCTATCACCAGCAGTCCTTTAATCTCAACTAGATTTACAAACATTTAATCCTCACACTTTCATTGGCCTTGACACTCTTATGACCTTATTTTGCTTCTTAACCCTGCTTGGACTCCAGGGGCAATCATTATTGCCAAATCCTTGCATACATACTTATCTCCCTTGCTTCTCTTGTGACTTAGCGTACTTGCCTGGTAAAAATCAACCTTAGGCTGGGTGCAGTGGCTCACATCTGTAATCCCAGCACGAGGGAAGGCCAGAACAGGAGGATCATTTGAGGCCAGGAGTTAAGACCAGTCTGGGCAACATAGGGAGGCCCAGTCTGTACAAAACAAACAAACAAACAAACAAACAAAACTCCCCAAAACCTAGCTGGATGGGGTGGTGTGGGCCTGTGGCCCCAGGTACTTGGAAGGCTGAGGTGGATCACTTGAGTCCAGAAGGTTAAGACTGCAGTGAACAGTGATCATGCCACTACACTTTAGCTTGGGTAATAGAGAGAGACCCTGTCTCAAGAAACCCTCCAAAACCTCCAACTAAATCCAACTGTGTCCATTCTGTGTTTGCATTTGTGCAACTACAAAAAAAAAATGACACAACTGTGGAGGGTGGTTTCACTTTATTTATTGAGTTATAATAGTTTTTAATTACTTGAAATAAGAAAGTTGCAAGAATAGTGCAAAGGCTTCCCATAAAACTTTTACTCAGATTTTCATGTTTGCTTTATTTATTATTCTCTCTTGGCACACAATTTTTTTTTCTGAAACATTTGGGTGAGCTAGATCAAATATATCAGTGTACAAAGTCATACGTCACTTAACAACTGGGATATGTTCTGAGAAATGCGTCATTAGGCAATTTTGCTGTTGTGCCAACATCCTAGAATGTACTTAAAGAAATCTAAATGGTAGAGCCTACTGAGGTGATGTTGTTGTCTGGGGTAATACCTGAGGTTCGTTGTCCCACGGTCATGGAAAACAAGGACGCAGACAAACCAGGGTGAGGTTCAGAGCAGAAGTTTAATAGGCGAAATAAAGAGAAAAGCTCTCTCTGCTGCAGAGAGAGGGGCCCCAGAGAATATGGGTTGCTGCTTCCATGGTGAAATGCAGAAGGTTGAATAGATGATCTTGGGGAGGTGGTATCTGATTTATATAGGGCACAAAAGATTGGTCGGACCAGGTGTGTCATTTGCATAGCACACGAAGAACTGGTTAGGACTAGGTGTGCGGTTTGCACAGCATGCAAAGAAGCTGGCCACTCCACCCTAATCTTTTATTATGGAGATGGGTTCTCTACATGGCCAGGCACCATGTTGCCTGCCTCTTTACTGTACACGTGGTGACAAAGAAAAGAGAAGAGGACCCTCCCTGTTGAACATGCCTGGCATCCAGGTAGCCCTTTTCTATTGGCACTGAGGCTGGCATTCACCTGTGCAAGCTTTTTAGCTTGCTTATCTATGTTTGCGGCTTGATTTTTCAGGCTGCTCTTTGTTAGAAAAGAAATGTTTTGGTGGCTGCTTTTTGTTAAAAGGGGAGTTCCACCGAGGACTCTTACCCTTACTATCTGCCTAAATTCTATCTCCTGTATTACTACTACACACTTAGGCTATATGGAATAGCCTATTGCTCCTGAGCTATAAACCTGGACAGCATGTTACCATGCTGAATACTGAAGACAGCTGTAACACAATGAGAAGTATTTGTGTATCCAAACATAGAAAAAGTACAGTAAAAATATTGTACTATAATCTTATGGGACCACTGTTTTCTTGTGGTTCACTGTTGAATGCAGTGACTGACACATTGTTATGCAATGCATGACTGCACTTCCTAAAACAAGCACATCCCCATACCTAACCATAGTACAATTATAACAAACAGGAAATTGTATGGGCATGGTGACTCATGCCCGTAATCCCAGCACTTTGGGAGGCCAAGGCGGGTGGGTCACCTGAGGTTAGGAATTCGAGGCCAGGGTGACCTGTAAAAACCCCATCTCTACTAAAAATACAAAAATTGGCCTGGCATGATGGTATGCACTTGAGACTACTCCGGAGCATGAGACAGGAGAATTGCTTGAACCCAAGAGGCAGAGGTTGCAGTGAGCTGAGATCGCACCACTGCACTCCAGCCTGGGTGACAGAGCAAGACTCTGTCTCAAAAAACAAAAACAGGAAATTAACACTGAGTCAATACTATAATGTAACCTACACTTTATTCAAAGTTTTCCAGTTGTCCCAGTAATGTTCTTTATAACAACAACAACAACAAAATGTTTCTGGTTCAGGATCCAAGACAAAATCGCACATTGTATTTAGTTGCTATATATCTTTAGTGTTCTTTAGTATGAAAGAACACTTCAGTCTTTCTTTGCCTTTTATGAGTTTGATGTTTTTGAAGAGTTCAAGTAATGTCCCTCAATTTCAGTTTGTCTGTTTCCTCACAATTAGATTCAGAGTATGCATTTTTGGCACTGTATATTGTTTTGCACCTTACTTTTTTTTAATGTGACAAAATTTTTTGTAGATCTTTATATATCAGTGCATAAAGAGTTTCCTCATTCTTTCTTGGCCATTACTTCTTCAAATATTCTTTCTTTCTTCTCTCCTGGAATTCCCATTTTGTATATGTTGGTCTACTTGGCAGTGTCTTACAGGTCTTATGGGTTCTGTTCATTTTTCTTCACTTTTTTTTCTTTCTGCTCCTCAGACTGAATAATCCCAATTGACCCACCTTCAAGTTGCTGATTTGTTCCTCTGTCTGCTCAAGTCTATTTGAATTACTCTAGTGAATTTCTCATTTCAGTTATTGTATTTTTCAGCTCCAGAGTTTCTATGTGGTTCCTTTTGTAATTTATATCTCTTTATTGATATTCTTCATTAGGTGAGACATTGTTCTCATGGGTCTCTTTTGAATTTGATTTCTTTTAGCTCTTTGAGCATATATGAAATAGTTGATTTAAAGTTTTGTTTGCCTAATGCTCAGGCTTCATTAGGGGCTGTTTCTATTATTTTTCTCTGTATATGGGTCAAACTGTCTTGTTTCTTTGTGTACCTTATAATTTTTTGTTGAAAACTGGACATTTTGAATATTATAATGCAGCAACTTTGTTTTTTTTGAGACAGAGTCTTACTCTGTCGCTCAGGCTGGAGTGCAGTGTGCAGTGGTGTGATCTCGATTCATTGCAGCCTCCATTTCCCCAGTTCAAGAGAGTCTCGTGCCTCAGCCTCACGAACTACAGGCACCCACCACCAGGCCTGGCTAATTTTTGTGTTTTTAGTAGAGATAGGGTTTCACCATGTTGGCCCGGTTGGTCTTGAACTCCTGACCTCAGGTGATCCACCTGCCTCAGCCTCCCAAAGTGCTGGGATTACAGGCATGAGCCACTGTGCCTGGCATAATGCAGCAACTTTGAAAATCAGGTTGTACACCTCCCCAGGTTTTACTGTTGCTGCTTATTTTAGCATTTATTTGTGGTTTGTTAGTATCTTTTATAAACTACTTTTTTATGTTATGGTAAAATATACACAAGATAAAATTAACCATTTTATCCATTTCAAGTATGGTTCAGTGACATTACGTGCATTTATATTGTGTAATGATCACATCTCCAGAACTTTTTCTTCACCCCAAACTGAAACTTTGAACCAGTTAAATAAAGCCCCATTCTGCCCTCTTCATAGCCCCTGGAAACCACCATTCTACTTCCTTTCTCTATGAATTTGACTACTCTAGGTACCTCATACAAGTCAAACTAATTTTGTAAAGTTTGTATTCTTTGTTTTATGTGGCCACATAAGTCTCTGTTCTGTCAGATTAGAAAAAAATAAAAACCGAGGAAGAAAAATACATACAGAAACAAGCAATTATCTTCCAGTCTTTGCAGACTGGCTTTCTGTGTGTGCTGGGTATGCCTGTAACACCCAGCCAGGCAGTTTATATCTCTGCCTTAGCCGAGCAAAAAGTCAGCCAGAGGTGGAAGTTTAGGGCCTTCTTAGGTCTTTTCTGAGCATGTTCCCAGCTTTGGGCATGGATGTGGCCTTCTGGATTCCCAGGAATTTGTGAGAGTTTTTCAAAGCCCTTATTCAGATTGTCCATTGTTTGCCTGAACTGTTATCCCTTGCCCCAAGTGATACTGGTAATATATTTGCCTTCAAATTTTTTCTTTTCTTTTCTTTCTTTCTTTCTTTCTTTTTTTTTTTTTTTGTGTGTGTGCGTGTGTGTGTGTGACGAGTTTTGCTCTTGTTTCCCAGGCTGGAGTGCAATAGTGCTGTCTTGGCTCACTGCAACCTCTGCCTCCTGGGTTCAAGCAATTCTCCTGCCTCAGCCTCCCAAGTAGCTGGGATTACAGGCTTGTACCACCACGCCCAGCTAATTTTTGTATTTTTAGTAGAGATGGGGTTTCTCCATGTTGGTCAGGCTGGTCTCGAACTCCCAACCTCAGGTGATCTGCCCCCTCAGCCTTCCAAAGTGCTGAGATTACAGGCGTGAGCCACCATGCCCGGCCCAAATGTTTTCAATAAATACTCTACCTGCCCCCTCTACCAACATTCCCCCACCAACACCTGCCCAAGGCAGGTGTCCTACCCTTGGAAGAGTTCTGAGATAAAATAAGGCAAACAAGTCCTTGAGCCTTCAGGGAGCCACCAAACAGGTCAAAGCAAACAGATAACAATTCTTCGAGAATAAGGTCTGTACTGCTACCTCTGATACTACGAATCAGTACCAGGAATGTGGGCTATTGTAGAGTAGGGGATGGTACCAGGGTAAGTTAAAATAAAATGTCACAAAAGTCTTTTACTGAGACTCAGCTGTTTTTTCTTAATTAAGCATTCCCCTGATTGTGGTAAGGTTTTGGTGACATTCCAGATTTCCAAATAAATTGTTTCTGACAGCTCTTGCCACCTTTTTTGTTGCTTTTGTGGAAGTACAGACTTTTGAAGTTCCCCACTCTGCCATTTTCGTTGATGTTGCTCCTCCTCATTCTTTTAAAAATTATTATGAAACTGCACAGAATTCCAAATTCTAATGGATGGAGGTTTGTCATTTATTTAACCAGTCCTTTATTGATGATGATTTGTTTTCAATTTTTACTACCAACTATTCTTCTAGGAATAACTTTGGATTATTTTGCATGTGTGCAATTAAATCTATAGGAAAAATTGCAGAAGTTGGTACTGCTGAAGAGTATATGCATTTTGTAATTTTTGAAGCTATTGCCAAATTCGCTATATTACTTTACACCTCCATTATTATTATTATTATTTTGAGACAGAGTCTCACCCTGTCACCCAGGCTGGAGTGTAGTGGTGCAATCTTGGCTCACTGCAACTTCCGCCTCCTGGGTTCAAGCGATTTTCCTGCCTCAGCCTCCCAAGTAGCTGGGATTACAGGCGCCTGCCACCACGCCTGGCTAATTTTTGCATTTTAGTAGAGACAGGGTTTCACCATGATGGTCAGGCTGGTCTCGAACTCCTGACCTCAAAGGATCCACCTGCCTTGGTCTCCTGAAGTGCTGGGATTACAGGCATGAGCCACCGCACCCAGCCTCTACACTTCCATTATAAGAGTCCTGTATCCCCACGGTCTTGTCAGCAGAATGCGTTTTCAAATTTCTGTACTTTTTGTCAAACTAGTAAGTGAAAAATAGTATTTCAGTGTGGTTTTAATTTCTATGCTATTCTGAGTGAAACTGAGGATCTTTTATATTTTTAAGAGACATTTGCCCAGGCACGGTGGCTTACACCTGTAATCCCAGCACTTTGGAAGCCCAAGGAGGGTGGATCATGAGGTCAGGAGTTCGAGACGAGCCTGATCAGCATGGTGAAACTCTGTCTCTACTAAAAAAAAAAAAAAAAAAATTAGCTGGGCGTGGTGGTGGGCACCTGTTATCCCAGCTACTCCAGAGGCTGGGACAGGAGAATCGCTTGAACACAGGAGGTGGAGTTTGCAGTGAACTGAGGTCGTGCCATTGCACTCTAGCCTGGTGACAAAAGTGAAACTCCGTCTCAAAAAAAAAAAAAAAAAGACACTGATATTTCCTTTTCCATGAACTTTCTGACATATACTTTAACAATTTTAACTTGACTATGGTTTTTCCATATGTTTTTCTGGGAGCTGTTTACATATTAGTGTGATCTCACTTTAAATACATGACCATTAATCTCCTAATTAAGCATTCCCCTGATTGTGGTAAGCAGGGATTTCTGGGAGCTGTTTACATATTAGTGTGATCTCACTTTAAATACATGACCATTAATCTCAATGAGGCATTTGTGTTGCCCAGCAATGCTACTGTTTTACTGTTTTCCTAAAACATTAGTCAGTTCATTCACCTGTGCTCCTAAGTATTTCATAATTTCTCCTTTCTCTTCAAACTTCTAACAACTTTTCTTCCATATTCACTTTCACCTTATGTTCTATTTCACTGCAAAATATATCAATGCTCTTCAGCCAAAGTCCAGGAGAACCATAGCTGTAGTTAGACAACATTGTGTTTATTGACTCATTGCAATGAGGGTGAAAAAATACCATGGAGAACCATGAGGACATCTCAGTGAAAGGGTGTTAGAAAGGTCTTACTACAGGATTTGGGTTTGTGTTCAGTGATTTTGCGAGGAGGATTCAAGAAGTGGAGCTTTGTCCCAGATTACATATTGTCAATAAGATGTGGTTATTCTGATTGGGTATCTTAATACATCTTATCTAGAAGGTAGGTGGAATAAAGTGAAGCTAAAGCTGTTATTGGGAAAAAGGCAGCAGTCAGTCATATTAGTCAGCATAGGGACATAGTCATTTCTGTGTTTCGAACGATGTTCACATTTTTGTCTGTGTTTAGACATGATTACCCAGTGGCCTTCTTTTTGTCTTACTCTATCATGATCATACAGTGGCCTTGCTTAATATTAGTGTTCTGTGACGTTTTTTATGTTTAACAGAACACAGTTTATGCAAAGTTTTGCAGAATGAGGATGGAAACCTGTCTTTTACTGATTATCTTATTAAGTAATTTGTCCTTTAGTATGTCATATATATTTAAGAAATATGCTCATGGCCAGGTGCAGTGGCTCACGCCTGTAATCTCAGCACTTTGGGAGGTTGTGGCGGGTGGATCACTTGAGGCCAGGAATTTGAGACCAGCCTGGCCAACATGGTGAAAGCCCATCTCTACTAAAAATACAAAAATTAGCCGGGCATGGTGGTGGGCGCCTGTAGTCCCAGCTACTCAGGAGGCTGAGGCAGGAGAATTGCTTAAACCTGGGAGGCAGAGGTTACAGTGAGTCAAGATTGTGCCACTGCACTCCAGTCTGGGGGACAGAACGAGACTCTGTCTCAAAAAAACAAAAACAAAACAAAACAAAAAAGAAATACACTCAGTGTCTGACATTTTGTGGAACTGGATTCAACTCCTTTCCATCTCTTCAACTTTACATTATGATTTTTAAATATATGTAAACAGTAAAAGAATAACTGAATAGTAGTATACCCTCCACTTAGGTCCAATAATTAACGTTTCGCTATTTTGTTTTCTCTGTGTATTCATCTTCGTGGAAGCATTTGGAAGCAAGTTGCAGACATGGTGCTACTTCACTCCTAAATACTTTTTTTTTTTTACATCCCCATGGATAACAGGGAACTCCTAAATATTTTAGTGTGAGTTTTCTAATATTAAAGACACCCTGCAACATAGCCACAAGTTATTATTATTATTATTATTTATTATTATTATTTGAGACGGAGTTTCACTCTTCTTGCCCAGGCTGGAGTGCAATGGCCTGATCTCGGCTCCCTGCAGCCTCCACTTTCCAGGTTCAAGCGATTCTCCTGCCTCAGCCTCCCAAGTAGCTGAGATTACAGGTGCTCACCATCACGCCCGACTAATTTTTGTATTTTTAGTAGAGACAGGGTTTCACCATGTTGGCCAGGTTGGTCTCAAACTCCTGACCTCAGGTGATCCTCCCACCTCAGCCTCCCAAAGTGCTGGGATTACAGGCTTGAGCCACCACGCCCAGCTGCCAAAAATTATTAATTATCCATAAATGAATATCCATAAATGTATACATAAATCATTAATTATCCTGTAACATCAACTCTAATAGCCATTTCATATTCACTATTCCTCAATTGTTCTAGAATGTCTTCCCTCCCTCCCTTCCTTCCTTCTTTCCTTCCTTCCTTCCTTCCCTCTCTCTCTCTTTCTTTCTCTCTCTCTGTCTCTCTTTTCTGGAGATGGGGCCCCCCTGTTTTGCCCAGGCTGGTCTTGAACTCCTGGACACAAGCAACCCTCCCACCTTAGTCTCCCAAAGTGCTGGAATTACATGAGTTAGCCACTGTGCCTGGCTTAGAATGTCTTTTTTATAGCTGTTTGGTTGGGAACTCTGAACCCCAAATATCTGAGACAGGCCTCAGTTAATTTAGAAAATTTATTTTGTGAAGGTTAAGGACACACCTGTGACACAGTCTCAGGAAGTCCCAATGACATGTGTCCAAGGTGGTTGGGGTACAGCTTGCTTTTATATATTTTGGGCAGACCTAATACATCAATCAATACATGTAAGATTTACATTGTTTCAATCTGGAAGGGGAGACAGCTCCAAGGCGAGAAGGAGGAACTTTCAGGTCATTGGTACATAAAAAAATTTTCTGATTTGCAATTGGTTGAAAGCGTTATTATTGACTGGGAGCTGTGGCTTGCACGTGTAATCCCAGCACTTTGGGAGGCCGAAGGGGGCAGACTGCTTGAGTCCAGGAGTTCGAGACCAGTCTGGGCAACATGGCGAAACCCTGTCTCAAAAAACAAACAAACAAACAAACAAACAAACAAACAAAGTAGTTAAGCATGGTGGCACACGCCAGTAGTCCCAGCTACTCGAGAGGCTGAGGTGGGAGGATTGGTTGAGTCCGGGAGGTGGAGGTTGCAGTGAGCAGAGATTGCGCCACCGCACTCCAGCTGGTCTAATAGAGCCAGAACCTGTCTCAAAAGAAAAAGAGAAAAAAGAGTTATTATCAGTAGAAAGGAATGTCTGGGTTAGGATAAGGGGTTGTGGATACCAAGGTTTTATCATGCAGATGCAGCCTCCAAGTAGCAGGTGTCCGAGGCAATAGATGATAAATATTTCTTCTCAGACTTAAGGTCTGTGTTGATGTTAATGAGGCATGTCCAATCCCCTCTTTCATCATGGCCTGAACTAGATTTTCAGGTTAAATTTGGAACGCTCTTGGCCAAGAGGAGGGGTCCATTTAGATGGCTGGGGGTGGGCCTCGGCATTTTATTTTTGGTTTACAGAACCAAGAATCTGCAATACGTACAGCAGTTAATCAGTAACTTCAATCCTTTATTGGAAGGAACAAGAGTTTCCTGGCCGGGGGCGGTGGCTGACGCCTGTAATCCCAGCACTTTGGGAGGCCAAGGCCAGCGGATTGCCTGAGGTGGGGAGTTCGAGACCAGCCTGACCCACATGGTGAAACCTTGTCTCTACTAAAAATACAAAAATTATCCGGGCGTGGTGGCAGGCGCCTGTAACCACAGCTACTCGGGAGGCTGAGGCAGGAGAATCGCTTGAACTGGGAGGCGGAGGTTGCAGTTAGCCGAGACGGGGCCTTGGCACTCCATCCAGCCTGAGGAATGAGAGCGAAACTCCGTCTCAAAAAAAAAAAAAAAAAGTTTCCGAGCAATTCACCTTTTCGCACATTGGGGCAGGGTATGCCATTTCCTGGGAGGCACAGTAGTTTGAGGTTGGGAATAGGGAAGTCTCATTGTGACCCCTAGAAAGACAAGCCTTCAGGCTAACCCGGTAACACCCATCGTCAGGAATCCTTCACGGCCGCCAGAGGGCGCAAGGAGCTGCGGCTGGAAGTACTCGGAGGGCCGGCGGAGGAGGCGCGCGGAGCCTGTAACTCGCAGCGCGCGCTGGAGGTGGGCGCGGGGCGGTGCGGTGCGGTGCGCGCGGGGCGGTGCCGCGGCGGCGGAGGGAGCCGCGATGGAGGGCGCTCCGACTGTCCGTCAGGTAAGCCGCGGGCCTCGCTGGGGCAGGTTCCCATCTGTGGCTTTAGCCTACTTTTTCTCACGGTGATTGCTTGAACCTTCTCAGATTACAGTTAATCCCTCCCTTCCCTTTTCTTCGTGCTCTTTGGAGTAATACGGAAAGTTGTTACCGAGGAAACGGTTTCCTGTGCCTCTGCGAGCCCTTTCCCTACGGGCGGTGGTGGGGACATTTGCTTCCCTGTGGGCGTTGAGGGCTTGAATTTGGTCCCGAAATGTCCTGGTGCGGATGTCTCAGCCCCAGGCCCCCTTGGGTCAGGCCCCATGGTCGTGATTCTGACCCACTGTCAACGTTTTTTCCAGCCTTGCCCCCTTCCTTTCATTCTCAGCCCTGTTGTAAAGGTCCGGATAGTTTAAATCACTGTGCTGTCAGCCAAGTTTTTGATTTCAACTAGTCTAGTTTTATTTGTTTACTACCTTATTTGACAAAACGGAAAGCGTGCTTATTAATATTCAGGATGAAACCCCGCTTTTGTTGGACGGGCGCCTGCGTTTCTGAACACCATCCTCCTTCTACATTGGTTTGTGTGTATGTATTTTACTTTTAGAGAACTGCGGTCAGTGCTATATCTTCTGAAGAGCGTTATAGTTTACAGATTAGTGGAGGTACACAAATAATTGTTGAATGAACAGATGAATGAGTGTTATTTCACTTGATTTGAAAAACATTACTATGAAATAGTCAAGCTGGATATTCATGAACCCAATCAGTCACTGATTCAGTTATGTCCCTGGCACTGGGTGTTCGGGATTAGATGGTGATTAACACAGACATGATCCCTGCTCTCAATAAGCTTATTGTCTAGACTAGAGATAAAATTATTTCCTCTATTGTAGAGTTAAGGAACAGATGTACAGAGATTGACTTTGCTAAGGACCACACAGCTAATAAGTCAGAGAGACAGGAATCTACTGTAGCCACCCCAGAAAGCCAGAATGGACCCCCATCCCAAATTTGATTCAGGTGTAGAAACTGATGATGCCACACACACACCATGAGGTTGGAGTAGAAACTGATGATGCCACACACACACCCTGAGGTTGGAGTGCAGTGGCGCAATCTCGGCTCACTGCAAGCTCTGCCTCCCGGGTTCACGCCATTCTTCTGCCTCAGACTCCCCAGTAGCTGGAACTACAGGCGCCCGCCACCACGCCCGGCTAATTTTTTGTGTTTTTAGTAGAGACGGGGTTTCACCGTGTTAGCCAGGATGGTCTTGAACTCCTGACCTCATGATCCGCCCGCCTCGGCCTCCCAAAGTACTGGGATAACAGGCTTGAGCCACCACCGCGCCCGGCCCTGAAAAAGTCTTTTACTTACATAATTAAGGTCTCCAGGGAGAGCAAGGCAGGCCTCTCAAGCAGCACTAAAATGGCTTAAGAGAGCCTCAGGAAAAAACTGGCTCCAGGTCTTTTTTTCACCCTTGATGTTTGATGACTGACCTGCACCATTTGAATTTGAATTTGAATTTAAGTCAGCCATTGTGGCCCAGTGCAGTGGCTCATGCCTGTAATTCTAGCACTTTGGGAGGCCAAGGCAGAAAGAAGTATCGCTTGAGGACAGGAATTTGAGACCAGCCTGGGCAACAAAGCAAGACCCTGTATCTACCAAAATAAAAAAAAAAAAGAAAGAAAAATTAACTGGGCATGGTTGTGTGGCGCCTGTGGTCCTAGCTATTTGGGAGGCTGAGATAGGAAGATCACTTGAGCACAGGAGGTTGAGACTGCAGTGACCCCTGTTTGTGCCATTGCACTCCAGCCTGGGTGACAGAGACCAAATTATTTTCAGAAATTTAACCAAGGTGGTAGGCCTTACACTATGTGTGGCACAATAGCCCATCCTCCTTTTGTGAGCTCCTTTGTGAGTATGTCAAAAGACTGTCCTCAGGGGAGGATGTCATCAATGGAATGTTATACTTGTGCTCCTGGAGAAAATTTGATGCAGTTAAGATCTTTCCTGTAAAGGCTGTGTATGATGGCAAGACTGCGTACTCTATGGTTAGCCTGGTAAAGAGATGTTATGTCTCTCTGGAGGTGAAGACCAACTATGGCTGAGGAGGTGTTGAAAGAGACACTGAACAGAACATATTAGCCAAATCTATCACAGCAAAATATTTACTAGTTGTGGACTGGATAGTCAGTAATTTCAACAATGTTGAGTATAGGGGCCTTCCTGGGTAAAATGACATCATCGAGGATGCAGTAATGAACCATGAGGTACCATTCATTCTTACCAAATTTAACAGGCCAAATTGGGCTGTTAAATGGAGAAGCAGTAGGGATAATTACTTTCACAAAGTACTTCTTTCTTTCTTTCTTTTTTTTTTTTTTTTGCGAGACAGAGTCTTGCTCTGTCGCCCAGGCTGGAGTGCAGTGGCACAATCTCAGCTCACCGCAACCTCCACCTCCCGGGTTCAAGCAATTCTCCTGCCTCAGCCTCCCAAGTAGCTGGGATTACAGGCACGTACCACCACGCCCAGCTAATTTTTGTATTTTGTTTTAGTTGAGATGGGGTTTTACCATGTTGGTCAGGCTGGTCTTGAACTCCTGACCTCGTGATCCACCTGGCTTTCCCTCCCAAAGTGCTGAGATTACAGCATGGCGTGAGCCACCGTGCCTGGCTGAAGTAGGTCTTACATAACAAGTTTTAGTCCTTGAAGGCCCTGTTTTGTTTTATATTGGGTTGTATAATTTTAACTGGGCATTGAGAGTGGTGGTCCATAGGGTCTCACTGTTTTGTTTATTTTGAGACAGAGTCTTGCTCTGTCACCTGGGCTGAAGCACAATGGTGCAATCACAACTTACTGTGATCTCCAACTCTTGGACTCTGGCAGTCCTCCCACCTCAGCCTCCCAAGTAGCTAGGACTACATGTGTGTACCACTATGCCAGGCTAATCTTTAAATTTTTGTAGAGAGGGGGCCTTGCTGTATTGCCCAGCTTGTTCTCCATACTCTTGGCCTGAAGTGATCCTCCTGCCTCAGTCTCCCAAAATGTTGGGATTATACGTGTGAGCCAACATACCCAGCCTGTTGTCCCACTTCTTTGAAAGCCAATTTGTAAGCTCTAAAGACTTGATTTAAATTTAGTTTATTACTAATTGTGTCAGAGTGTCCATGGCCACAATAGGATATTTCAGGGCAATGTATACCACCATCGTGGAGTATTTAGGCAAAGGTATAGTTCTGATGGTTAAAGTGAGGCATACCTATTTGTTGTCTATTTTATGTTGAATAACTCCTAAGATTGTAGGGGATACCTTGTTTAAATTTAGTGGGAACTCTAGGTATAACTGTAATTTGAGACCCAATATTGATTAAAGCCATGAAGATTTGCCAATTGCCGCATTTTAGCTGATGTTGAAGTTAACTTAGAACCTATGTTGTAGAGGCACAAAAGCCAGTCTTTTATCTTTTATCCTGTAAATTATTTTAAATTCTGTATGTTTTGTTAGATCAGTTTATGGACTTCAGTTTCAGTTTTTTTTGTTTGTTTTTGTTTTGCTGTTGTATGTTTCCTCCCCTTCTATCCAGGTTTGTTGGTTTCTCCCTCTCTTTTTGGAGGTTACTGGATATACTTCAGGTGGAGGAGGTCTTCTCTACCCTCTCATGTTTACAAATTTCTTTCTCTAGAGAGCCTCAAATCAGTATCATTGTGATTAGAGGCTTCCCCCATGGCAATGGTTATTTATAGGGTTTAAGAACCTCAAGTTTGGCCAGGTGCAGTGGCTCACGCCTGTAATCCTAGCACTTTGGGAGGCTTAGGTGGGCTGATCACGTGAGGTCAGGAGTTTGTGACCAGCCTGGCCAACATGGTGAAACTCCATCTCTACTAAAAATACAAAAATTAGCCGGGTGAGGTGGTGCACGCTTGTAATCCCAGCTACTCGGGAGACTGAGGCAGGAAAATCGCTTGAACCCGGGAGGTAGAGGTTGCAGTGAGCCGAGATCACGCCACTGCACTCGAGCCTAGGCGACAGAGTGAGACTCTGTTTCAAAAAAAAAACAAAACAAAAAGAACCTCAAGCTTAAGTGGAGCAGCAGCAGCAGAGATATTTAAGGATCCTGGTCCACCATAAGCTGTTTTTTTTTTTTTTTTTTTTTTTTTTGTTCTTGTTGTTTGTTTGAGACAGGGTTTTGCTTTGCCGGCCAGCCTGGAGTGCTGTAGCTTGATCATGGCTTACTACAGTCTTGACCTCCCAGGCTCAGGCAATCCTCCCACCTCAGCCTCCTGAACAACTGGGACAATAGGCGCATGCCACCATGCCAGGCAAATTTTTTGATATTTTTTGTAGAGACGGGGTCTCACTATGTTGCCCAGGCTGGTCTCAAACTCCTGGGCTCAAGAGGTCCTCCTGCCTCAGCCTCCCAAAGTGCTGGGATTATAGGCATGAGTCACTGTGCCTGGCCCATATGCTTTTATAATGGCTACTCCTCCTTACTCCCCTATTCCATATTTGCTTTTTTCTTTTTTTAACTGCCTGATGAGTGATCTTACTTGAGCAATTACCCGATGGGCCCATATTTTTTTGAGACAGAGTCTGGCTCTGTCACCCAGGCTGGCATGCAGTGGTGTGATCTCGGCTCACTGCAACCTCCTCCTCCTGGGTTCAAGCAATTCTTCTGCCTCAGCTTCCGAGTAGCTGGGACTACAGGCCACCATGCCTGGCTAATTTTTTGTATTTTTAGCAGAGACAGGGTTTCATTATATCGGCCAGGCTGGTCTTGAACTCCTGGCCTCAAGTGATCCCAAAGTGTTGGGATTACAGGCGTGAGCCACCTCGCACAGCTGGCACATCTTATTTGTTTGTTTAAACTCCATTGTTTGTATAAATCAGAGCTTATTTACTAATTTCTCTATTGATGGACGGTGAGGTTATTTCCACTTTCATAGTATTAACAAACATTCTTGACTCTATGTGTATATTAAATTGCTGCATTGCAGTATATGTCTATCTTCTTTCCTACTGGGCATTGCAAATTGTTCTCCAAAATAGTTGTACAAACGGACACTCCCATTAAATTGTATTTTTATTATTTATTGTTCCTCTAGCAGACTGTGCACTTCTGGAGATGGAGGACTTTGTTTTATTCATCTTTGCATCCCTAGTGCCAACCAAACTACCTAGCAAATAATAGTAGTTGGAAAATCTTTGTTGCATGTATAAATGTATGAACTTGGCTGGGTGAGGTGGCTCATGCCTATAATCCCAGCATTTCTGGAGGCTGAGGTAGGAGGATTGCTTTGGCCCAGGAGTTGAAGGCTGCAGTGAGCTATGATGGGGCCATTACACTCCAGTCTGGGTGAAAGAGTGAGACCCTGTCTCTAAAGAAAATAAAATAAGAATTTAAAAAAAATAAAAATAAATATATAACTAGATGAACTATTGAAGCAAAAACGTATTTATTACTGTCTTCTAAACATTTAAATATTGCCCTTTTAAAATTAATGTATATGTTGTGAACATTAACTTTTTTCTTTTTAAAATGGCCATTTCTCAATAAATAATTGACTTAGTTTGATATTTGTTTCCAGGTGATGAATGAAGGGGATTCAAGCCTTGCCACCGACTTACAGGAAGATGTAGAGGAAAATCCTAGTCCAACTGTGGAAGAGAATAATGTGGTAGTTAAAAAACAGGGGCCAAATTTACATAATTGGAGTGGTGACTGGAGCTTTTGGGTAATTTCTTTTTTTACGTCTTTATTTTAATCTTGAATACAAATTTTCTTTAAATCTGCAAGGAGTCATATAGTATTTGTAAAATTTCCTTCTTAGCTTCTAGATTTTAGATGTTTCAATTTTAGTCCAGAGTCCCAAAGACATTTCTGATTATTCTCTCCTTTGACCACTAGAATGCACTGTTGTCTGGTTCGATGAAATGGAATTAATCTGCTTCAGTTTCCTTGTGTGAAAACTACACCACAGAAGTGGATTCCACTTACACTGTAGCTCACTGTATTGTCAAGAGACTAATGTTATATAGAAACCATATTTCTGAATGTTACTGAGAAGCCAGCTATTTTATATAATTTTGATTTAAAAAATTCATTCCTGTACGTAAAGGAAGTTTAGCAGTGTTCAACCTATAGTGTATAATGACTATAAGATGGTTTTAAAGTTAGAAGCTACATATTCTGTTTCCATTGTGTTCATTCGGTTGTGTAATCTGGATGTGCTTCAGGTTTCCCCACTGGAAAATGAGACTACTGCTTGTTGATTAGGCACATTAAGATCTTAGAGTCTTTTTGGAAGAAAAACACTTCTGTATGTTACAAATGCTAACATTTATTATATTAAAGGACTCATTCTAAATCTAGCAATTCCTGTGAGAGTTATGAACCATTTGATAGAATCTGGTGTGATACAACTATAAGTGAAAATTATGTAGGATGGTAAGGCATGTATAGTTCCAATTAGTTCATTAGAAAGCTGATCTCTTGGCTGGGCACGATAGCTCACGCCTGTAATCCCAGCGTTTTGGGAGGCTGAGGTGGGCAGATTGCTTGAGCCCAGGAGTTTGAGACCAGCCTGGGTAACATGGCAAAACCCAGTCTCTACAAACAAACAAACAAACAAAAATTAGCCAGGCGTGGTGGCACATGCCTACAGGCTACATCCCAGCTACTCAGGAGGCTGAGGTGGGAGGATCACCTGAGCCTGGGAAGTTGAGGCTGCATTGAGCCATGATCGTGCCACTGCCCTCCAGCCTGGGTAACAGAGAGAGACCCTGTCTCAAAAAAATAAAAATAAAAATAAAAATAAATCTCATCTTTTGAGGATTAGGTATCCTTGGTAGCAGATTTTCTTGTAATTTTAGAGTAGGCTAAAAAAAGATTCATTAACAGGTTATAAAGATTAGTACAAGTACCATCATTCTGTTCATAATTAGCAGTTCAGTTCATTGGAATCTTAACAGTTATTGAATCTTAACGTGACTAAAACGTTTGATTTCCTATTAAGAAACGTGACATTATAAGTTTTTTTGAAATATTTTCTAAGGAAAATATTTAATTGCTAAGAAATATACAAAAATAACAATACATCCTAAAAATAATGTCATGTCTATTGACTATATTATTTTTGGTCATATTTAGAAAAGGTTTATGACAATATTGTAGTATTATGACCTTTCTGCACTAATTTTTTTTTTTTTGAGGCAGAGTTTCGCTCTTGTCACCCAGGCCAGAGTACAATGGTATGATCTCCAGTCATTGCAACCTCTGCCTCCTGGGTTCAAGTGCTTCTCCAGCCTCAGCCTCCCAAGTAGCTGGGATTACAAGCACCTGTCACCACACCCAGCTAATTTTGTATTTTTAGTAGAGACGGGGTTTCATCATGTTGGCCAGGCTGGTCTTGAACTCCCGACCTCAGGTGATCCGCCCGCCTCGGCCTCCCAAAGTGCTGGGATTACAGGCATGAGCCACTGTGCCCGTCCTCTGCACTGATTTTTTTTTCTAGCTTATGTTTTAGATTGGGGAACCTTCATACTCTTAGGGACTATCTACAGGGCTAAGTAGTTACTGTGGTTACTATTGACAGACTTAAAGCAAGAAAAATGGTAATGCAAGAAAAGGAAAAAGCAAAGGAAGGAGATAATTTAGAAATAGGAGAGAAAAAAAGAGGGATGTGTTCTAGATCCTTGCTACTAAAGGTGTAGTATGGGGGCCAGCAGATTTGGCATCATCTGCTGGCAATGCAGAATCTTGGGCCCAACCTCAGACTTACTGGATCACAATCTTCATTTTTCACAAGATTTTTAGGTGATTTACATTTAAATTAAAGTTTGAGAAGCACTGATTTAGAGTGTCAGAGGTTTACTTTGGCTCAGTTTGGGCCCCTAAGCTGATTGCAAACACTTCATTTTAAGGACATTGTATATGAATTCATATAGAATAGACCTAAAGAGAAGTACAGTATCTCATAAGTTTTACAGACTTTTCTACAGGTCAGTTACCCAGACACCAGAACTGTCAACAACTCAGAAGCAAACAAAAACAAAAAAAAGACCCCATATAGCTAAATCAGAGTTCATGCTGATATAGCTGGTAATAGGAGAGATCCTCAAATCTTCATTTGGTGTTTCTTTATTTTTTGCTATATTTTTTATAAGCTTAAATAAACTGAATAGGATATTGAAGGTAGGGAAATTAGTTGATAATAACACATAGAGATACCAGCAAGAAATGATAGCAGAAACTCAAAAAAAGTGAAGAAACCCAGACCTTTGTTTTTATATTTTTTAATTTTTTTACTGATATCTCTTATTCTCTTTCATCATTCAAGTTTGTTCAAAACATTACAAGAGACATGAAAGGAAAAATAATTGCATTTTTAAAACTCAGTCTGTCCAAAATATAACATATGAAACCATGCTATTATATCTTAGGAAATAACAACATTCAAAGTTAATTTGATATCAAAGTTCAAGATGAAGACTAACCTCAAAGTATGGCATGTGCAATGAAACCTGGACCTTTTAATGTGGAGGCCAAAGGTCTGTGCAGCTAAATTGGCTCTAAATAGTACTGTAGTTGGTAGAAATGGTGTTTTAAAAGTCTGGAAAATAAATAATTCATTTTTTCTCTGCCATTTAAAATCCATCAACATCTACCACAACTCTAGCATGTTGCTGTTGTTTTCTTCATTCTCCCCCAAATAAAGTAGGTATTGAAGAAAAACAAATATGATGGGGAATTCACTGAGGGGTCTAAAATTAACACAAGGAAGACAAGCCAGGCATTGTAGCACATGCCTGTAGTCCCAGGGGCTCAGGAGGCCTGAGAAAGGGGATCACTCGAGCCCAGGAGTTTGAATCCAGCCTAGGCAATATAGTGAGATCCCATCTCTAAAACAAACAAATGAAAATAAAACAAAACACAAGGAAGACAAGTAGCATAACAGGAATGTATTCATAAGGCACATGACCTGGTATGTAAGCAAATAATTAGGGATGTCAGAGCCATTTCACTGGAATACCCAAGGAACCTAGAGTTGTGCTTTTTCACTTTAGAGAGGTTTCTAGCAAAAGAATGGATAACTTTAAAAAGTATTGGTATTTACAGAGTTAAGCTACAGGGATCTGGGAAGTTCACTAATGTAGAATAATTCATATGTTCTAGCCTGGCTAAATCAGTTGTTCCACAGTAGTGAATTTAGAGGGCAGCATGATATAATTGAACACATTGGAGACTGCGAACAAAATATCTGGAATAGAGTCTCTGCTCTGCATCTGGTGATTTCAGGGTGTGGTCATCTTGAGTATGTTGCATAACCTGTCTCACCTCAGTTACCTCACCTATAAAATTAGAGATTGGGTCATGGTATTACAACACTGGTCTGTCTTGAATCAGTAGTAACCTCATGCTGTTTAACAGATTGGCTAATAAGTGCCTTTCTGACAGTAAGACTAATTTAAATAATAAGAATTAACTCTCTATGGCTGTTGATAGTGAGCAATGGCTTAAGATTTTCAGATTTTTTATTTCAATTCTATAGTTTAAAGATAGGAATCTTAGTTGTTGTATTTGTTTTTTTTTTTATTTTAAAATATTGGGCCAGACATTGTGGCTCATGCTTATAATCCCAACACTTTGGGAGGCCAAGGTGGGAGGATCACTTGAGGCCAGGAGTTTGAGACCAACCTGAGCAACATAGTAAGACCCCCATCTCAACAAAACAAAATAAAAATTAGCTGGCTGTGGTGGCTTGCACCTGTAGTCCCAGCCACTTGGGAGGCTGACATGGAAGGATTGCTTGAGTCCAGGATTTGAGGTTATGGTGCGCTGTGATCATGCCACTGCATTCCAGGCTAGGCGACAGAGAGAGACGCTGTCTCAATAAAATAAGATAAAATAAAAATTTAATTCTGTATGTGAGAAATGAGTTTTATTATTACCTTTTAAACCCTAATTAAACAATAAAAATTATGTGAAATGATGAAATGAAATTTAAAATAATGGCAAATATTTATGCTTTTGCCCATTAACTTAGTAAAAAAATATATAGCAAAATGTAAAACAAACAAACAACCAAAAAACTCTTAAAACAAAAGACTTACTTTCTTCTTGGCTAGAGTAATAGTATATTCCATGTGGATTAAGATCCCAGAGGCAAGGCAGACAAAGATCTGCAACATATGCATTTATTTAGTGCAAATTCTTTTAGCGATATAGAGTAAGCAACTATTGGGAGTAGAAAATAGCCTTTGAGATTGTTCATTGTGTGTGTTCAGAAGATGACATACTTACCTGGGATTTTTTAATAGAAGTAATAGTGCTTTGGATAAGCTAGTTAATATTTTATTTATTTATTTATTTATTTATTTATTTATTTATTTATTTTTTATTGATCATTCTTGGGTGTTTCTCGCAGAGGGGGATTTGGCAGGGTCATAGGACAATAGTGGAGGGAAGCTCAGCAGATAAACAAGTGAACAAAGGTCTCTGGTTTTCCTAGGCAGAGGACCCTGCAGCCTTCCGCAGTGTTTGTGTCCCTGGGTACTTGAGATTAGGGAGTGGTGATGACTCTTAACGAGCATGCTGCCTTCAAGCATCTGTTTAACAAAGCACATCTTGCACCGCCCTTAATCCATTCAACCCTGAGTGGACACAGCACATGTTTCAGAGAGCACAGGGTTGGGGGTAAGGTCACAGATCAACAGGATCCCAAGGCAGAAGAATTTTTCTTAGTACAGAACAAAATGAAGTCTCCCATGTATACTTCTTTCTACACAGACAGGGCAACCATCCGATTTCTCAATCTTTTCCCCACCTTTCCCCCCTTTCTATTCCACAAAACCGCCATTGTCATGATGGCCCGTTCTCAATGAGCTGTTGGGTACACCTCCCAGACGGGGTGGTGGCCTGGCAGAGGGGCTCCTCACTTCCCAGTAGGGGCGGCCGGGCAGAGGCGCCCCTCACCTCCCGGACGGGGCGGCTGGCCAGGCGGGGGGGCTGACCCCCCCACCTCCCTCCCGGACGGGGCGGCTGACCGGGCGGGGGGCTGACCCCCCCACCTCCCTCCCGGACGGGGTGGCTGGCCGGGCGGGGGGCTGACCCCCCACCTCCCTCCCGGACGGGGCGGCTGGCCGGACGGGGGGCTGAACCCCCAACTCCCTCCCTAGAGCCCCTCCAGCTAGTTAATATTAAATATTCTTTTGTGCTTTGATAATTCATTAAGATCTTTAAAAATATTTGTCAATTGTATATACTTACTTTTTTTTTTTGCTGTACGTTTATTCAATGCAAAATAATAATACTCTCCAGTTTTACTGAGGTGGCTGACCACGTCCACGACCAAATCTGCCTTTAAACTGGAATTCGGTTGCTGACACAGCCCCAGCCTCGACTTTCTTGTTGGCACCAGGGGGCACAAAACTCCGTCTGTAGGTATCTCTGTCGGCTTCCCCTTTTGTGAGTCTTGCAGGTCGCTCACCCTCCAGACCTTTAGGCCAAGGCCTGCCAGTCTCTGGATGGCTGCAGCGTAGGGTGGCAGCACAGTCTCCGGGGCAGATGAAGATAATCATGGAGATACTGGATGCCCTCATTGGTAAGGTACCAGTAGAAATGTCTCCAGGCAAACTGTTCCTTCACGTAGCCTCAGGACTTGAGAGACTGCATGGCCTTCATGACATGAAGGTTGGGCACATTCTTGTCTGCCAGCTCGGGTGCTTAGGCATGTGGACGTCCTTCTTGGCCACCATGACTCCCTCCTTAAAAAGGAGTTCATAAATGGCAATCCGGTTCTTCTTAGGCATCAACATCTCCGCTGCTGTAGGGTCCGGGGCTGAGGCTGGAAAGGATATACTTAATTTTTTTTTTATTTTTATTTTTTTAATTTTTATTTTTTTTGAGATGGAGTATTGCTCTGTCACCCAGGCAGGAGTGCAGTGGTGTGATCTTGGCTCACTGCAAACTCCGCTTCCCCGGGTTCACACCATTCTCCTGCCCCAGCCTCCCAAGTAGCTGGGACTACAGGCGCGTGCCACCACGCCCGGCTAATTTTTTGTATTTTTAGTAGAGACAGGGTTTCACCATGTTAGCCAGGATGGTCTTGATCTCCTGACCTCGTGATCTGCCCTCCTCGGCCTCCCAAAGTGCTGGGATTACACGCGTGAGCCACTGCACCCGGCCTATACTTCTTTAATAGCAGATTTAGCTAATCATTGTATTTTTAAACTGGAGGGATTTGTAAAGTTTTCTGAAATGCGTAACTAAAATTAAGTTTACTCAGGGGTCCTTTGTGTGTTCCTCTTTGAATAATTGTTTATTTGAAAATCTTGAAAACTATGCATAAAGAAGATAGGAGATCTCAGATTCCTCAGGTCTTTGATTTAGGAAGGGAAATAGAAAAAAAGATGGAGTAGGAGAATTTTAAAAAAGATTAGAGTTCGAATTGATTTTTTAAAATTTTTTTGTTTTAAAACGTTTTAAGAATAAACAGATTTTCAACCATTATCTACATATATGCAAATAATAACTAGTATACTTAGGTTTTAATAGAAAATATTTATATTTGAATTTTTCTAGATAATAGTCAAGTTTTCTTTCTTTCTTTTTTTTTTTTTTTTGAGACAGTCTCACTCTGTTGCCCAGGCTGGAGTGCAGTGCTGTGATCTCGGTTCACTGCAGCCTCCACCTCCTGGGTTCAAGTGATTCTCCTGCCTCAGCCTCCTGAGTAGCTGGGACTACAGGTGCACGCCACCAGCTGAGCTAATTTTTGTATTTTTAGTAGAGATGGGGTTTCACCATGTGAGCCAGGCTGTTCTCAAGCTCCTGACCTCAGGTGATCCATCCACCTCAGCCTCCCAAAGTGCTGGGATTGCAGGCCTGAACCACTGTGCCTGGCCAAGTTTTCTTTAACTGTGCAAAAAATCAGAAGCCTTTATTCTGTACTTTATTTATTTATTTATTTATTTGAGGTGCAGTCTCACTCTGTCAGCCAGGCTGGAGTGCAGTGGCATGATCTCGGCTCACTGCAACCTCCGCCTCCTGGGCTCAAGCGATTCTCGTGCCTCAGCCTCCCGGGTAGCTGGGATGAGAGGTGCGTACCACCACTCCCGGCCTATTCTGTACTTTATCAGTAACTTATCCTACTCACATTATTAACAGGTAAATTTTTCTACTGAGAAGTGGGGAATAAAACTGATTTTTTTTTGCCACAAATCTGTTTTATACATACATAGTAAGGATTAATTAATGTTGTACTATTAAAAAAATCCCAAGAGGATTAATTAGTATGTTTGTAACATACTTTGGCAACTGGGGAGAATAGGTTTCCTGTAATCATGTTGTCCTCCACAACAACATGTCTTGGATTTATTCAAGCTTATAAAGGATATTTCAGATTTTTACTTTGGTGACTGATAAAAAAGAATAAACTCATTTTCTAATTTATGTTGGATTAAAAAAACATTTTATCCAATTTGAAAAATTTTAAGTATAGTTAGATACTGCTCGATAAACCTAGATATCTTTTAACAGTTTTAGGAATAAAAACCAACACTTCTGGCAATACAAGAAGGGGACGATTTAAATGCTCTTCTGCTAAGGGTACCTAGCAATGCTGGATGAAATGTTTCAAACTTTTTTTTAATAATGAATGTCTTGGCTCACAAAACAGCGAGGGAAATATACCTAAGGGGTTAAAAAAAAAGAAAAAAGAGGGAACTGATTACCAGAGTTGTAAGCCCATAAGCTAATGCCGAGGTACCCGTGAGGAATTTGCTCAGCTTTAATGGCTATGCTGTGATAGGAGATAGGAGATAGCACCTTGAACTTGTATGAGCTGGAACTGAAAACTCTTTATAAAGCCTGACTCCCATACCCTCTGTGAAATACAGATGAAAAAAATCCACTACATCCACAGGTTGAAGACAAGGAAACTTGTCTGTCTAAGCCAGGGCTTAGGGTGGGAGTGGGGGTAGTTTCTCCTGAGAATATGTAACTATAATCCATCTCTAACTGTAGTCCATCTCTCATGAAGTTTTGGGGCTTGGATTTAGTACTCTATAAGTGAGCAGAAAGAGATTCAATAAATAGTGTATTTGATGCTCCAAAACTTCAGATAATAAAACTATTATACCAAATAAAGACTACGAAAGTCATATGATATTGTAAGGACAATAGAAGGAATTAAAAGTAGTATAAATGGATAGGAAATTCTCAAGAACACCAGGCAGATTTGAAAAAATAATCAAATACAACTTCTAGAAATGAAAAATATGGTCACTGAAATAATCGTAATTAAAGAATGCAGTGGGCTTGGGAAATGGCAACTAAAGAGAGATCAGTAAAGTGAAAGATATATACGTATTAGGAAATTCCTCAAATTATATCACTGAGAGATAAAGAGAGAAAGTATGAAAGAGAGCAGTTTAAGATGTAAAGGAAATAGTAGAGAAGTCCGTTATGAATCTAATAGCAGTTTCAGAAGATGAATACAGAGAATGAGCAAGAGGCAATATTCAAAGAGAATGTGCATGAAAGATTTTCACTCAAGTTGAAGGGCTTCATAATCAGGAATTGCAGTGAGCTGCTCACAGGATAAATTAAGGAGTATGTGAGCAGAGACATTATGATCTTAAAAGTGGCAATGGTAGATATACATGAATTAAGAAAGGAATGGTCTTATTTATTCATTTATTAGAGTGTCTTCTATGCACGAGAATGTTCTAAGTGAACAGGACAGCCTCTCTACCACCCTGGATCTGACAACAGAATGGGAGCCGGACAGCATATAACTAAACAAACATGTACTATGTCAGGTAGTGATAGAAGCTATGAAGACAACAAAAGAATGTAAAGGTGTAGAGAATAGCATGGGAGGGAGTAGCATTTTTAGTTAGGATGGTCAGGAATAGCTTCTCTGAGGAAGTGCCATTAGAGAGAGGCTTAAATGATGGGGGCGGGTGAGAGAAGGAGAACACCAGTGAATCCTGGAAGGGAAGGGAAAGCGCAGGGTGTTCTATGGAAAGGCTCTGAGGCTGGAATGAGATTGGCTTGCTTGACAAATAGCCTGCTGAAGGGATTGATGTGGTGAGTGAGGGAACAAGAAAGATCAGGGATAATTATTCCTAGGTTTCTGGTCAGTGCAACTGGGTACATGGAAGTGCCATTTAGGGGAAGAAAAGACTGAGGGAGAAGTGGGTTCTGGCATGTGGGGAAATCAAGAGTTTTTTTTTTTGTAACTGAGTTGGCGATGCATGTTTGATATATGGATAGAAAGGTCAGGTGGGCTATTGAATATACTACCGAATCTTCGGGGAGAGATTGGAGCCAGAAGTAAATTGAGAAGTTTTGAGCAGGCATGATACTTAAAGACAGACTTATGAAGACTGGATCAGATCACTTAGGGAGAAAATATGGATAGAGAAGAGAAGCGGACTCTCCAATGTTCAAAACTTCAGGTGGTGGAGCAGAAAGTGGCAAAAAAGCCTGAGATTTGGTTAGGAGATAGAAGAAAATCTTAAAAAGCGTGGTGTCCTCAAAGGCAAGTGAAGGAAGCCTTTCAAGGACAATGATCTACTGCGTTAGGTTGAGTTAGGTGCAACCTGAGAGTTGGGCATTGGATTTGCAAGATGGGGGTTGTTAAGGTCATTAAAAGTACAACTTAAGGGCAAAAACCTGACTAAAGTGCCAGCTTTTGGACTGTTGTCCTAATCTTCCTTTGTAAAATTTGACTTATGGTTGTTTAAAGAAGGGCCAAAGGAAGAAAACTCATGTTTCATTAAAAACGTATATACTTCTTTAAAGATCACCATATCAACATGAAAAAAACCTTTTTGGGGAAAAACATAACTATTAAGAAATTGCTTTACCAATAAATTAACATATTTAATAAATGACATAGAGAATATGGAAATTAACTAGAATGGTGATATGTTACTGGGATATTTAATAAGGCTTCAACCTAAGTATAGCCCTTTGATTATCTAGGGCAATGAGATATTTAAACAGCACATAAAAACAAATCTAAGATAATACAAAATTTCTAGCTGTACCTGCCTTTCCAAAAAACCTTTATTAGATATGATCTGTGCACATAAAAACAGTGACACTGAGCTGAGCATGGTGGCTCACGCCTGTAATCCCAGCAATTTGGGGGGCCGAGGTGGGCAGATCACCTGAGGTCAGGAGTTTGAGACCAGCCTGACCAACATGGAGAAACCCTGTCTCTACTAGAAGTACAAAATCAGCTGGGCATGGTGGCGCATGCCTGTAATCCCAGCTAATTGGGAGGCTGAGGCAGGAGGATTGCTTGAAACCAGTAGGTGGAGGTTGTGGTGAGTCGAGATCATGCCATTGCAGTCCAGCCTGGGTAACAAGATCAAAACTCTGTCTCAAAAACAAACAAAACAAAACAAAACGAAAACAGTGACACTGAATCCCATGAGCTACATGGGAGAGTGACTTTCTATCACCTTAGTAATACTTTGATCAATAATTGATTTTGGCCGGCCACAGTGGCTCATGCCTGTAATCCCAGCACTTTGGGAGGCCAAGGCGGGTGGATCCCTTGAGGCCAGGAGTTCGAGATCAGCCTGGCCAACATGGCAAAACCCCCTTTCTAATAAAAATAAAAAAAATAAGCCGAGCATGGTGGTGCGCGCCTGTAATCCCAGCTACTTGGAAGGCTGAGGTGGGAGAATTGCTTGAACCCAGGAGATGGAGGTTGCAGTGAGCTGAGATCACACCACTGTACTCCAGCCTGGGTGACGAGTGAGACTCTGTCTCAGAAAAAAAAAAAAGAAAGAAAAAAATCATAATAATTAAGTGATTTTAATTGCATTATTTCTCTGGAGAAGATGTTAGTAAGTAAAATGGCCTAAAGGTAAGTGGTTGGAGGAAGGGGAAAATGGTGTGGTGTATTGACCTCTGAATCAGCTTTAAACATTTTCCCCTCTTATATAGAATTAACACTTAAAAAATTCTTTTTTGAGACAGAGCCTTGCTCTGTCACCCTGACTGGAGTGCAGTGGTGCTATCTCAGCTCACTGCAACCTCCGCCTCTCCGTTTCAAGGGATTCTCTTGCCTCAGCCTCCCGAGTAGCTGGGATTACAGGCACGTGCCACCAGCTAAGCTAATTTTTATATTTTTAGTAGAGTTGGGGTTTCAACATGTTGGCCAGGCTGGTGTCGAACTCCTGACTTCAAGTGATCTGCCCACCTCGGCCTCCCAAAGTGCTAGGATTACAGGTGTGAGCCACCCTGCCCAGCTGGAATTTAACACATTTATTCTAATTGTATCAACCTCCTCCTCTTTTACTTTTTTTCTCTTTTACTTCTTGGTAAAAGAGGTAAGTGTAGACCCACATGCATTTTTGAAGAAATAATAGGGATCCCTGTATCCTTTAAACAGTTTCCCCCAATAGTAACATCTGTAAAACTATAGTACAATATCACAATTAAGCTATTGACATGGATAGAATCAAGATCGTTTTCATCACAACAGGAATTCCTCATGTTACCCTTTTATAAATATAGCCACTTTCCTCCCACTGCCACCCCCTATGTTACCCCCGGCTAGTCTGTTCTCCAGATTTATTTATTTCTTTATGTATGTATGTATGTATGTATTTATTTATTTAGAGACAGAGTCCTGCTCTGTCGCCCAGGCGGGAGTGCAGTGGTGCGATCTCAGCTCACTGCAGCCTCCACCTCCTGAGTTCAAGCAATTCTCCCATATGAGCCTCCTGAGTAGCTGGGATTACAGGCGCGTGCCACCATGCCTGGCTAATTTTTGTATTTTTAGCAGAGACGGGTTTCTCCATGTTGGCCAGGCTGATCGCAGACTCCTGACCTCAAGTGATCTGCCTGCCTCAGCATCCCAAAGTGTTGGGATTACAGGCATGAGCCACTGCGCCCAGCTGCCTATTTTTTTTTTTTTTTTTAAAAGATCTGGCTCTGTTGCCCAGACTGGAGTGCTGTGGTACAATCTCGGCTCACTGCAACCTCCATCTCCTGTGCTCAGAGATCCTCATGCCTCAGCCTCCTGAGTGGTTAGGACTACAGGCATATGCTACTAGACTTGGCTAATTTTTGTATTTTTAGTAGAGATGGGGTGTCACCATGTTGCCCAGGCTGGTCTCGAACTCCTGAGCTCAAGTGATCCACCTGCCTTGGCATCCCAAAAAGCTAGCATTATAGGCGTGAGCCACCATGCTCAGCCCTATATGTCTTTTATTTCCTTAAAAAAAACAAACAAACAAAAAAATAAAACCCCAAAAACTCAGTTGCACTGGCTGAAACTTCCAACGCTATGTTGAATAAGAACGGTGAGAGTGGACATTCTTGCCTTTTTTCTGATCTTGCGAGGAAATCATTAAGGCTTTCATCATTAAGGTATTTTTAAAACTATAGGTATTTTGTAGATGCTCTTAATCAAATTCAGGAAGTTCTCTTGTATTCCTTTTTTTTTTTTTTTGAGACGGAGTCTTGCTCTGTCGCCCAGGCTGGGGTGCAGTGACACGATCTTGGCTCACTGCAAGCTCCACCTCCCGGGTTCACACCATTCTCCTGCCTCAGCCTCCCGAGTAGCTGGGACTACGGGCGCCCACCACCACGCCTGGCTAATTTTTTTGTATTTTTAGTAGGGACGGGGTTTCACCGTGTTAGCCAGGATGGTCTCGATCGCCTGACCTCGTGATCCTCCCACCTTGGCCTCCCAAAGTGCTGGGATTACAGGCATGAGCCACCGTGTCCAGCCTGTATTCCTGTTTTTTAAGAGTTTTTAATCACAAATGGATGTTGAATTTTGTCAAATATTATTCCTATATCAAGTGATATGATTGTGTAATTTTTAAAAGCATGTCAATATGGTGGGTTACATTGATTGATTTTTTAAAAATATTGAACCAGCCTTGGATGCTGGAATGAACTCCACTTGGTCAAGTTATATAATTCTTTTTATTTATGGCTTAATTGTATTTGCTAATATTTTGTTAAGGATTCTTATATCTATATACATGAGGGATATTGTTCTGTAATTTTCTATTTTTTGTAATCTATCTGGTTTAGTATTGGGGTAATACTAGCTTCATACAATGAATTGCGAAGTGCTCCCTCTTGTTCTGTTTTTTGGAGAGATTGTATAGAATTAATTTTTTTAATGTTTTGTAGAATTCTCCAGTAAAACTATCTGGGCCTGGAGATTTCTTCCTTGGGAAATTTTTAATTGTGAACTTAATTTCCTTAATTTGTAATGGTAGTTTATGTTTTTTGATAATCCATTTCATCTAAGTTGTCATATTTACATGTGTAGAGTTCTTTTGTTTTGTTCTTGAGACAGAGTCTCACTCTGTTGCCCAGGCTGGGGTGCAGTGGTGCGATCTCAGCTCACTGCAGCCTCCACCTCCCAGGTTCAAGTGATTCTCCTGCCTCAGCCTCCCAAGTAGCTGGGATTACAGGCATGTAATCCCAGCTACATTTTTTTTTTTTTTTTTTTGAGACAGGGTCTTAATCTGTTGCCAGGCTGGAGTGCAGTGGTTTGATCTCGGCTCACTGCAACCCCCACCTCCCAGGTTCAAGTGATTCCCCTGCCTTAGCCTCCTGAGTAGCTGAGACTACAGGCTCACTCCACCACACCTGGCTAATTTTTTTGTGTTTTAGTAGAGACAGGGTTTCACCATGTTGGCCAGGATGGTCTCCATCTCCTGACCTTGTGACCCACCCGCCTTGTCTTCCCAAAGTGCTGGGATTACAGGCGTGAGCCACTGCACCTGGCCTCCCAGCTACTTTTGTATTTTTAGTAGCTGGGATTTTGTATTTTTAGTACAGATGGGGTTTTACCATGTTGACCAGGCTGGTCTCCAACTCCTGACCTTAGGTGACCCGCCCTCCTCGGCTTCCCAAAGTGCTAAGATTACAGGTGTGAGCCACTGTGCCTGGCCTTATTACATGTGTAGAGTTCTTTACAGTATTTTGCTATATCCTTTTGAGTTCTGTAGAGTCTACAGTGCTGACCCTGTTTTATTCCTGATATTGGTAGTTTGTGTCTTCTCTCACTCTTTTTTGTCAGTCTTGCTAGAGATTTTATCAATTTTATTATTTTTAAAGAATCAGCTCTTTGTTTTATTGATATTCTCCATTATTTTTGTTTCAGTTTCACTAATTTCTGTTCTTTTTTATTTACTTTTTCTTGTTTTGGGTTTATTTTATATTTTACTCTTTCTCTTCTAAGTTCTTGAGTTGGATGCTTAGATTATTTCAGACTTCTCCTTTTTTTCTAATGTGGGCATTTAGTGCTATAAATTTCTCTCTCATCTTTAGCTGTGTCCCACAAATTTTGATATGTTACATTAAGGTTTTAATTTTCATCAGTTCCGTGTGTTATTTTATTTCCCTTGAGACTTTCCCTTTGACCCTTGACTCTAGATGGATTATCTAGAAGTGTGTTGTTTAGTTTCCAAGTGTTTGGAGATTTTGAGCTATTTTTCTATGATTGATTTCTAGTTTGATTTCATTATAGTCAGAAAATATACACTGTTTGATTTCAGTTCTCTCAAATTTGTTGAGGTATGGCTGAGTATATAGTCTATTTTGGTAATGTTCCAGGACAGTTGATGTTATTAGGTTTTAATATGCATTTGAAATACCTTAGAGAACCTAGATTAACTAGGCATGTTTCCACAAAATACATGTTACTGAATGTACTGTTACTGAAACAGACTCAAGAAGAAAGAGAAAATCTTAATAGACCTATGACAAGGAAAGAGATTGAATTAGTGAAAAAACAAAAACCAAAGAAACCCTCGATCCCCAAAAGTAAAATGACAACAACAGCAACTAACTTTTCACGAAGAAAAGCTCAGGACCAGATGACTTTACTGGTATATTCTATCAAATGTTTAAAGAAGAATGAGCACAAATCCTTCAAAAACTCTTTCAAAAAAACAGAAAAGGAGGCAGCACTTCCCAGATTATTCTGTGAGGCCAGTATTACCTTGATTCCAAAACCAAAGCTAATTGTAATTCTATACACTGGCAGTGAACATCCTTAACATGAAATTAAGAAAACAATTCCATTTATGGTGCTATCAAATGAATAAAATAGGAATAAATTTTTTTTTTTGACATGGAGGCTTGCTCTGTCACCCAGGCTGGAGTTTAGTGATGCAATCTTGACTCACTGCAACCTCTGCCTCCTGGGTTCAAGCGATTCTCCTGCCTCAGCCTCCTGAGTAGCTGGGATTACAGGCGCGTGCCACCACGCCCAGCTAATTTTCGTATTTTTAGTAGAGACAGGGTTTCACCATGTTGGTCAGACCAGTCTCAAACTCCTGACCTCATGATCCACCCGCCTTGGCCTCCCAAAGTGCTGGGATTACAGGTGTGAGCCACTGCACTCGGCCAAAATGGGTATGTAATACTTGTATACTGAAAACAATAAAACTTTATTGAAAGATATTTAAAAAGACATTAATAATTGGAAAGACATGCCATATTCATGGATTGGGAAGCTTAATGTTGTTAATGATGGCAATACTTCTCAGACTAATCTACAGATTCAACACTATCCTATCAAAATTCAAATGACTTTTTTTGTAAAAATGGTCAAGCAGTACCCAAGCTCCTATGGATATGCAAAGGACCCAGAATAGCCAAAATAATCTTGAAAAAGAATGAAGTTGGAAGATGTACACTTCCCAGTTTTGAGGATTACTACAAAGCTACAATAATCAAGATAGTGTGGATTGGCATAAAAATAGACTTATGGGCTAGGTGCAGTGGCTCACACCTGTAATCCCAGCACTTTGGGAGGCCAAGGTGGGCAGATCACCTGAGGTCAGGAGTTCAAGACCAACCTGGCTAACATGGTGAAAGCTGTCTCTATTAAAAATATAAAAAATTAGCTAGGCTTGGTGGTGGGCACCTGTAATCCCAGCTACTCGGGACGCTGAGGCAGGAGAATCGCTTGAACCCGGGAGGCAGAGGTTGCAGTGAGCCGAGATCATGCCATTGCACTACAGCCTGGGGCAACAAGAACGAAACTCCAACTTAAAAAAAAAAAAAAAGAAAACAGAAAAAAATAGACTTGTGTGTTAAGGGAGTAGAATTGAGAGTTCAGAAATAAACCCTTAAGTTTATGATAAATTGATTTTTGAGTGTCAAAACAATTTAATGAGGGAAAGATTAGTCTTTTCCACAAATGATACAACTAGATATACACATGCAAAGGAATGAATTTGGACCCTTACTTCACACCATATACACGAATCAACTTGAAATTTATCATAGACTTACATGTAAGAGCTAAAACTAAAACTCTTAGAAGAAAACATAGGTTTAAATCTTCATGAACTTTGGATTAGGCAATAGTTTCTTAGATATGACATGAAAATCTCAAGTGACAGGAGAAAAAATAGATAAATTGGACCTCATTAAAATTAGTGCCATGTTTGGTTGTGTGTGCCTGTCTTCCCACCTACTTAGGAGGCTGAGGTGGGAGTTCACTTGAGGCCAGGAGTTTGAGGCTGCACTGTGCTATGATCGTGCCTGTGAATAGCCACTGCCCTCCATCCTGGGCAACAAAGTGAGACCCCATTTCTGAAAAATAAAAAATAAAAATTTCTGTGCTTCAAGGAGTTCATTAAGAAAATGAAAAGATCACCCACAGAATGAGAAAATATCTGCAAATATTGGATAAGGGACTTGTACTAGAATGTGTAAAGAACTCTTACATAGCTCAATAATAAAAAGACAAACCAATTAAAAATGGCCAAAATGTTAATAGACATTTCTCCAGAGGTATAGAAATACCCAATAAACACATGAAAACATGTCCAACATCAATAGTTACGAGGTAAATGTAAATCAGGACTACAATGGTATTGGGGAACCTGCCCCCAGTAGTCATGTAGGTTCTTTTCTATTTTCCTTAAGTGTCAGCTGGTCTGAGAAATAAAGGGACAGAGTACAAAAGAGAGAAATTTTGAAGCTGGGTGTCCGGGGGAGACATCACATGTCAGCAGGTTCTGTGATGCCCTCGAGCCGTAAAACCAGCAAGTTTTTATTAGTGATTTTCAAAAGGGGAGGGAGTGCACAAATAGGGTGTGGGTCACAGAGATCACATGCTTCACAAGGTAATAGAATATCACAAGGCAAATGGAGGCAGGGTGAGATCACAGGACCACAGGACCAGGGCAAAATTAGAATTGCTAATGAAGTTTCAGGCACACATTGTCATTGATAACATCTTATCAGGAGACAGGGTTCAAGAGCAGACAACCAGTCTGACCAAAATTTATTAGGTGGGAATTTCCTTGTCCTAATAAGCCTAGGAGTGCCACGGGAGACTGGGGCTTATTTCATCCCTACAGCTGTGACTGTAAAAGAGAGCTGCTCCTAAAGCGGCCATTTCAGAGGCCTACCCTCAGGGACACATTCTCTTTCTCAGGGATGTTCCTTGCTGAGAAAAAGAATTCAGCGATATTTCTCCCATTTGCTTTTGAAAGAAGAGAAATATGGCTCTGTTCCGCCTGGCTCACTGACAGTCAGAGTTTAAGGTTATCTCTCTTGTTTCCTGAACATTGCTGTTATCCTGTTCTTTTTTCAAGGCGCCCAGATTTCATATTGTTCAAACACACATGCTCTACGAATAATTTGTGCAGTTAACGCAATCATCACAGGGTCCTGAGGTGACATACATCCTCCTCAGCTTACAAAGATGATGGGATTAAGAGATTAAAGTAAAGACAGGCATAGGAAATCACAAGGGTATTGACTGGGGAAGTGATAAGTATCCATGAAATCTTCACAATTTATGTTCAGAGATTGCAGTAAAGACAGGTGTAAGAAATTATAAAAGTATTAATTTGGGGAACTAATAAATGTCCATGAAATCTTCACAATTTATGTTCTTCTGCCATGGCTTCAGCCGGTCCCTCTGTTCGGGGTTCCTGACTTCCTGCAACACAATGGGAATGCCATTTTACACCCATTCAGATGGCTGTAATAAGAAAGATAGAGATTAGATTTGGTGAGGATGTGGAGAAGTTAAAACTCTCATACATTGCTGGTGGGAATGTAAAATGGTACAGGCATTTTGGAAAATAGTTTGGCACTTCCTAAAAATTTAAACAGAGTTACTATATGACCCAGCAATTCTTCTCTTAGATATATACCCCAGAGAATTTAAATATGTTCGCATAAACATTTTTACATGAATATTCATAACAGCATTATTCATAATAAGCAAAAAGTTGAAACAACTTGAACATTAATCAATTGATGAATGCATAGATAAAATGTAGTATATTTGTATAATGAAATATTATTCATCCATAAGCTAGAATGAAGTAATGATTCATGCTGCAATATAGATGAACCTTGAATACCTACATAATGCTGAGTGATAGGCTACAGACACAAAGGGCCACAAGAGTGCATATCATTGATTGCACTATTGTGGGCTTTTGTGTCTGTTCCATTAATATGAAATTTCCAGAATTAGCAAATCCATAGAGATAGAAAGTAGATTAGTGTCGTTTGGACCTGGGTGGAGGGGGAAATGGAGAGTAACTGCTAATGGGTATAGGATTTCTTTTCAGCATGATAAAAGTTTTCTGGAATTATATAGTGGTGATGATTGCACAGTTTTGTGAGTATACCAAAATCACTGACTTGTACATTGCAAAAGGATGAATTCTATAGTATGTGAATTATATCTCAATTTTTTAAAGTAAGTGCCATGTTGGTATGGAACTCGGGCCTCAGGCAGCCCTGCCTCCATGATTTTGCTAGGTGCAGCCCACATCACTTCTGTCATGAGTTGCAGTTGCACACTGGTGCCTGTAGCTTTCCCAGGCAGGTATTGCACTCTCCTCAGTGTTCTACCCTTTTGGGGTCCCACTGGTAGCCCTGACCCCACATTTCTGCTGAGCATTATTCTAGTGGAGGCTCTCTGCACCTCTGCCCCTGCAGAAGGTCCCTTTTAGCTATATTAATCTCCAAATAGTCTCTAGATCCTCTCCTGAAAATGCTCTTTCATGCTCTACCACATGGTCAGGCTGTGAATTTTCCAAATTTTTATGCTCTGCTTCCCTTTGAATTATAAATTCTGTCTTTAAATAAGTATTCTCTCTCTCATTTTACTGTAAGTGGCTAAAAGCAGCCATGCAGCATGTTGAGTGCTTTGCTGCCTAGATACTTTATTTTAATTTTGAGATGGAGTCTCACTCTGTCACCCAGGCTGGAGTGCAATGGGATGATCTTGGCTCACTGCAACCTCTGCCTCCTGGGTTCAAGTGATTCTCCCTGCCTCAGCCCCCTAAGTAGCTGGGATTACAGGCATGCACCACCACGCTCGGCTAATTTTTGTATTTTTAGTAAAGATGGGGTTTCCACATGTTGGCCAGGCTGGTCTCAAACTCCTGACCTCAGGTGATCTGCCCACCTCAGCCTCCCAAATTGCTGGGATTACAGACATGAGCCACCGCGCCGGCCTATTTTATTTTTTCTTTTCAAAGCTGCTTAGATATTTCTTCTTCCAGAAATCATAGCTTTGGTAATTAAATTCTTTGGGTAATTAATCCAGACCCAGAGAGCACTCCCAAAAGATGGCATTAATCCCTTCAGCCCTCTCAGGTTTGGCCATCCCCAAAGCCCTAGGACATGGATACAATGCCACCAAGTTCTTTGCTATTTTATATAATGACCTTTGCTCCAGTTCCCAATAAGATATTCCTCATTTCCATCAGAGACCTCTTCAGAATGGCCTTTACTGTCCACATTTCTACGGACGTTCTGTTCACAACCACTTAAGTAATCTCTAAGAAGTTTCAGACTTTCCCTAATCTTCTTGTTTTCTAAGCCATCACCAGAATTTCTCTTAATGACCCATTTATAGCAATCTAGGCTTTTTCTAGCCTGCTCCTCCAAATTCTTCCAGCCTCTAACCATCACCCAGTTCCAAAGCTGCTACCACATTTTCAGGTATTGTAATAGCAACAACCCTACTTCTTGGTCCCAATTTTCTGTCTTACCCTGTTTTCTGTTGCTATAACAGAACACCTAGACTGGGTAATTTATATAGAAAGGAGATTTATTTGGCTCATGGTTCTGGAGGATGGAAAGTTCAAGATCAGGTGGTCTCATCCGGCCAGGGTCTCATGTTGCATCATAATATGATGGATGCCATCACATGGTGGGAACACGTTTGAAAGAGACAAAGCATGAGAGGCAACCTTGGTTTATAATAACCTGCTCTTTTGGTAATTAATCCAGACCCAGAGAGCACTCCCACAAGATGGTATTAAGCCCTTCATGAGGGATCCCTCATAATCCAAACACCTCTTAAAGTTCCTACCACCTCTCAATACCATTACATTGAGGACCAAGCTGCAACATGAGTGTTGACGGGGACAAACCATATTCAAACCATAGCAACTACCAAAACTCATTAAAAAATCTGCTTGTGAGGCTATGGAGTGTGCCACAGATACTGAATCACTGAGACCGTTCAGACCATTTTTGATTAGAAGCCAACTGTTAGGATTTTTGGACTGCAAGATGGTTTATTGAGTTTTACTGTATTTACATATATAAATATGCACAAAAAAGTGTTCAAATCACTTAGAATAGGAAGATGCTATTTTTGAAAATGATTTTAGAGAACTACAAGAAAAGAAGAAATTGGGGTCTTTGAGGACAGAAACTTCAAATGTTAAATTTTAAAAAAAATTTTTATTGTTTCAAATATTGCATCTACCTCATTTTCTCCTGGGACTTTGTTTACATGTGTATTAGACCTCCTCACTGTATTATCAGTCTCTTATCCTTTCTTCTCTATTTTCCATTATTTTTGTGGCAGCATTTTGAGTCCTAGAGTGATGTGTTCTTCCAGGGAGGATTTTCATATACAGCTGTCAAGCAATCTGGAATTGTCCTTTCCATTTGTAAGGATTAAGATGATTTGAAGTTGGGCTCCAGTCCTTGTGTTGTTGATCTCTAATTTTATTCTGTGTTCATAGAGAACATAGTTTATGAGGCTTTAATCCTTTCAAATTTACTGAAACTTGTTTTGTGGCCTAGCATATGGTCTGTTCTGGAGAATGTTCCATCCGTGCTTGAAAAAAATGTGTATTTTGCAGTTGTTGGATGGAGTGTTTTATAAATGCCAGTTAGGTGTAGTTGGTGGAAAATGTTCAAGTCTCTTATATCCTTGCTGGTTTTCTGTGTAGTCATTCTATCAATTATTAAGAATGGGATATTGATACCTCCAACTTATTGAATAGTCTGTTCTTGCAGTTCTGTCATTTTTGCTTCATGCATTTTGGGGTTCTGTTGTTTATGCATTTATGATTATCTTCCTCATTTATTGACCCTTTTATTATTATGAAATCTCTCTTAGTCTAGCAGTATTTCAGCTAAAAAGTAATAGAGCCACTCAGATTCTCTTGTGATTACTGTTTGCATGGTATATCTTTTTCTCATCCTTTTACTTTCAACTTTGTTGTGTTTTTGTAACTAAGGTGTGTGTCTCTTGTAGACAAAATATAGTTGGTTCTATGTTTTATCTAGTTTGACAATTTCTGTGTTTATTCCGTTTACATTTAATGTAGTTATAATATGGTTAGATTTACAAATAACCATTTTGCTATTTATGTTCCATATGTTTTATACCTTTTGTTCTTCTGTTCCCCTTCTTTATGTGTCAAATACATATTTTTTAAGGTGACATTTTAATTCCTTTTGATTTAAAATTTTTTGAGGGTTGTTTTTAGTGATTGCTCAAGAGAGTATAGTATTCTTCAGATTCATACTAATTTAATTCTGCTAAAATATTGAACCTTTGCTTCAACTAATGTTATTATCCCATAAACCCAGCAATACAGTGTTATGATTACTGCTTTGTAGACCCTTATGTCTTTTTTTTTTTGAGATGGAGTCTCACTCTGTTGCCCAGGCTGGAGTGCAGTGGCACGATCTTGGCTCACTGCAACCTCCGCCCTCCGAGTTCAAGGGATTCTCCTGCTTCAGCCTCCCGAGTAGCTGAGATTACAGGTGCCTGCCACCCTGCCTGGCTAATTTTTTTGTATTTTTAGTAGAGATGGGGTTTCACCATCTTGGCCAGACTGGTCTTGAACTCCTGACCTCATGATCCACCCGCCTTGGCCTCCCAAAGTGCTGGGATTACAGGCGTGAGCCGTCATGCCTGGCCCACCCTTATGTCTTTTAAAGATATTAAGAGAGAAATGAGAAAATAGATTTATGTAGTCTTTTAAAAATACCCATGTATTTATATTTCTGGCGGTTTTAATTTCTTCTGGTGAATTTGAGTTATCATATGTAATTTTCTTGCAGCTTGAAGGACTTTATTTTTAATTTTAATTTTAATTTTTTTGGAGACAGAGTCTCACTGTCATCCAGGCTGGAGTGCAGTGGTGCGATCTGGGCTCCCTGCAACTTCTGCATCCAGGGTTCAAAAGATTCTCCTGCCTCAGCCCCACGAGTAGCTGGGATCACAGGCATGCACCACCACACCCGGCTAATTTTTGTATTTTAGTAGAGATGGGGTTTCACTATTTTGGCCAGGCCAGTCTTGAACTATTGACCTTAGGTGATCCACCCACCTTGGCCTTCCAAATTGCTGGAATTATAGGGATGCATGTGCCACTACGCCAGGCTCGGACTTCCTTTAGTATTTCTTGTAAAGCAGGTCTGTTCTCTCCATTGTTAATGATGAAGAGTCACCCGCAAATTATACTGTTTTTCAACTGTATGTGATGAGTCAATTTTTTTCTTGCTCGTTTCAGGATTTCTTCTTTGTTGTTCAGCAGTTTGAGTCATGTCTTAGCATGACTCTCTGTGTTTATCCTGCTTGGGATTCATTGAGTTTCTTTGATGTATACATTAATGTTTTCCATCAAATTTGGAAACTTATGACCATTATTTCTTCAAATATTTTTCTATCTTCCCCTTTTTCCTTCTGATACTCCCATCACATGTATTTTGGTTTCTCTGATGTTGTCCCGTAGGTCTCTGAGAGTCTGTTCATTTTCTTAAGTCTTTGTCCTTTCTGTCCTTCGAATTTGATAATTTTTACTAATGTATCCTTAAGTTCACGTATTCTTTCTGTCATTTTGAATTTGCTGTTGAGACCCTCTAGTGAATTTTTTATTTGATTGTAGTTTTCAACCCCAGAATGTCTGTTTCTTTACAGTTTTTTGTAAAAAATCTATTTGCTTAGGTTCTTTACTTGTTGAGTCATTGTTGTCATACTTTCCTTTAGTTCTTTAAGCATGGTTCTGTTTTTTGAACATATTTATAATAACTGATTTGATATCTTTGTCTGCAAAATTCAATGTCTGGGGACCCTCAAAGGCTATTTCTGTTTTTTGTTCTGTTTTTTTCTTTCCTTAGTATGAGTCAAATTTTCCTGTTTCTTTGCATGTCTTATAATTTTTGTTGGAATATTGACAATTTAGATAATATATTGCAGCATCTCTGGATTCTGATTGCATTCCCTCCTGTCCCATGGGTTGTCATTGCTGATTTTTGTTTGCTTGTTTAATAATTTGCCTAGAGTAAATTTATGAAATCTGTTTGTCCTGTGGCATGTGTCTGCTCTGTTTATTATGGTTGTTGTTTTTATTTTTAATGTTGGCTTCCTAGGGATCACCTCTTATGTCAGCCAATGATGTACTCAATGTACTTAAATCCATAGAGCCAGTAAGGCTTTTCCCTTCTATTGACAGATCTGTGTGTAGATTGGGGAATGTATTCAAAGCTCTGGCCATTTAAAAAAATGTGGCCATTTTTAAGTTTGTCCCAGTTTTTTATGTTCCCCTGAGACCTCTTGTGTCTTTGGCCAGGAAATGTGTGGATAGCTTGGGCTTTCTCTAGTTTGTGTTACGCACATTGGAGCTTTTGTTCAGCTAGGAATATGTGACTAGTTTATCAGGCCCATCTATGGCTTCCTCTCCTTCAAGATCTTTCTAAGCTCCTTGCTAATTTGCCATTCTGCTTGCTCCAATTGGTACTGGACCCTCACACTTGCTTGGATTGGTACAGAGTTTTCCCTTTCACTCCTGGGCATAGATTTTCTGCCTCCAATCCAAATCACAGCTCAACCCTCTCTGTCAAGATAGCTGCCAGTTTTCATGATCTGTTCCCACCCCCAAAGAACTACCACAAAGACTTAACAGGTGAAGGAAGAAGGGTAATGGGAACAGGCCCAGGAATGAGTGCCACAGACTTCCACCATCCTTACCTAAGTTCAGTGGATTTTCATGAACAAATACTTCTCAGTTGATTGTATTGTATGCCTTTGGTCATTTTCCATCGTTTGAGATGATTATTTTTGACAGTTTTTTTTCTAGTTATATATTTGCTTTTGCAGAGGGGATTGCCAAACTCCTCATCTCATCATGCTGGAAGTCTTCTTTGCTTCTTTTTGGTGTTTTTGAAATGTTTATTTATATAAGGACATACAAAATATTGCATAGAAAGCATATGATTTTAAATTCCACTTGATATTTATTTTCTAGGACACTATAATTACAATTAGACAGAAATGTAATCTTTTTATTGTTGCAGATTTCAAGTTCCACCTATAAAGACAGGAATGAGGAATACAGAAGACAGTTCACACATCTACCTGATACAGAGAGGCTGATAGCAGGTAAAATAGAAATTTTCAAAAAAAAGTTTTATTACCTCATTATAAAAAGAAAACTGATAAGTGACAGTATATGTAATAAAATTTAAGCCTTTATGCTAGACAGAATATAATTTTCAAGTTAAGCATCATCCTTATGATCCAGCAATCCCATTTCTGGGTAGATATCCAAAAGAAAGGAAATCAATATATTGAAGAGATATCTGCACATTCATGTTTATTGTAGCACTATTGACAATACCGAAGATATGGAATCAACCTAAGTAGCCATCAATGGATGAATGGATAAAGAAATTGTGGTACATAAATGCAATGAAATATTATTGAGCCATAAAAAAGAATGAAATGCTGTCATTTGCAACAGTGTGGATGGAACTGGAGGACATTATGTTAAATGAAATAAGCCAGGCACAAGAAGACAGATATCCCATGTTCTCACTCATCTGTGGGAGCTAAAAAGAAATTGATCTCATGGAGATAGAGTAGAATGATGCCAGGTGTGGTGACTCATGCCTGTTATCCCAGCACATTGGGAGACTGAGGCAGGAACATTGCTTGAGCCCAGGAGTTCCAGACCAACCTGGTCAACATAGTGAGATCCTGTCTGTATTATAAAAAAAAAAAATTAGCCAGGTGTGGTGGTATGTGCCTGCAGTCCCAGCTGCTCAAGAGGCTGAGATGAGAGAATCACTGAGCCCAGGAATTGGAGACTGCAGTGAGCTATGGTGGTGTCACTTCACTCTACCCTGGGCAACAGAGTGAGACCCTGACCCACCCCCAAACCCCCGCTCAAAAAAAAAAAGAGAGAGAGAGTAGAATGATGGTTACCAGAGGGCTAGGAAAGGTACTATGAAGGGAAGATAAAAAGGAGATGGTTAATGGGTACAAGAATACAGTTAGATAGAAGGAATAAGATATAGTGTTCAGTATCACATGGGGAGACTATAGTTAACAGTAATTTATTGTATATTTCAAAATAGCCAAAAGAGTGGAATTGGGATGTTTCTAATACAAAGATATGATAAATAGTTGAGGTGATGATATCTCAATTACTTTGATTTGATCATTACAAAATATGTGCTTATTCCAGTATATCACATTACTCCATAAACACAACCATTCAGTATCCATAATAATTAAAAATTTTAAAAAAGATAAGCAGCATCTTCATAATTAGACAATGGAAAACTCAATTGCAATTCAGGGAGGAGTGATTTTTGATTTATAAGAATTTTTTTTTTTTTTTGGCTGGGTGCAGTGGCTGATACCTGTAATCCCAGCACTTTGGGAGGCTGAGGTGGGAGGATTGCCTGAGGCCAGGAGTTCGAGACCAGCCTGGGCAACAAAGCGAGACCTTGGCTCAACAAATAAATAAATAAATAAAAGACACACACACACACACACACACACACACACACACACACACACACACACAGAGGAATATTAAGTACTAAGAAAATATAACTAAAAATAAATGATTTCTCACAATGATTTTGGTGCATCAAATTGGAGAGAAAATTTAAACTTGATGTTCAATATATATTTACCTCCAGAAAAATACACTTTCTAACAGATGTACTCATAGAGAAACTTCACAAATGTTCTAGGGCTAAATCATTATTTGTGTAATTGTTCACATGGATTTTTTTTTGAAGTAGGCTTTAAGAGGAAAAATTTAATCATTTTTCTTTTAAAAGTGCTTTATTTTTTACTATAAGCTTAATATATACTCATGACAATAAAACTACAGAGCTAAGTTTTAGTTTTAGTATATATTTAATTGAAAACATTTATTTAGGTTGGGTGTGGTGGCTCATGCCTGTAATCCCAACACTTTGGGAGGCTGAGGCGGGTGGCTTGCTTGAGCCCAGGAGTTCGAGATCATCCTGGACAACGTAGTGAGACCTCATCTCTACAGCACTTTGGGAGGCTGAGGCAGGCGGATCATGAGGTCAGGAGATCCTGGTTAACAGGGTGAAACCCTGTTTCTACAAAAAATACAAAAAATTAGCCAGGTGTGGTGGTGGATGCCTGTAGTCCCAGCTACTTGGGAGGCTGAGGCAGGAGAATGGTGTGAACCTGGGAGGCGGAGCTTGCAGTGAGCCAAGATTGTGCCACTGCACTCCAGCCTGGGCAACAGAGTGAGACTCTGTCTCAAAAAAAAAAAAAAAAAAAAAACAACCAACAATAACAGCAAAAAAAATCAGATGGACATGGTGGCATGCACCTGTAGTCCCAGCTACTTAGGAGGCTGAGGTGGGAGGATTGCTTGAGCCCAGGAGGTGGAGGTTGCAGTAAGGAGAGATCATGCCAGTGCACTCCAGCCTGGGTGACAGAACAAGACTTTGTCTCAAACAAAAACAAAAACATTTATTTATATGAATTTCTCAGATTTTTGGTACTATTAGGAAATGTTTAATTCAGTGTCTAGAACTCGATGAATTTCTAGACAGCTCAGCTCAATAAATATCATAATGAATTAAAGCAATTTTTAAAAACATTGCTTATTGGAAGTAATACAGTCCCATGATAAAATTTGCAAATGGTACATAAGGACATAAAGTGAAAAGTGAAAAGTGAGTGATCCTTACAACCAAGACCACTTCAATGTTCTTCCTGGGAGATAACCACTGTTAGTAATTTCTTAGGTATAATTTCAGAAAATTTCTATATGTATTTAGGATTATATATATAGAAAAAAACTTAAATGGGAACAGACTGTGATTATTGTTTTGAATCTTGCTTAGATCTCTTTTTTATTTGCTATTTGCACTACTATGAATCCACTTCATTCTTTTTTTTCTTTTTTTTTTTTTTTTTTTTTGAGATAGAGTCTCGCCCTGTCACCCAGACTGGAGTGCAGTGGTGTGATCTCGGCTCACTGCAACCTCCACCTCCCAGGTTCAAGTGATTCTCGTGTCTCAGCCTCCCGAGTAGCTGGGATTACAGGCACACACCACCACGTCCGGTTAATTTTTGTATTTTTAGTAGAGATGAGGTTTCTCCATGTTGGCCAGGCTGGTCTTGAACTCCTGATCTCAAGTGATCTTCCTGCCTTGGCCTCCCAGAGTGCTGGGATTACAAGCCTGAGCCACTGCACCCAGCCAAGAAGCCATTAAAAAAAAATCAATTGTATTGAAGTATAAATTTATTACAATAAAACATATCCATTTTAGGGAGTCCATTTTTAAAAACCACTGACGCTGGGCATGGTGGCTCACACCTGTAATCCCAGCACTTTGAGAGGCCGAGGCGGGCAGATCGCTTGAGGCCAGGAGTTCAAGACCAGCCTGGGCAACACAGTGAAACCCTGTGTCTACTAAAAATACAAAAAAAAAAAAAAAAAATTAGCCAGGCGTGGTGGCCAGCGCCTATAGTCCCAGCTACTCGGGAGGCTGAGGCAGGAGAATGGCGTGAACCTGGGAACCTGGGAGGCGGAGCTTGCAGTGAGCTGAGATCACGCCACTGCACTCCAGCCTGGGCGACAGAGCAAGACTCCATCTCAAAAAAAAAAAAAAAAAATTAGCCGGGTGTGGTGGCGCACGCTTTTAATCCCAGCTACTCGGTAGACTGAGACATGAGAATAGCTTGAACCCAGAAGGCAGAGGTTGCAGTGAGTTGAGATCGCACCATTGCACTCTAGCCTGGGCGACAGAGCAAGACCCTGTTTCAAAACAACAACAACAACAGCAACAACAAAAAACACTCAAAAAAGTCTGCTGATATATATCAAATAGTCTTCAGTTAAATAATCTAAGTAGTTACTATGCCTTTGAACATAGTTAATGTAAAATAATACAGTGGTTCTCAAAGTGTGGTCCACAGACTAGCAACACTGTCAGTACCTGAGAGCTTGTTAGACACACAGACGCAACCCAGAACTATTTAATCATAAACCTTGGGGCAGAGGCCTAGCACTATGTGTTTTTTATTTTATTTTTTTTTTTGGAGACAGACTCTCACTCTGTTGCCCAGGCTGGAGTGCAATGGCATGATCTCAGCTCACTGTAACCTTTGCCTCCCGCGTTCAAGGGATTCTCATGCCTCGGCCTCCCGAGTAGCTGGAATTACAGGTGCCCGCCACCATACCTGGCTAATTTTTGTATTTTTAGTAGAGATGAGGTTTCACCGTGTTGGCCAGGCTGGTCTCAAACTCCTGACCTCAGGTGATCTGCCCGCCTTGGCCTCCCAAAGTACTGGGATTGCAGGTGTGAGCCACCACACTCGGCCGCAATATGTGTTTTAGTAAGTCAGCCAGGTATTTCTGATCTGAAGTTTGAGAAGCATTGAATTGATAAAATGGTTTGGTGGTTTGGAAAAAAATTTCAGGATATTTCAAGGTGACCTTTAGCCCAATCTCTGTTTTAGTGATGAATACTAGTTAATGGGTAACCTAACCTGCTTAATTATTTACAAGAAAATTCTGTTTGGTGGCACCTCACTTTTGTTTTGCTGATGGAAGCATTGTGAAAGACTGAATTACTTTGCTCAATTTTTAGTATTTGCTTAGACATTTAACATGACTAAGTGGAAACATTTTGAGATTTATTCAACATCTACCTAAAATTGCTAATTAGTTTATAGAGTTTTAAAATTTAGCAGTTAAGCTAAATCTCCTCATAGCAGCCCTTTGTATCTTATATTACTAATAATTTAGCAGTACAGTTTACATTCTCCACAGAGCCAGATCTTAACCTTAAAGGTATGGTATTAACTTGTTTGGCAGGCAGACTTGATTTTGCTGGACTTTAGTGGTGAGGTGGAGAGAATCAACTTTTTTTTTTTTTGGAGACAGAGTCTCGCTCCCTGGAGTGGAGTGGCACGATCTTGGCTCAGTGCAACCATCACCTTCCAGGTTCAAGAGATTCTCCCACCTCAGCCTCCTGAGTAGCTGGGATTACAGGTGCCCACTACCATTGCTAATTTTTGTATTTTTAGTAGAAACAGGGTTTCCCCATGTTGGCCAGGTTGGTCTTGAACTTCAGAACTCAAGTGATCCGCTGGCCTCGGCCTCCCAAAGTGTTGAGATTACAGGCATGAGCCACTGTGCCCAGCCCAGCTGAGAGAAACAACTTTGAAACTGACTTAAAATGTATACAATTTTCTGAGTCATCTTTGACCCCTCTTTACTTTTGTCTAACATCTAATCAATCACCAATTCACCATCAGTACTACCTCCTAAATATGTCTTAATCTAACTACTCTGTCTCTTACTATGGTCACCTTCTGGTCTGAGTCACCATCAACTTTTCTCTGGACTTCCAACTGATTTATCATAATTCATTCTCACAATGTGAATAAAGTAATCTTTAAATATATACATCTGTTCCTGTTCCTTCCACTTAAAGGTCATCGGTGGCATCTCATGACAACCACAGTCTACCATGGCTTGTGAGACTTTACATGATGTAGCTTCTCCAGCTTCTCCAGCCCAAAGATCTAATAGTTCCTCAAATGTGCTGTGTTTCTTTTTACCAAAAGGCCTTTGCATGTGCTGTTCCCTTATGATCCTTCTGACCCTTTATTGATCTTTTCATGTTAAAGATCAGTTTTTTTTAGGAGAATCCTTCCTGATGCACACTCTCTGCCCTGCCCTCCTCATACCTGCCTATGCTCTCATAGCTTTCTCTACACTTGGGTCATTATCATATTTATTTTCATATTTGTTTATTTTCTGCCTTCCCTTACATTGTGTTCCATGAAGGCAAGAGCCATTTCTGCTAATCCTAGTACACAGCAAAATATCTGACATATGGTGTCCAAAGTAGATGAAGGAATGAATGAATGAACTAATGAACAAAAAGTGATGACTTTCCATCTGTTGAAATATAGTATAAGGTCTATTAATTTCTCAGATTTTCGTGAATAAGCTGTATCTTATTTTTGTGTATATAGATTATGCTTGTGCTCTTCAGAGGGACATTTTGCTTCAGGGACGACTATACCTTTCAGAAAACTGGCTATGTTTCTATAGCAACATCTTCAGATGGGAAACTACAGTAAGACATTTTGCATTTGATTTGTTGATACAAATAATTGCATAGAGATATATACAGTTCTTCCAAAAACTCTACTTTAGATGATTCCAAAGTAAATTTATATATATTTGTGCATCTAAATTAGTGTGCATGTAAATACAAACGTGTTGTATATATAAGTGTATAATATATTTTTCTGATTTAATACATTGAGCTCCAGTATAGTTAGAGAAAGATATTTTAATTGAAAAAAAGCTTGAACATATATCTTAATGGCTGCCAAAACCATGTCTTAAGTGACAGACTGTCTGATTTTTGTTTGTGTGTTAATGTGGAGCATGAACACCCACATGTCTTTTCAAACTTTATACTAATGTTAGATAGAGGAGTTGTTGGGGGAGAATACTGCAGGGCAAACTGCTTACCCTGTTTTTCTCAGAGAATACAAGCGTGTACTTATTAACTCCTTCAAGTCGAAAAACCTGAAGAATATTCAACTGTGAAGTTGAATATTCTGGATTAGATTGATGGGATACTTGGCATTTTGTATTGTGTATGTTTCTGAAAAATACATTAAAAAAATTTTTTGTGTGTTTAGATTTCTATTGCTTTAAAGAATATAACCTTCATGACCAAGGAAAAAACTGCTCGACTCATCCCAAACGCTATCCAGATAGTTACAGAAAGTGAAAAGGTGAAAACTTTCCTATCTTTGTTATATTACATAATGTGAAGAAAATCTCCCTCATACTCATCATCAATGTTGGGAAATTAGGCAGTTCTTCCTGGAGTTAGGAATATCTGATACACATATGTTTAATACTAGAATTCTGTATGCAGTTATATTAGTGGTTAACTTTAAATGACTGCTGACTTTTTTGTACTTTATAGTTTACAGATAACTTTCACTCATATTTTTCATTTCTAGGCAGGGTAACATTAGCACAATGTCCTTATTTCTAAATACTCTAATAATCCCATGAGTATTTTTCAGTCAGTAATAACTGCACAATAGCAACTAATAAAAAATGCTCCTGGTGAACAGAGATTTGGACAGCATACACATAAACACTAACCACTGTATTCTTTTTTTAAAAAATGGCAATTATCTTTAACTGACATAATTTTTATTATTCACCTACAATGTCTGCCATTTCTTAGTGGGGATATATCAAGAATATTTCTTAACCACCTGGAAAATTGGTTAGGGCCCTGTGTGAGAGACATTAGAAGTGTAGTGATGAGAAAGAAAAAGAATAAAGAAGGAGAGGAAGGAAAGAAAGAAAAAAAAAAGGAAAGAGAAAAAAAGAGGAGGGGTAGGGAGGGAGAAAAAGAGACAGGGAGAGTTTTGGGGGAGGAGGGGAGAGAGAATTAGTACCATGATATTAAATCTTTGTAATTATACTTTTTAATCTTGTGGAGATTCTTCTAAATTCACTTTAAATTTTATCTTACTCTTTTTTTAGAGACAGGGTCTTGCCATGTTGCACAGGCCAGCCTCGAGCATTTGGGTCATGCGATCCTCCAACCTTAGCTTCCCAAGTAGCTGGGACTTCTGGTGTGCACCACTGAGCCTGGCTATTTTTATTTTTAAACAGTCTTATCCCTATAGAACACTTGCAAATGCAGTACAAAGAGCTTTTGCTCCTGCACTAATTGAGAATAAATTCTCACCTTGATCCTCCATCACCTTAGATATTCTGGCATGTACTTCCAACAAAGACATTTTTCTATATAACCACAATATAATTCAACATCGAAAAATTAACACTGATCTGTTACTGCCATTCAGTTCTTAGATCCCATTCAATTTCCATAACTATCCCAATAATATCCTTTATAGCAAACAGACTCAGTTCAGGATTACACATTACATTTAGTTATCATGCTCTTTAATTTCCTGGAAGAGCTCTTTCGTCTTTTCTTGACTTTTATGTCCTTGATACTTTTAAAGTTTACAGGTCAGTTATTTTGTAGGATATCTCTCAATTTGTGTTTGTCTGATGTTCCCTTGTGATTAAATTTAGGTTGTGTAATTTTGGAAGAAATACATGGAAATGATGCTCTGCTGTCACCACTACATCCTATCAGATGGCACATGATTTTAACTTCTACCATTACTGGTCATATTTACTTTGAACGTTCGATTAAGGTGGTGTCTGCAGACTTTAGTATAATCTGTTTTCCTTTGTAGTAATAAGTATTTTGGGGAAAGGTTTTTTTTTTTTAGAGACGGAGTTTTGTTTTTATTGCCCAGGCTCAAGGCAATGGTGTGATCTTCGCTTACTGCAACCTCCGCCTCCTGGGTTCAAGCGATTCCCCTGCCTCAGCCTCCCAAGTAGCTGGGATTACAGGCATACACCACCATGCCCAGCTTATCTTTTTGTATTTTTAGTAGAGATGGGGTTTCACTATTTTGGTCAGGCTGGTCTTGAACTCCTGACCTCAGGCGATCCGCTCACCTTGGCCTCCCAAAGTGCTGGGATTACAAGTGTGAGCCACTGCGCCCAGCCTGGGGAAAGGTATTTTGAAACTATGCAGATATACCATTCTTACCATACTTTGAATTTATTCATTCCTTTACTTATGTCAGTATGAACTGGTGATTTCTTACCTTATTCAATGAATTATAAGCCATTACTATCATTATTTATTTTGATGCTCACATTGTCCCAAATTTGGTCAGTGGGAGCCCCTTCAAGCTGGCTCCAGTATCCTTTTGAGTATTCTCAGTGTGTTTGAGCATTTACCTATTTTTCTGGCCCAAGATGTTTCAGGCTTTCCCTCCCCCAGCCCTGGGATCAACCATTTCTCCAAGGAGTCCTAGTTTCTTTTAGGGGAAACTGAAAGAAGCCAGTGTGTTCATTGCTATGGAGTTGGGGGAGGGGCATCACTGTTTTCAAACCCTTTAAGGGGGTATAATAATGGTGTACATTAAATGTATATAATCACACACACATATGCATAATGCATACACATATATACACTCACTTATACATCTGTTTATCCATCTATCCATCCATCCATCTAAAACATAAATTACAGGCGTGATTTATGTAATCACGTGATTTATAAATTCACATCAGGACCTCCAAGTCCCATCTAACACCACAGAGTTTATTTTTGTTTTCTTCCTTTCCATATTTGTAACTCCCTTCCGTGGCTATGAGAAACCAGGCTCCCATTATCCTTAATATAGTTACTTATTTAACCACTGGGCCTTTGTATAACCAATCTTCATCTCCACTGCCACCCCTCTCCCACATGGATGCCTCATTGCCTGAGTTGGTTTCTGACACTTAGAATCAGGTTGCTGCCCATCACACCATGACACAGAGGCTCTCATGTAAAAATTCTCGGCCAGGCGCAGTGGCTCACACCTGTAATCCCAGCACTTTGGGAGGCTGAGGAGGGTGGATCACGCGGTCAGGAGTTCGAGACCAGCCTGGCCAAAATGGTGAAACCCCGTCTCTACTAAAAATACAAAAATTAGCTGGGCATGGTGGTGCACACCTGTAATCCCAGCTATTCAGGAGGCGGAGGCAAAAGAATCGCTTGAACCCGGGGGGTGGAGGTTGCAGTGAGTCGAGACCGCGCCACTGCACTCCAGCCTGGGTGACAGAGTGAGACTCCGTCTCAAAAAAAAAAAACCAAAAAACAAACAAACCGACTCTCTTTATCCTGCTTAGGCTGATATTCCATGCCAAGTTGCTTTACCCTCTGCCAGATTGCCCTCTACAGGGACACCCTCTGTTCCCTGCTTGTGCCAGTTTGTCACTATGTGTGGTTGCTGTCCCCACCCTGCTCAGTCTCTGATACTCCAGCACAAGACCACCTTCATGAGCTCTGTAACACTACGCCACCCTCACCTGCTCTGGTTCTGACATGTCATTGTAGGGCATGCTCATTTGTGGCCACTCTTCACCATGTTTGGTCTTTGACACTTGACACCACACAAAAAGCTACCTCTTTATGTGGTCACCCTCCTTGAGCTCTGACTTGTGCTCCTGCTCCATACTTTTTTCACCCCATTCTTGTTCTAATACAGTTCTCCATGTCATCCCCATATGTGGAGGCTGTTACTCATTTGGGCTCTGACACTCCACACGGGATGACCTCTTCCTTTTTTTTTTTTTTTTTTTTTGAGACAGAGTTTCACTCTTGTCAACCAGGCTGGAGTGCAATGGCATGATCTCGGCTCACTGCAACCTCCACCTCCCAGGTTCAAGCAACTCTCCTGCCTCAGCCTCCCAAGTAGCTCAGATTACAGGTGCCCGCCACCATGCCCGGCTAATTTTTGTATTTTTAGTAGAGACGGGGTTTCACCATGTTGGCCAGGCTGGTCTTGAACTCCTGAGCTCAGGTGATCTGCCTGCCTTGGCCGCCCAAAGTGTCGGGATTACCAGCGTGAGCCACCGTGCCCGGCTGACCTCTTCATTCTTATCTGGTTTTGACACTCTGCTTTAGGCTACTTTTTTAGCCTCTCTTGCCTCCCACACTCCTAGTGTGGATGCCTACTTTTCTCTTTTCCACCAATAGCTTTAGGGCTGAACTGTTCAGGAAGGAAAGAGGAAGACTTAAATATTCTTAGTTTTACAATTAATACATAATATACCTTTTCTTTTTTTTAACAAAATCATCAAACAGTTTCAAAACTAACATCTTCATTCCATACCCATAATCCCCAATTCCATTTTCTTTCTAGAGGCAAATGCTATCAGTTTGGTATATATCTTTTCAGACTTCCTTTCTTTTTATTTACATACAGGCATGCATATATAAATGTATAGTTTTGCTCTTTTTTAAAAAAAGTAAATGTAATCTTACATGTGTTGTTTTTCGGCTCTCCTTTTTTTTAAAAAAACAACATTATCTCTTGTAGTTGTAGGTCTGCACGTGTAGATAGACCCACCTCTTTTTTAAAAAATGCTGTATGGTATTTCATAGAATGGATATACCATGATTTCCTTTACAGTTAGTTTCTTTCTAATATTTTATTATTACAAACAGTGCTGCAGTGAACAGCCTGACCATGCCCTCTTATGCTCATGTGTGACTGTTTCTCACATATGTATTGGAATTTCAGGATCAAACATTTAAATTTTAATAATGACAGTAAGTCAGCATTTACTGAACACTTACTGTTATCTAGACACTGCTTTAAGCTCTTTACGTATATTTTCATATGTAATTCTTATAAAGATCCACTATGATAATTATTCTCATTTTGCAGATGAGAAAACTAAAGAAAAGAAAAGTGAGCCAATTCACAGTACTAACAACAGGTGATAGAACAAGAATGTGAACCCAGTTCATTTAATTGCAGAGACCCTGGTCTTAGCTTCCTCACTATGTTAACTCAATGATTTCATTTTTTCATCATCATGGTAAAAAATTCTGTACTACTAAATATTCACCCCTTTTATGTACTCTATGACTAAAGGAAGGCTAATCATAGCAATTTTAGTTGTTTTGGGTTCTAGAATATGTTCTATGCCCCAGCGACTTAGAGGTATCATTATCTAGAACTCTTCCCAAACTCATAAGAAGGCTATTATTGAATCAAGATTAATTTAATTTAATTTATTTATTTATTATTTTTGTCTGAGATGGAGTCTCACTCTGTCGCCCAGGCTGGAATGCAGTGGCGCGATCCTAGCTCGCTGCAACCTCCGCCTCCCGGGTTCAAGCGATTCTCCAGCCTCAGCCTCCCGAGAAGCTGGGACTACAGGCATATGCCACCACCATGCCAGGCTAATTTTTGTATTTTTAGTAGAGATCGGGTATCACCATGTTGGCCAGGCTGGCCTTGAGCTCCTGACCTCAGGTGATCCACCCATCTCGGCCTCCCGAAATGCTGGGATTACAGGCATGAGCCACCATGCCCAGCCAAATCAAGATTTATTAATATGTTTTTGAAGTTGGATATCTAGCAAGGAATAAAAGAAAGGTAGTAATTTATGTAGATTATCCAGAAAGCTGGGCGTTTTAAGGAGTTGGGAATGTGGTGGTTGTGCGTGAGAGTGGATAAAGTTAATACTAAGCTATATAGTACAAGAAGTGGGAATTAGCAAGCATAACACAGTGGTGAAAATGAGATAGACTAGGAGATTTTTAAAATCTATATATCTGAACACAGGGTTGTAAGGTTATTATGATTAGGCAAAACAATTTGGCCTAAGAAAAGGGAATAGGGAACAGCATGTATTGATTGTTAGATCACATATTATATATATAATTCTATTTGGAAGAGATCCTGCATATATCTTCTTTGTAAAAAGTTTTGCTTTATGAATAATGTATAGCAAAGTTTCAATTTAATGAATTAGAAAATAGCACTCTAAAGTCTTTCTGTGAAAATCATTAGCATCCAAAATATTATTTGTTTGATATTTTACTTAATAAAATAACTTAATCCAGCATAGAACTGAGCTTTCTCCTTCCTAAGGATAACTGCTGAGCCATGAAAGGTCATTAACTAGGGAACTGGAAGAGATAACACACTGAGAAGACTGTATTTAGTGCTGTCTTGTTGCATTTTCTTATAAAAGCCTATGTTAAAATATGACTTTGCAAAAATCAATTAAATAAAAATGTAGAATTATAGATTGAAACATACTACTTTTCTCTTATAGCATTCAAAGGAAAGTGCAGTGTTAGCATGGGTACTTTATAATTAGCAGAGAGAGGTATTTCTGGAGTTTTTAGAAGACCATGAAAACTGATATAATTAAAAATTAAGATCCTTAAATCTATCTCTGAAATCCACATGTATTTTTTTCTTATTCCTTTGTGTATACTTGGCTCAAGTGGCAGCCAATTCATATCTCTTCGCAAAGTTCAGAATAAAATAAAGTTTCATTTTTTCATAATTTTATTTAGATTGATTTCCACAATTAAACTGATAAACATAAATAGCTACCTATTTCAAGTCCCCATTGCTAGTAAATACTGACAAAATTGTGTTTATTGGAAGATAAAATTAGTAAAGACACCTTGTTCATATAGCAACTACCCGTGTTTCTTCTATTATAACAAAAAGTTAAATAAAAATAGTATACAAAGTAGGCAGTGTTGACCTACTAGTTTGTTTTAACCATAAGCAAGTCCGCATAGACTTTCATGACAGATAATCTGCTTTTATTTTCCATGACACTAAAATTCTCCTATTATTTTTCTTTGCAGTTTTTCTTCACATCTTTTGGTGCCAGGGATAGAAGTTACCTCAGTATCTTTAGGTTGTGGCAGAATGTATTATTAGATAAGGTAAGTGTTCATACCAGAGGCAGTTGCTTATTATAAGAACCTCCTAGTGTATTTGTGAATTGAAGAGCTCCTTCTTATTTTTCTTAACTAAATTTGACTAGATAATTGAAATTCTAAGTAGAAACTTCAATCAAAGCAAGATCTATAGTTACAAGTTAAGATGTTAATTATAATCCCCAGGATAATCACCAAGAAAATAAATAAAAATAAAAAATAAGCAGCAAAGGAATTAAAATGATACACTAGAAAATATGTTTTTAACATATAGGAAGGCAGTAATGGTGGCACACAGGGACAAAGATGACACAGGACATATAGAAAACAAACAGCAAAATAGCCATTAAACATAAGTGGATTAAACACTGCAACCAAAAGGCAGAGATAGGCAGAATGAAAAAATACATGAACCAAGCCAGGCACAGTGGCTCATACTTGTAATCTTAGCACTTTGGGAGTCTGAGGTGAGCGGATTGCTTGAGCCCAAGAGTTTGAGACCACCCTGGGTAACACAGCAAAACCCTGTCTCTACAAAAAATACAAAAATTAGCTGGGTGTGGTGACGCTTACCTGTAGTCCCAGCTACTTGGGAGGCTGAGGTGGGAGGATCACCTGAGCCCAGGATGTCGAGGCTGCGGTGAGCCATTATCGTGCCACGGCACTCCAGCCTGGGTGACAGAGTGAGATCCTGTTTCAAAAAAAAAAAAAAAACAACCATGATCCATCTATCCATCTTATATGCTGTATATAAGAGACAAATTAGATTCAAAGGCACAAATAGATTGAAAGTAAAAGGAAGAAATATGATACACCATGCAAACAGTAACCAAAACAGAACAGAAGTGAATGTAGTAATATCAGACAAAATAGACTTTAAGACAAAAATTATTAGAGACAAGGAAGAATAAAGGCTCAATTCATCTGGAATTCATAACAATCATAAACATATATAGACCTCGTACAGAGGCCCAAAATATACAAGCAAAAGTTGGCAGAATTGAAGGGAAACTAACAATTCAACAGTAAAACTTGGGACTGCGTGTGGTGGCTCATGCCTGTAATCCCAGCACTTTGGGGGACTTGAGGCAGGCGGATAGCTTGAGTCCAGGAGTTCAGGGCCAGCCTGGGAAACATGGTGAAACCCCATCTCTATTTATTTAATATATAATTAGCAAAAAATGTTGGAAAATTCAATACCCAACTTTCAATGAGAGATAGAACAACTAGACAGAAGACCAACAAGGAAATATAAGACTTGAACACCACTATAGACTAACTAAAAGACATCTATGATGCACTCCACCAAACAGTAGCAGAATATATATATATCCTTTTCAAGTGCACATGAAACATTCTCCAGAATAGACGATATGCTAGGTCAAAAAACAGGTGTCAGTACATTTAACAGTACTAAAATAATACTAAATACGTTCTCTGAGCACAATGGCATGAAATTAGAAATAAATAACGAAGGACATTTGGAAAATTCACAAAAAGTGGAAATTAAACAGAATACTTGTAAATAACCAATGGGTGAAAGAAGAAATCATGAGGGAAATTAGCAAATACTTTGGGTTAGATGAAAACAACAACAAAACATACCAAAACCTATGGGATGCAGCTAAAGCAGTATTTAGAATGACATTTATAACTGTAAACATCTATATTAAAAAAGAATGATAGTGAATCAATAACCTATATTTCTGCCTTAAGAAATTAGAGGCCGGGCGCGGTGGCTCACACCTGTAATCCCAGCACTTTGGGAGGCCCAGGCGGGCGGATCACGAGGTCAGGAGATCGAGACCATCCTGGCTAACATGTGTTATGGTGAAACCTCGTCTCTACTAAAAATACAAAAAATTAGCTGGGCGTGGTGGCGGGCACCTGTAGTCCCAGCTACTCGGGAGGCTGAGGCAGGAGAATGGCGTGAACCCGGGAGGCGGAGCTTGCAGCGAGCTGAGATCACGCCACTGCACTCCAGCCTGGGCGACAGTGAGACTCTGTCTCAAAAAAAAGAAAAAAAAAAAGAAAAAAGAGAGAGGCGCAGCGGACCACTCTCCGCTTTCCCCCCCTTCCCCTCCCCCTCCCTTTTCCCTTCCTCCCTTTTCCCTAGCCACCTCCCCCGCTGCCCCCTCCCCCAATTATCCTTCCCCTTCCCTCCTGGTCTCGGAGGACCCCATCCTAGCCCGACCTGTCTCGGCCCGCAACTTCCCCGAAGGCGTCGGTGCCACTCCCAGTCCATGTGGGCCCCCGCGGGCTGCCCACGCCTGTCCCCCAGCTCCCCATTCCGCTGGGCTTTCCCCTCGCCAGGGGTGGCTTTCTGAGCCGCCCGCTCCGTGCCCCTCTCTGCATTCTCTCCTGCCACTTGGGGCCCCCGTTCCCCCTCCCTTCGGCGGGGGTTGCCCCCGGGGGGCTGGCGGAGCTGGGCCGTGGGGGCCTCCGGGGCCGGCGGTGCCGGGGTCATCCGGATGGTGCGGACGCAGTGTCTGCTGGGACTGCGCACGTTCGTGGCCTTCGCTGCCAAGCTCTGGAGCTTCTTCATTTACCTTTTGCGGGGGCAGATCCGCACGGTAATTCAGTACCAAACTGTTCGATATGATATCCTCCCCTTATCTCCTGTGTCCCGGAATTGGCTAGCCCAGGTGAGGAGGAAGATCCTGGTGCTGGATCTGGATGAGACACTTATTCACTCCCACCATGATGGGGTCCTGAGGCCGCAGTCCGGCCTGTTAGGCCTCCTGACTTCATCCTCAAGGTGGTAATAGACAAACATTCTGTCCGGTTTTTTGTACGTAAGAGGCCCCATGTGGATTTCTTCCTGGAAGTGGTGAGCCAGTGGTACGAGCTGGTGGTGTTTACAGAAAGCATGGAGATCTATGGCTTTGCTGTGGCAGGTAAACTGGACAATAGCAGAAGCATCCTTAAGAGGAGATATTACAGACAGCACTGCACTTTGCAGTTGAGCAGCTACATCAAGGACCTCTCTGTGGTCCACAGTGACCTCTCCAGCATTGTGATCCTGGATAACTCCCTAGGGGCTTACAGGAGCCATCCAGACAATGCCATCCCCATCAAATCCTGGTTCAGTGACCCCAGCGACACAGCCCTTCTCAACCTGCTCCCGATGCTGGATGCCCTCAGGTTCACCGCTGACGTTCATTCTGTGCTGAGCCGAAACCTTCACCAACATCGGCTCTGGTGACAGCTAATCCCCCTCCACTTGGGTTGGGGTGGGGGGGCGGGGGGGAAAGGGATGGCGAGCCCTTGGGATGCCATCTGATGCCCTGTCCAATGTGAGGACTGCCTGGGCAGGGTCTGCCCCTCCCACCCCTCTCTGCCCTGGGAGCCCTACACTCCACTTGGAGTCTGGATGGACACATGGGCTGGGGGCTCTGAAGCAGCCTCACTCTTAACTTCATGTTCACACTCCATGGAAACCCCAGACTGGGACACAGGTGGAAGCCTAGGGGAGCCGAATCAGTGTTTGTGAAGAGGCAGGACTGGCCAGAGTGACAGACGTACGGTGATCCAGGAGGCTCAAAGAGAAGCCAAGTCAGCTTTGTTGTGATTCGATTTTTTTAAAAAACTCTTGTACAAAACTGATCTAATTCTTCACTCCTGCTCCAAGGGCTGGGCTGTGGGTGGGATACTGGGATTTTGGGCCACTGGATTTTCCCTAAATTTTTCCCCTCTTTACTTTCCTTCTATTTTTCTCTCCTTAGACTCCCTCAGACCTGTAACCAGCTTTGTGTCTTTTTTCCTTTCCTCTCTTTTAAACCACACATTATAACTTTGAAAAAAAAATAAATTAGAAAAAGGACAGCAAACTAAATGCAAAGCAAGAAGAAGCAAGGAAATAATAAAGATTATAACAGAAATGAATGAAGTAAAGAATAGAAAAATAGACAATTCAGAACCAAAAGTTGTTTTTTTTTGTTTGTTTGCTTGTTTTTTTTTTTTTTTTTTTTTTTGAGATGGAGTCTCACTCTGTCACCAGGCTAGAGTGCTGTGGCCTGATCTCGGCTCACTGCAACCTCCAACTCCCTGGTTCAAGGGATTCTCCTGCCTCAGCCTCCTGAGTAGCTGGGATTATAGGCATGCGCCACCACGCCCAGCTAATTTTTGTATTTTTAGTAGAGATGGGGTTTCGCCATGTTGGCCAGGATGGTCTCAATCTCCTGAACTCGTGATCCGCCTGCCTTGGCCTCCCAAAGTGCTGGGATTACAGGCATGAGCCACTGCGCCTGGCCTTTTTGTTTTTTTTTTGTTTTTTTTTTTTTTTGAGATAGAGTCTCACTCTGTCGCCCAGGCTGGAGTGCAGTGGTGGCACAATCTCAGACAACCTCCGTCTCACAGGTGCAAGCGATTCTCCTGCCTCACCCTCCCAAGTAGCTGGGACTACAGGCGCCTGCCACCACACCCAGCTAATTTTTGGTATTTTTAGTAGAGGTGGGGTTTCACCATATTGGTCAGGCTGGCCTCTAACTTCTGACCTCTGGTGTTTCACCCACCTTGGCCTCCCAAAGTGCCGGGATTACAGGTGTGAGCCACCACACCCAGCCCAAAAGTTGCTTCTTTATAAAAAATGAGGCCGGGCACTGTGGCTTACGCCTGTAATCCTAGCACTTTGGGAGGCCGAGGTGGGTGGGTCACGAGGTCAGGAGATCGAGACCATCCTGGCTAACATGGTGAAACCCCGTCTCTACTAAAAATACAAAAAATTAGCCGGGCATGGTGGTAGGGCACCTGTAGTCCCAGCTACTCGGGAGGCTGAGGCAGGAGAAAGGAGAATGGCGTGAACCCAGGAGGTGGAGCTTGCAGTGAGCCGAGATTGCTCCACTGCACTCCAACCTGGGTGAAAGTGCGAGACTCCGTCTCCAAAAAAAAAAAAAAAAAAAAGGAAAATTGACAAACCTTTAGCTAGATCAACCAAGAAAAAAAGAAGACTACAATTGTAAAATTTAGGACTGAAAGTGGTGACAATACTACTAACCTTATAAAAATAAGAAAATTATAAGGAAATATTATGAATAATTGTATGCCAACAAATTATTTACCCTAAATGAAATGGATAAGTACTTAGAAAGTCACAAACTACAAAAACTGACTCAAGTAGAAATAGAGAATTTGAATAGACCTATAACAAGAAAAGAGATTGAATTAATGATAAAGAACCTACCACAGAGAAAAGCCCAGGCCCAGGTGGCTTCATTGGTGAACCAACTGTTTACAGTAGAATTAACACCAATCCTTCACCCAGTATTCTAAAAATAGAGGGAACACTTCACAACTTTATCTATGAGTACAGTATTACCTTGATACCAAAACCAGACATCACCACAAGAAAACTCTGGACCAGTATCCCTTATGAACAATGACACAAAAATCCTCAACAAAATATTAGCAAATCAAATCCAGCAATGTATGAAAAGGTATATACTATTATCAAGTAGAATTTATACAAGTTGAACTCAAAGCAGAGAGTAAAGTGGTAGTTGCCAGGGGTAGGAAGAAATGGGGAGATGTTGGTTAAAGGATACAAAGTTTCATTTATGCAAGATGAATGAGTACTGGAGATCAAATGTGCACCATGCTGACTACAGTTAACAATACTGTGTTGTATACTTGAAATTTGCTAATAGAGTAGATCTTAAGTTTTTTCACCAGTACAAAAAAAGAAAGAAGGCAAGCAAGCAAATGATAACTACATGAGGCAATGGATATGTTAATTAACCTGATTGTGGCGACCACAATGTATATGCATATCAAAACATCAAGTTGTATACCTTAAATATGTACCATTCCTATTTGTTAATTATACTTCAGTAAAGCTGAAAAAAAATTTTTTAAATACAAATGCTGTTGAGGATGTGGAGAAAGTGGATCCCTCAAGTACATTGTTGGAAAGATTGTAAAATGATGCAGCCACTTTGAAAAACAGTTTGGCAGCTCCTCAAAATGTTTACCATAGATCTGTTCTTGCAAAAACTTGTACCCCAATGTTCATAGCAGCATTTATTATTCATAATAGCCAAAAAGTAGAAACAATCCAAATGTCCATCAAGTGATTAATGTATAAATAAAATGTATGACCTGGTGTGGTGGCTCATGCCTGTAATCCCAGACTTTGGGAGGCTGAGGCGGACAGGTCACCTGAGGTCGGGAGTTCGAGACCAGCCTGACCAATATGGAAGAAACCCCATCTATACTAAAAATACAAATTAGCCGGGCGTGGTGGCACATGCCTGTAATCCCAGCTACTCGGGAGGCTGAAGCAGGAGAATCACTTGAACCGGGTAGGCAGAGGTTGCAGTGAGCCGAAATCGCGCTATTGCACTCCAGCCTGGGCAGTAAGAGCAAAACTCCTTCTAAAAAAAAACGTATATCCACACAGTGGAATATCATTCAGTAATAAAATGTAGTGAAGTAGTGATACATGCTACAACATGGATGAGCCTTGAAAACATAATGCTAAGTGAAAGACGCCAGTCATAAAAGAACACATCCTGTAGGATTCTGTTCTTATGAAATGTTTAGAATAGGCAAGTTCATAGAAACAGAAATAGTAAAGTTATTGCCTGGAGGAGGGAGTAATGAGAAGTGACAGCTGATGGAGTCAGTTATCTTTCTGGGTTGACAACGTGTCCTGAAATTAGCGGTGATGGTTGTTTAACTTTGGATATGTGAAAACCGCCTGAATTGTACACTTAGAGGGATGAATTTTCAGGTATGTGAATTATAGCACAGTAAAGCTGCTGTTAAAAGAAATGGTTTAAGGGGAACAGTAGAGATTTCCTGCAGATAAGAAAGCCTCTTTTTTTTTTTTTCGAGATGGAGTTTTGCTCTTGTTGCCCAGGCTAGAGTGCAATGGCGATCTCGGCTCACTGCAACCTCTGTCTCCTAGGTTCAAGTGATTCTCCTGCCTCAGCCTCCCGAGTAGCTGGGATTACAGGCATGCGCCACTGAGCCTGGCTAATTTTGTATTTTTAGTAGAGACAGGGTTTCTCCATGTTGGTCAGGCTGGTCTCGAACTCCCGACCTCAGGTGATCTGCCTGCCTCGGCCTCCCAAAGTACTGGGATTACTGGTGTGAGCCTCCACCCAGACAAGAAAGTTTCTTTCTTTGAAGCTGGCAGGTGGGAACTTAGCCTCCTCTCCTCCCTACTCCCCAGCTAAGCACCTTCCTGAAGTGGACAGACACATTTTGGCCTCCAGAGCTCTTCATGTTGAATGGCCTTTTGAACTGAACGCTGAGGACAGGCTCTCCTAAGCAGTGCCCAACTCAAATGCTTTCACTTTACTGGAGTGGGGACCCTTGGAGAAGTAGCCTACAAGTCTGAGATGGGGAAGGGACAGAGGAGAAAAGCTGGTGTGGGTGAGGGGGCTTGCCAAGCCCAGTCTCTCTGACCCATGGTAAGGGAGTAGAAGTGACTAGCTTGGAAGCCCCAAGTCCAAGCCCCTGCTGAGTGTCTGTGGGTGTTTGGATGCCCTGCTTCACCAGAGCCACATGCCCTTGCTCCTGGCCTGGGTGATGCTCACAGGGCAGGTCCACGGGCAGCAGGTCCTGCAGTGCATGTCGTCTACTACAAGGGCGTGGAGCAATGCATAGCTGTGTGCTGCTCTCAACTCAGCTCTATGCTGCCCTCCCAGGTTGCACTTTGGCAAGGAAGCCTCCTTCACCCACTGCAGGCCGGTCACTTTCAGATTCATTGTCATTACCGTGGGGTGCTCTATTCTAGCACTGGCTGAAAACTCCAGTGTTGCCATAGGGACCTGGCTACCCCACCCCAAATACTAACTTGTTGAGTGCTCAGAATCCGTGAGGTGCATTCTCTCATTCTAGCAAGGCACCAGCGACATCGCAGACTATGCTTGGTTATATACTGTATTGAATGTCCTTCCAATGTCACATTTGTGCTTATCACACACATGTGAGTTGGGATATGTCCTTATAAAAACAAATATCTCCAGGGAAGTGATAAAGTTCAGGTTTACAGATGAGCCAAGGGAGAAACTAAGTTCTTCACTTTAATGAAGAAGAAAGCTCTCTGAAGTGAGAAGAAGAAAGGGAATTCCAGAATACTGGAGGCCACCCACCATAGCCAAGAAACACTGCATTTACTGGCTGGAAGTAAAATTTACCCTTCTTTGAAAAGATCCTGATATTATCTGTGTTTCTGATGTATACACACGGAGGTATCACCATTTTCACAGTAGTTATACCTTTTACATCTTTGGATCATTTGGTTATCTTTAATGTTGAATATGCAACTCTGTTTCAAGTGGACACTATATTCTCATTTTAATAAACAGAATGGTGTCTGTTTCTGCTCCACAAGAAGACAAAAATGTTTAAGCATATATTATGTGTAAACTACTGTACAGAACTTAAAGTTGAAGATGAGATCTCAGTTTCAAAACTATCCTAAATGGAATTTTAAGCACTGTAGAATTCAACCAGAACAATTTTTAACGTATAAATATCTATAATAACAATGATAGCAACTCCCATTTATGAAGTATTAGGTGCCAGGCACAGTGCTAGGTGCTTGGTATAGTCTTGGTATTATCTATAATTTTGTAAGCCTCATTTCCCTTTTAGTTTTTTAAAGTCATAAAGCCACATTGGTTAAATTTCTTGATCTTGTGTAATACTCTTAAAAAAAGATAAAAAACCCTCATAAAATATACAGCATAGCTACAAAATTCTATTAAAACAACTTTATAAGTAATTTGAATAATACATTTGATATATATTAAAAATATTTTTGGCCAAGCATGGTGACTCATGCTTGTAATCCCAGCACTTCTGGAGGCTGAGGTGGGAGGATTGCTTGAGACCAGTTCAAGACCAGCCTGGGCAACATAGAGAGACCCCATTTCTAAAAAAAAAAAAAAGTTAAAAAAAATTAGCTAGGTGTGGTGGTGCATGCCTATAGTCCTAGCTACACAGAAGGCTGAGGTAGGAGGATCACTTGAGCCCAGGAGGCTGAGGCTGCAGTGAGCTGTGACCGTGCCACTGCACTCCAGCCTGGTTGACAGAGTGAGACACTGTCTCAAAAAAAAAAAATTAAGTTCAGAATATTATATTTGTGTTGCATGTAATTATGGAATCTAAGTATGTGTTACTTCTGCTTGCTTCTTGCATGAGAAGGCCTTTAAAAAAGCAAATTAATCTAGAAAGTAGATTTTTCATTAAAGTACTATAAAATGATAGTAAAATTATGTTTGTGTGCATTTGTTTTATTTATTTTTCCAGTAAAATAAATCCACAAGACTGAAAGACTTGGAGCCAAATATGTTTCCTTTGAAAAAGAATGTTTTTAAAAGAATCATCTTTTTCTCTTCATAAGACTGCTTTGGGCCAGGTGCAGTGCTCACGCCTGTAATCCTAGCCCTTTGGGAGGCTGAGGTGGGCTGACCACCTGAGGTTAGGAGTTTGAGACCAGCCTGGCCAACATGTTGAAACCCTGTCTCTACTAAAAATACAAAAATCAGCTGCGCGTGGTGGCAGGCACTTGTAGTCCCAGCTACTCGGGAGGCTGAGGCAGGAGAATCGCTTGAACCTGGGAGGTGGAGGTTGCAGTGAGCTGAGATGGTGCCACTGCACTCCAGCCTGGGTGACAGAGTGAGACTCCATCTCAAAACAAAACAAAACAAAATAAAAATAAAAAACTACTTTGGTACATTGCTCCAGAAAGGAGAGTTTATTTCTAATATTTGACCTGGTGAAACATAAGTCATCCATGTTTAGACGTGAGTTTAAACTGTCACTCTGTCACTACAATCATTCGTGACATAATTTATAGCGCTTCAGCTTAGTTCACAGTCTGTGAGTTTAGCTCCCATTCTCTAGACAGAGCATTGAATATCTGGGATTTGTGGGGCCAGAGGACAATGGCAGCACCATTCTTTAATACAAACAATTGATGTTTTCTTGGTCTTTGTAAAGAACTGTGCAGTCATAGTTCAAGATAAGTTTTAGGCCCTTCCCACTCCACTCCTCAGCTCTTTTTTTTCATTTGTGCCAGCCCCCATCCGTGTTCTATACCAGAGCCAAGCACAGTCCTGCTTTGTTTTTGTATGGTCTGCACACAATGACTAGTTTTACATTTTTAAATGGCTGAAAAAAATCAAAAGAATAATATTTCATGACATGTGGCAATTATATGAAATTCAAATTTCAGTGTCCATAAATAAAGTTTTATTGGAACACAGCCATGCTCATTTGTTTATGTATTTCTATGGCTGCCTTTCACACTACAACAGCAGAGTTGAGTAGTTGTGACAGAGACCATATGGCCCAAAAAGCCTAAAATATTTACTATATGGCCCTTTACAGAAACAGTTTGTCGAACCCTGAACAGTACTACAGCCAAAGTTATCTTTTTTTAAAAAAAAATGCTTGCTTATTTTTGCTTCCTGCTTAATACCCATTGCCCTTGGAATAAAAACCTAAAAATCTCTGTAGGGACCACATAATCAAGACCCTTCCCACCTCTCCACCCACATCTTAATATACCCTCTCATTCTTGTCATCTTAAATGTTCTGCTTTTTTTTTTTTATTAAGTCTTCAAATATTCTTTCTGCCAGGAAGTTGTGACCCTCTTATTCCCACTCTAGTTCTCATTAATAAACCTGAAGTCAGGTTCTTTCTTTTAGTTTTCTATAACATTTTGTATTTCTATAATATGCATTACAGTTACAATTCTATGGTCTATTTCTGTTCTCCTTGCTTAACTATAAATCCCTTGAAGACAAGGACCATGTCTGTCTTGTTCACTGTTGTATGTCCACTGACAAGTTCAGTCTTTACCACATAGCTGGTTTGGTATACAGTTTGGTTTACCAAGTACGGTCTGAAACTGTCTGGGTTTAGGCCTTTGTCAAAGTAAATATTGCGCTTCCCTTACTCTCAAAAGTGTGCCAGTTTGGACAATAAATTATACATTACGTGTAACAGATGATCAATAAATACTTTTTGAATGACTCAATTTAGTAGAACTTCAATGATTTGGAGTCCAAATAATTACTACTGTTAACAAGATATTATAAATTCTCTTAGTTCAAGGAAAAGGCAAAGGATGGGGGAAAACACAGACATTTCTGAAATATTTCAGAAACAGCATTCAGGGCACACCCTAAGTTCAATGTATATTTAATTCAATTTCTTTAACCTTCAATATGTACGGTGAGAACAAATGATTATCTTGAAACACTAAAGCATCCTCAGTTGCCAAAGAAATGTTATTTTCTATATACTTGAATTACTAAGAAAATAGGGTTCGTATGTAAGGTTATCAGTAGTAACAAGGGTTAAAATTTAAAAGATTTTTAAAATTGAGGCTCAATCAATTATTTCATATTCCTACTGATATTCTTGTATTATTGCATTTAGGATTACAGATATTATAATATAGGCAGGATGTATGCAGAAAATTTACTTTTGTACTGTTGTTTTTTTTTTGAAATGGAGTCTTGCTCTGTTGCCCAGGCTGGAGTGCAATGGCATGATCTCGGCTCACTGCAACCTCCGCCTCCTAGGTTCAAGCGATTCTCCTGCCTCAGCCTCCTGAGTAGCTGGGATTACAGGTGCTTGCCACCACACCCAGCTAATTTTTGTATTTTTCATAGAGGCGGGGTTTCACCATGTTGGCCAGGCTGGTCTCGAACGCCTGACCTCAGGTGATCTGCCTGCCTTGGCCCCCCAAAGTGCTGGGATTACAGACGTGAGCCACCACGCCCGGCCTGTACTGTTTTTATCTTAGCAAGGTAATAGTGGTCTCTCTTGCCAGCACATGGGGGCTATGGGGAAGCTAGCTCTCCTTGGAAATTTAAGAGTATATTCTGAAAGTGAATATTTCAATCCAGGGTCTAATAGAGCAGAAATCTGTACTTATTTTGAATTTTAAGGCTTAAAGAGACAGAATGTCTTTTCATCTTATTCCCAAATGGCAGAAGAAGATAGCATATGTTAGATTCAGGGGTAAAGTAATGAGGGGAGCTTTTTAAATGTATACAGATATACGCTGTCTAAATTCTGATACATGTTACTCTAGCTTCTATTTTGGGAATCACTAAGTAGAAGGTTGACAGAAGGGTGTCCTATTCCTCAGGTGTGTTGGGGAAAAAGGGTTTAAAACAGTTGATTGAAAGTATTAGTGTATAAAAAGAAAGAATATATCGGTCTGAAGAGGACTTGGTCAGACGTAGGCCAAGAACTTAGGACTTAGGACAGAAAAGTAGAGTTGCAGAGGCAGACTTTGATCAATAGAGAACCATATGGAGATGGGACAGAGATGAATCATCATGCCCCACCAAGGTCACAGTAAATTGTCCCTTAAAGCTGTCTACTTTTGCTCTGATTCCATGCTTGTTGTGCCACTTTCTGATTGCTAATCTGACTTCCAAGGTATTCAGGTGTTCTGGGCGATAGAAGAAAAGATTTCTGATCACCAGAAAGGAATCTTCCCCACCGTGCATTAGTGTATTTCCAACTGAGCTAGTATCAGCTCGTGAGTGTGGCTTATATAAGTTGGCCTCCCTGAGCCAACTCTAGGATAGTGACAGCTCTGAGGCTTTTCTCTAAATAGTGGTCAGTTTACAAAGCCTATGTCAGCCACTGAGACCTTTTGGAGGAGTGTCATCCAGCTTTCTCCTTTAGCCTGCGCAACATTATCAAATCCCCTTGTTCTTTTATTTTGGAGTTACTGGAATTCCAAAAGTTTTCCAGTAGTGCTATCAATCTAATAAATGCAACATTCAGACCTACCTGGAAAAAAAATGAATATGAAATTGGTAACTATTTGTCACGTTTGCTATGTAATAGCATGGCAGTATAGAAGTGTTTGTATTATATAATTCCCTCTTTTTTACCTTCTTGATTGTCAGAACTCCTCTATCTATTTTCCCTTGGTCAGTGAGCTACACCGCCTTCTACCCAGTCACCCAAGCCAGAAACCTAGATGTATCCTTTTTCTTGCCTCTTTGCCAGCCAGCCGTGTCTAGTTGGTCACCAAGGTCATCATCATTTCTAGCTTGAACCATTACCAATGTCTTCTTATCTCTTTTTAACACCTGATCTGTCTTTGAGGTTGATGTCAAATAGTAGTGTTTTAAAATCATGTCTTTTAAAATCATAATTCTGAACTTGTTACTTTTCTATATGAAACCACTGGGTGGCTTTTGATATTTCGACAATGTAAAGTCCATATTCTTTGGCATGGCATACAAGGCTCTTCATGACCTGGCTGCTTCCTCCTTCCCCACTGTATCTCCTCTCCCTGCCTCACTCTCATGACACACACATGCTCAAGTGATGGGGAACTGGTTTGGCAAGCTGCATCATTCCTCTGGATGCTTGCATTTGACATACATGTGCTCATCCTGTGCTCATCTTACTTGACCTTTCGGCAGCGTTAGATACCACTGTATACTCCCTCTATTTTGAAATACTTTCTTCCCTTGCCTTTCATGACATTCTTTCTGGAATCTTCTCTTACCTTTCTGGTATTTCCCTGAATCTTTTTTTGCTGGCCACTCCTCTATTTTCTCTTTGTGTGTTGGGCTTTCTTGGGGTTCAGTTTTAGGTTCTGTTTTTCCCTCTGAAGCCTACTAAATTTAGCTCTGCCCTACATAGCAGTGGTTTGGTATAAGGATTTTTATATTTAGCAAAAATGTGTATAAATATCAGTTGTGGTACAGTTAATGTATATTTTCTCATAGCTATTTGTTCACCATCGTAAATATATTTAGTTACAATTTCAGTCAATGAGAACTACCATAATATGCTAAAAGCACTGCCTTTTAGACAGCGGAAGCTGCCCCCACAGTGGGCTTTCTTCATTTGAATGAGTAGTATTTTCAGCATCACTCTACTCTATCTCATTCTGCCATTGTATAAAATGATGAGATTTTAGCATCCCTCAAAAGGTTGATCCGTGGAGTTCATCAAGTAGCCTTTGATTTGTTTACACACATCACTAAATTAAATGGAATGACTAGGTAGAAATTAGGGCAAATTTTGCTTCTTTATTTAGAAGAAAAATTTTCTTCTGAGAAATAAATAGGAATTAGTAGATGAAACTGTACTGTCTATTATAGTCCAGATCACTGCCAGGGAATTATTCTAAATACACCAAAGTCAGAAATATTTTCAAAGAAAAGAATTATTGAGTAATCAAAATGTTGCCTTAAACCTTTCAGTGATGAGAGATGTGCCGGGTGCTTAGTAGAATTATTCCACCTGAACAGCTGGCTCTTCCTGCTATTTCCTTACGTTACATTTACAGCACTCAGAGATAGAATCTTTGGTTGTTGTAAAGGATTAATGCAAGAGTCTGATAGGAATACTACGTCAGTACTAGAGAAGTAGTATATGAAGAGGTAATCATGACATTCCCAGAATTGCATAGAAATTACTAGCATGGAGAAGAAAAATTAACCTGTAATATAGTTAATTTTAAAGATGAGATTAAAATAATATTGCAGTAGCTGTTTTATATCAATTTAGCATAAGCAAGATGTTTTTACTTTCATTTTGTTTTTTCTAATCTGTGCGTAGAACAGAGAAAATTAGGAACTGTCCCTTTAATAAAACCTGTTTACCTATCTTCTTCTTGTAGGAGTGGCTTAGGAACCTGTAGAGTGAGGTATAACTTCCAATTCTGCATTCTGACCTGCAACCTTGGAAAGAGTGCTGGTACTACAACCAGGAAGTGACAGATAATGTGCTTTAAACTACATTAGAAAAGCTTCTCATAGCAAAACTGAGAGATTGAAGCAGTGATTATTTTTACATAGTTGTCATTAAATATTTGGAGCTCTGCTGTGCATAGAGATGGCAACATACTTAGAATACACAGCTTTCTGGGCCAGAAATTGATCTTCTGACTTTTGAGCCTTATCTGATTACTGCTTGGTTCATCTTTATTTTGTTAAACTACTCTGTAGGCTGAAAGGGAGAGACTCTCCTTGGTTTGCAGGTGGGTGGTCAGCTTGTGTTTAAAATTTAGGTTGTTTTGAAGACTACTAAGGTAGATTATTTTTGCTGCTGATTATTGAAAGAATTATGAATATCAGGCTGGGCATATGTTTGAATGTTTGAATGTTCAACATGGCTGTAAATAACCACATTTTTATGAAAACTGGACAACTTTATAGAAAACGTCATTTTTAACAAATTGGCAAATCTACAAGATGGTGAATTACATGAGTTATATTTTATTTTCCATTAACCTGTTATATATATTAAATTACTAGCTTGAAAAGTATATTGTGATTACCCTGCTATTAACTTCCTGCTAGTATTTAATACAATATTCAAAACATTTATGTAGTCAAATAAAATTACATTTTTGTTGTTAGTATTTTACTAATAAGTTTCATTTCTTTTGCTGTTAGGAAGCTGCCTGAGTATTCATCATTGGTTTATCTTTTTGCTTTAGTCTGCCTTTGTAATCGTTTGATATCTATTATTTAAGAAAAGTTTTTATAAAAGATTAGTCTTACACAAGTATATTGAAATATTGCTTGCTTCTCATTATAAAGTTAACCATCCTAGTAAGACACTAAAATATTTCAAAGATAATTTCTTTGGAAGAATGAGTTAATTAGTAGTGTGAGTTATTATTGTGAAAAAAAGTTCACAACAAATGACTCATTTGGAGTGGAAGTCAGAAAATAAACGTGTATGTTCCTTTAATATCAAGGACAGTGGTTTCTTAATTTTCTCTACCACTAATGGTCCTTTTTATGTTTTTTTCTATGGACACTGTGCTTCCAAAGACTTTGTCTACCAAATAAGGGGTATACATTAAATAATAAATATTAAAACATCACTACTTGTTAGATATATATTATTTCCAGTGAGAATTTATTAGCCTGTGTTATCCATTGTAGGTTAATATAGTTCAGCTCGAAACAGAGGCTTGCCATTTCACTTAACTTGAATAGCTTTATTTTAGATAATTGGATATTTTTGACTTTTTGAAATATTATCTGATAATATCTGATGATAATATCTGAATTTTCATCATCTGCTCTTGTGGAATCCTGGTAATCTGGGCACAGTAGATTGGGAACTAGTGGTCTAAAGTGCAGACATTTTGTTCTTAATATCTTTGAAGGTCCATGAAATGTAATGAAGGTCATCTAGTATAACATAACAAACAAAGATGCCATAGTTACTAGACAGAGAAGAAAAAAGGAGGAAGAAAAAGGAAGTGGTATTTATTGTAGGGAACCCTGGGGAGGAATTCAAGGCATCTGTGTTGTGGCCCCATCAAGTCTATATTTATCTCTACTATTTCGCAACTTAAAATTTTTATTTCAGTTAGGCTGATAGACTACTGACTTCAAAACAAATGTTACTTATGTTCATGTATTTATTCTGTATTTTTAGTTGGTTTCCGTCTCTTCAACTTTTCCCATTTCTCCATTTCCCCATATTCTTCCTTTATCTCAGCTGAAAACACTTCTCCAATGTGAAGCTTTATCTGATCACACTAATCCACAGTCCTATTTCCTTCCTTTAGACTTTCATATCATGTTGACTGTACCAGTACTTTAGTGCATGATCATATTATATCTTGTCATATAACTTAAGAACATCCCATGTCTCTTCAACTATATTAAAAGTTGTTTGAGGGCCAGGAGCTTAACTTCTACATTATGTTTTTATGTTTATTCTCCTTAGCATCTAGTGCAGTAACGCACATTTGTTAGGTACTAAATAAATATCTGTTGAATGAATGAGAGAGATTATCTTACTAACAATTGCTTCAAGTGTTATGCTACTTCCTTACACCTTGCTTAAGCAGGTAATTAACTATCTGTAATGTTTTTAGACATCAGACCATTGGTTATCATAATATTGTTATTTAATTTTATTTTTCAACTGGAGGCCATTATCCTAAATCATAATAATACTGTTTTTGTTTTGCTAGGTAATGTGTGAGTTTGTTGTATTTGATGATTTAAAAATTTGTTAATTTCTGCCTACAAAGAAAGAACAAGCTGGACTTTATTAAAGATAAATCAAAGGAAAAATTCTGAAGTCCAGACTCTTGCATTTTATATATTAGGAAAATATAGTTTAAAATTTATTGATATATAAGATTTTTAAAGTGGTTAAAATATTCAGATACATTATGGATTAAGAGGACAGGTTCTAAGCTGACAGGGCTGAACGGTGATTCAGTGGTCATGGTAGACTGGTTAGATTGCAGAACTAAACTGAAGATCAGAGGCTAGGCACCATGTCTCACGCCTATAATATCAGCATTTTGGGAGGCTGAGGAGGGTGGATCACTTGAGGTCAGGAGTTCCAGACCAGCCTGGCCAACATGGTGAAACCCCATCTCTACTAAAAATACAAAAATTAGCTGGGTGTGGTGGTGCACACCTGCAATCCCAGCCACTCGGGAGGCTGAGGTAGGAGAATCGCTTGAACCTGGGAGGTGAAGGTTGCAGTGAGCTGAGATTGCACCACTGCACTCCAGCCTGGGTGGCACAGTGAGACTCCATCTCAAAAACAAGCAAACAAACTGCAGATCAGTAATTACCAGAAAGTATGAACAAATTATTATTATTATTATTATTATTATTTTGAGATGGAGTCTCGCTCTGTCACCCAGGCTGGAGTGCAGTGGCACAATCTTGGCTCACTGCAACCTCCGCCCCCTGGGTTCAATCGATTCTCCTGCCTCAGCCTCCTGAATAGCTGGGACTATAGGTGTGCGCCACCATGCCCAGCCAATTTTTGTATTTTTTTTTTTTAGTGGAGACCAGGTTTCACCATGTTGGCCAGGATGGTCTCGATCTCTTGACCTCGTGATCTGCCTGCCTCAGCCTCCCAAAGTGCTGGGATTACAGGCGTGAGTCACTGTGCCTGGCCTGAACAAATTATTTTACAGAAAGAAAATTTAAAACATTTTTAACCTCCCATTTTCAGTAGTTATTATAATATGTACTTTAAAATCATTTTATCTATTCCTTTTATGAACTCTGCCAGATAGCTTTTATTAACTCATTTTTATAGATATGCAAAATGGAGGTACAGAAAGGTCAAATAACTACCAAAGCCCCATATCTAGTCTTTGCACAACAGGTCATTTTTGACTTCAAAACTCATGTTTTGAATCACTGTGATATTATATTTTATATTTTCCAATGCTCAGTGTAATTTTTCTGTCACTTTAGAGCCTGACTAGACAGGAATTCTGGCAACTGCTCCAGCAGAACTATGGCACTGAGCTAGGTTTAAATGCTGAGGAGATGGAAAACTTGTCACTGTCGATTGAGGATGTGCAGCCAAGGTACAGCAAAATGTTTTGAAATGTCAAAATTTATCAATTATTAATCAAAGCAGAATTATTTTACATTCGACTAATTCTGAATTTCTAGTAATTTATCTTTGGCTGCCATTTGCCCCTTTGTTCTTTGTGGTGGAATGGGGTGAAAGGTGGGGACAGAGAATAGTTTGCTAAATAGGTAAGCACATATGAGATATATAAGGAAATGTTGGCTATGTCACTTAGGGTAGACTTAAAGTCTGGTTTTAGTAAGCCTGTTTATTAAGGATCTGGAGAAGTACCTAGTGAAATCTCTGAGTTTATAGATGACAGTAAAGTAAATTATATGGTAGGTGTTTTGAAGGATACAATAACATGATTTTTCCTCAGGAATTCCCTAACATAGTGCTTAGCATGTGGTTGGCACTCCATAAATATTGAATACATTAATGGAAGGAGCATATAGCCTACCGTGGAATGCAAATAATTGTAATACAAGGTCGATAATGGTAAGAGTCATAACAGAGTAACAGATAATGTGATAAAGAAATTAAGAGTACAGAGAGACTATTTTTGACTGATGAGGATTCATTTAGAAGAGTGGACATTTTTATTAACCTCTACAAGTAAAAGTGCATTATGTCCAGTGGAAATTGAGGCTGTTAGCAATAAAAACAATTAAGGAGAATACATTAAAATTCTATAGCAAACATTATGCTGAGTGAAAAAAGCCAGTCACAAAAGGCCATATATTGTATGATTCCATGTATGTGAAATGGAGTCTAGAACTGGTAAGTTTATAGAGACAGAAAGTAAATGGTAGTTGCCAGGAGCTGATAGGAAGGGAGAATGGGGAGTGACTGCAAGTGACTGCAAAGCATTTCTTTGTTGGGGTGATGACAATGTTCTACAATTAGTTAGTGGTGATGGTTGCCCAACTCTGTAACCCACTAAATTGTACACTTTACATGAAGTGAATTTTGTGGTGTGTGGATTATATCTTAAAAGCTGTTATTTAGAAATTCTATAGCAAATCTTAAAATGGAAATATTTTGAAAGTCTCAAAGTATGTGCAGAAATTTTACTCATCTAGGTAATCTACTTATGCTGATCCAATTTATATCTTTTCAGCTTAGCATCAGTATTTTATAGGCTTTTTTACATGGTTGCACATGTATATTTTATTAGCTTTCTGTAAAGTTAAAAATTTCCATTGTATTGTTCTCCTTGAGAAGTTTAGTAGCCTCTTGCCGGCTCTGGATTTGGATAGAAAAGCAGTTACTCTAATGCAAAGAGCCTTGGATTATGGTAAACAGGATCTGGATCTTAGTTAGGGTCACCAAACAGCCGAGCAACCTCAGGCAAATCTTTTCATTTTTTTGATTCTCAGTTTTCTCGTCTATGAAATGAGGCAGCTGAACTAGATTATCTTTAAGGTCCTTGCCAACTTGAAAAGTTTCTAGTCTTTGAGGAAAGAAAGAATATTTTTGACTAGCTGCTGTTTTCTTCTGGCGATTGAATGCTTTCTTTTTTTTCTTTTTTGAGACTGAGTCTCACTCTGTCACCCAGGCTGGAGCACAGTGGTGCGATCTTGGCTCACTGCAACCTCCGCCTCCTGGGTTCAAGCGATTCTCCTGCCTCAGCCTCCCAAGTAGCTGGGATTGCGGTGCCCACCACCACGCCTGGCTACTTTTTGTATTTTCAGTAGAGATTTTGCCATGTTGATGAGGCTGGTCTTGAACTCCTGACCTTAAGTGATCCACCCTGCCTCGGCCTCCCAAAGTGCTGGGATTACAGGTGTCAGCCACTGCACCTGGCCTGAATGCTTTCTTTTTTTCTTTTCTTTCTTTCTTTTTTTTTTGGAGATGGAGTCTCACTCTGTCACCAGGCTGGAGTGCAGTGGCGTGATCTTGGCTCACTGCAACCTCTGCCTCCGGGTTCAAGCGAGTCTTCTGCCTCAGCCTCCCAAGTAGCTGAGACTTCAGGTGCGTGCCACCACGCCCAGCTAATTTTTGCATTTTTTTTTTTTTTTAGTAGAGACGGCATTTCACCATGTTGGCCAGGATGGTCTCGATCTCTTGACCTCATGATCAGCTCACCTCAGCCTCCCAAAGTGTTGGGATTACAGGCATGAGCCATCATGCCCGGTCGGCCTGAATGCTTTCTAAGAAAGTGTGTGGCAGGATCCTCATTCTCTCTTCTACTTCTTTTCCTGTTCTTCAGTCTCTGAAAGAAGCATATCTGTTTCAAACCTTTATTTCCTCGGTTCTTCCATCTTCTTCCTCTTTATTTGCAATCTCTCCTTCCTTCTTCCTCCTCCTTTCCTCTCTGTTTTTCCACATCTCACCTCCATCCTGTTGAGCATTGGAAATTAGATCAGTTGTGCTCCCATTGTATTTAATAGGTTTTCCTTTCTTTTTGCTCCTTGAGAAAGGGAAAGCAGATCCCAGGACATTTATTATAGTCTTGGCCATATGATCATTTGACAGCTGTTTCTTAAACCTTGTTCTTAGGGCTGGGAAGAGTGAGGAGGCAGGAGTGGCCAATGGGCTTAGGCTCAGACATCTTGAGCGTCCACTTCTGGGAGGGCTTCGCCATTTCAGCTGAGACTGAGTCAGAAGGAAGGAGATATAAAACTGCCTTCTTGTGCGATCTAGTATCTAACTCAAACATCTACTCTGTACCTGTCCAAGCTTTGTGGTTGTACACAAATGAAATTTAAAGGAGCAATTTTCATTTGATTAGTTACTGTTACGGCCATTTGTACTTTGTTAATTTTTTAATGTTTTTGAGATTTATAGAATCCCATGTGAGTGTATCTTGTTTTCAGAAATGATATCAACTTGCATGTAATTTAAGAAGATAGCCTTGTTATAAGTAAACATTTATTTGCTATATTACAGTAGTCCATTTATTATCAAACTGTTTTATCATAGGAAATGACCTCAGTGAGGAGACCAAATCATTTATTTGTGTGGAGGTGACCTTATATTTCTATAATGATGTGTTTCTTACAGAAGTCCAGGAAGAAGCAGCTTGGATGACTCTGGGGAGAGAGATGAAAAATTATCCAAGTCAATCAGTTTTACCAGTGAATCAATTAGTCGGGTTTCAGAAACAGAGTCATTCGATGGAAATTCATCAAAAGGAGTTAGTATATGATATCCCTTTTAAAATATATCTGGTACTGTCATGTCCTAATCAGAATACAAGATAAATAAGGATACAGTATACAAAATGTTAAAAATAAGATATCAGACTCCTACCTTATTTTAGGAAAAAAGTTTAAAGTCTGTTAGTAGCAGAGATTATGTGGGAAAATATGTGGTTTTGTTCAGAGCTATATAAAAAGCAGAGCTACCGAGCAGTTTTACCTGGGCATCAGTCTGTAGGGGGATAAATATCATTAAAAGAATAATAAGATGGAGAAATTTGTAAGTAGCAGAATTTTCCCCAGGGTAAGTACTGTGTGTGCTGGAAAGAATCTGTTTTTTTTTTTTTCTTTCTTTCTTTCACAGAAGGGAACAGCATGGAGAAAGAATCTGTTTTGAAGGGAGAGATGAGCCCCTGAGCAGCATGCTTGAGTAACAATAGCTGCTTTTTAAGCTTTTTAAGCAGGCAGGTCCAGTTAACTACTAGGCATTATACTCAATTACTTAGTTTCTTCCTTTATTTTCTCAAGTATCATTGTAAGCACATCAGTTTTTTGTTTTTAGTTTTTTGGGTTTTTTGAGATGAGTCTCGCCCTGTTGCCCAGGCTGGAGTGCAATGGCATGATCTCGGCTCACTGCAACCTCCACCCCCTGGGTTCAAACAATTCTCCGGCCTCAGCCTCCCAAGTAGCTCAGGTTACAGGCACGTGCCACCACGCCTGGGTAATTTTTTGTATCTTTAATAGAGATGGGGTTTCATCATGTTGGCTAGGCTGGTCTTGAACCCCTGACCTCATGATCCACCCGCCTTGGCCTCTCAAAGTGCTGGGATCACAGGCATGAGCCAGCATGCCCGGCCAACACTTCAGTTTTTTATTCCAGTGTGCTTCAATCACTTGCAGTCATTATTTGATTCTCAGTTTGCTCCCTCTGCCAATGGGAGCCCCTTCAAGTTGGTTCCTTTGGCCTTTTGAAATGACCAGTATCTTTAATGATGTCTTTTCTTTCTGGCACAACAATATCTTCTAAGCACATTTTGTATGTTTTCTGCTCCAGACCGTTTTCTTAATGAACCATAGATTTTCTTAGTGAAGAATGGTATTTAGAGACCATATTCTGAGTACTAGGAGTGCTCCTACTGCAGAGCCTTTGTTCTGCTGATTGGGATGCAAGTTTGGGGGCAGAGCTGAATTCCTTTATTTAGAGCAGGGCTTTGGCTTCAAATCTTACATCTGCCACTTGCTAACTGTATAAGTTAATTACTTAACCTTTTCTTTTCTTTTCTCAACTGTAAAGTGAGGATTATACTTTATAAGGTCTTTTTTAATAAGAGTTAAATGAATTAGTATATATGAAAATGCAGTCATGCTCTGTATAATGTTTTGGTCAGTGATGGACTGCATATGTGGTGGTGGTCTCATAACTTTTTTTTTTTTTTGATACAGAGTTTTGCTCTTGTTGCCCAGGCTGGAGTGCAGTGGTGTGATCTCAGCTCACTGCAGCCTCCGCCTCCTGGGTTCAAGCAATTCTTCTGGCTCAGCCTCCTGAGTAGCTGGGACTACAGGCATCCGCCACTATGCCTGGCTACTTTTTAATATTTTTAGTAGAGATGGGGTTTCCCCATGTTGGCCAGGCTGGTCTCGAACACCTAACCTCAGGTGATCCACCTGCCTGAGGCTCCCAAAGTGCTGGGATTACAAGTGTCAGCCACTGCAACCAGCCAGTCCCATAACATTTTAAGGGAGCTGAAAAATTCCTTTGCCTAGTGAGGTACCATCATAACATGGTAATGCAATACGTTGCTCACATGTTTGTGGTGATGCTGGTGTAAACAAATCTGTGCTGCCAGGCCTATAAAGGTATAGCACAAACAATTATAGAAGTACATAATACTTGATAATAAAATAATAAATCATTATTTTAGAGTACACTCTTTCTACTTCTATATACAAAAAAAGTTAACTTTGAAACAGCCTCAGCCAGGTCCTTCAGGCGGAATTCCAGAAGAAAATATTGTTATCATAGGAGATGACAGCTCCATGCATGTTATTCTCCCTGACGACCTTCTAGTCGTACAAAATGTGAAGGTGGAAGCAGTGATATTCATGATCCTGATCCTGTGTAGGCCTAGGCTAACGTGTGTGTTTGTGTCTTAATTTTTAACAAAAAGGTTTAAAAATAACAAAATAAGAAAAAATTAAAAATAGAAAAAAGCTTTTAGAATAAGTATATAAAGAAAGAAAATATTTTTGTACAGCTGTCCAGTGTGTTTGTGGTCTAACCTAAGTATTTTTACAAGAGTCAAAAAGTTTTAAAAAAAAGTTCATAAAATAAAAATGTTACAGTAAGCTAAGCTTAATTTATTATTGAAAAAACAATTTTTTTTTGGTAAATCTATTGTAGCCTAAGTGTACGATGTTTATAAAGTCTGCAGTAGTGTTCAGTAATGTCCCAGGCCTTCACATTCACTCACTACTCACTCACTGACTCACCCAGAACAACAGAACTCAGTCCTGTAAGCTCCATTCATGGTATAAACAGGTGTACCATTTTCTAAATCTTTTGTACCGTGTTTTTACTGTACTTTTGCTATGTTTACATACGTTTAGATACACAAGTACTTCCCACTGTGTTATACTGCCTACAGTATTCAGTAGAGTAACATGCTGTCCAGGTTTATAGACCAGGAGCAATAAGCTATACCATATAGCCTGGGTGTGTAGTAAGCTATACCATCTAAATTTGTTAAGTACACTCTATGACGTTGGCACAACAATAAAATCACCTAATGATACATTTCTCATAATGTATCCCTGTCATCAAAGCAATGTATGACTGTACTTAGAATAGTTCCTAGCACACATTAAATATCCAATAACCATAAGCTGTTATAATTGAAGGTGAATCTGCCTGTGATCAGTAATGATCCTTTTCCACCCTCCCCCAAGAACTTCCAGTATCTCCTCTGAGTAAATGTTGGGAAAACATTGAATGAAAATATATTTATGTGGAAGGCCAGCATGTTATCAACTTGTTTTTACCAGTCATGCATCTACCTTAGCCTGGTTTTGTGTTTTGTGTTTCTTGCAAAACTTATTCATCTAGAGACCCTTAGTGACTTACTACTGGTGCAAGGGAAGTGAATAACTTAATGCTTTAAGATCGATCATACATTCATTGGTGTTCAGTATAGATGTTTTCAGGTTATAGAATACAAGCAGTATAGAAGTTTAGCCCTTTTTTTTTCTGTTTGCATTCAAGAGCCATATGATGAGATTCTCAGATATCTACAAGCATCGTATGTCACTTGCTTTGCCTCATTTTCACTTCTAACAAAGTTGGAAATAACAAAAAGTCAAAAATAACTTTTTTCCAAGAAAATATGTTTTTTAAGCTATAGAATTAATACTCTTTGTAAAACTTCATGAAATACAGTAGAGTATACAAAGAAATAAAAGCCATCCAGATACCAACCACTGAAAGATAGTGACTCTTACTTTTCCTATAAATATCTATCTGTATTCTTTATAGTAGGAAATAGAACTTAATTTGCAACAAGAGGAGACGTGTAAGTGTGGAGCTGTAGAGAAATGTACTCTACTTAGCATCTGTTAAGGGGCCCCTGGTTTAGCTAAATAGGCACGTTGCTTTATAGTGTGGAACTCCCAAATAAATCAAGTTTTGATTTTAGCAATAATCTCTGCATGAAGAATCAATCTTCTGACCAGGGCAATATAATCCTTTAATAAATTGTGTCCTCGGTCCCAGTTGTTATTCTGCTATCTGGGTGGCCAGTGGAAACCTGTATCCTCCCTGGAGCTGATTCTGCTACTTAGTGCTTCTCAAGGATCTCATGGGACAGGAAGTAAAGTGCTCTCTTCCATCTGTGTACATACAGAAAATGCAAGAAAATATTCTGCTGTATAGTTTATATAGACTTTTTGTACTATTCCACTAAGTCTGATTATAATACAGTACTATTTTACTTGAATACTAACATAGCAATAGCATCATACTTTAATGCCTAACATTAAATTTATTATAGAGATGACATCATCTTTATTAAACCATCTCAGAAAGTATAGATAGCATCATATATTAAATACATTTTAATGCCTAATCTCTTAGTCCCTTTGCAGCAAAGCCAATTGTGTTTTTATGAGTTTGCTATGAAGTTAATTTGTTTTAATCTTCTCTCTCCCACTGTACTCATATGTGACTTTTATCTCTCCATTTTCTTTCCATTTCCCTGTTAGGTCTTGAGAGATGGGTGAGTTTTCTTCCTTGAGATGATGGGGCAGGCACTGGCTGGGGAAGCTAACTGGGTTTGGTTCTTCTCCCTTGTCTACCCCAAAGAATGGATTGTTCTATTATTTTTGTCCTTTGTCCCCTTTCCCTTCTCCATAAGTGATTTACATGATCTGTGAAGCTCTTTTATATGGTGTTTTTCATAAACTTGTTTATTATTGTGTAGGATGACTTTAGAATGGTATATATTATTTATTCATATTTTACGGACCGACATTTAATAGCATGGGAAATGTGATGCAAGTATAACAAACAAAATGCTGTAAATATTCTTCAAAGCTCAATATTTCAAAGTATCTTTAATATTAAAGTTCTCACTGCAAAATCTAAGCTAAACCTGTGTTTTATTTTGAAACTGGATTGTTTACCTTTTAGGGATTAGGCAAAGAGGAGTCCCAAAATGAGAAACAGACCAAAAAGAGTCTCTTACCAACTTTGGAAAAGAAGTTAACTAGAGTGCCATCAAAGTCACTGGACTTGAATAAAAATGAATATCTTTCTCTGGACAAAAGCAGCACTTCAGATTCTGTTGATGAAGGTAAATAATTTCTTATAAATTTTATTAAATTTCAGTTATGTCTTTTTATGTTTATCTTTGTAATAGGGGTGTGCAGATTGAGAATTTAGTTTTATTAGACACAGTCTCACCCTATAAAGAAACAAAAAAAGAATGGGAGCTTATAGAAAATAGGAGAAAGAGGCTGTTAAATCTAACGTATCCCACTGTCTTCAGAAGCCTGGAATCTGAAAAGCTTCTTTGCATTTAGCTTCTAAATGTGGTGTTAATAAAAACATATATGCCCATTCTATATACCAGGCAGTGTGATATGCTCACACGTCATAGGTAGAGTGACATATTATTTCATTTAGGCTATCCCTCATTTTCCTGGTAGGGAAAATAAGACCTACAGGAGCTAAATCTAAAGTCACACAGCTAGTTAACTATGCAGAACTTGAGTTAATGACCAGGTGTCTCTGTCCAGTTTTCTTTTTACTTTACTTCAATACTGCCCAAGTTATTTTCTCTTTTCCTCCTTTTAAAAAAAGACAGCTTAGCAAGGTTTTTCTAAACTTGTTTTGTATATAATTATGAAAGCAAGTAGTTATGGCAGGGATGCATTCTCACATGAATATTAATTTAAATTATTGGGTAGCCTCCAAAAGGAAATAAAGAAGATTCTCAAAAATTCTGGAAAGGAAATCTTTCTCTCTGTAAATGATTTTTTAAAAAGTGTACTCATCAATGTTACTCAGAACAATACTCAAATTTCTTTGTGTGAAGATGCAAGCTTTTGACTGTGGTTATATTTTAGCATAATGGGATGAGTTTTTTGAAAGCAAGAGCATGGAAAGTTCATCATAATTGCTCCTGACTTTGATTTGTTTTTACTGTAGTCAATTTCCATTTAATTTTAAAAATTTCCATTTAATTCACTTTCAGAGGAACATTCTATATTTGAAATTTATTACAAAGATAAATGATAATAATATTCCATATGGCATTAAAAAAAACTTATTTGGCTGGGCACAGTGGCTCACGCCTGTAATCCCAGCACTTTGGAAGGCCGAGGCGGGTGGATCACACGGTCAGGAGTTCAAGACCAGTCTGGTCAACGTAGTGAAACCCTGTCTCTACTAAAAATACAAAAAATTAGCCGGGTGTGGCGGTGTGTGCCTGTAATCCCAGCTACTCGGGAGGCTGAGGCAGGAGAATCTCATGAACCCAGGAGGCGGAGGTTGCAGTGAGCCTAGATCACGCCACTGCACTCCAGCCTGGGTGACAGTGTGAGACTCCGTCTCAAAAAACAAAACAAAACAGAAAACTTACTTGGTTTTAGAGGGCCAGCAGAGATTAAGCTTAATCCTAATATGATGATAAAGAGAATCATGACCCAAAGGCCTTCTGAATTTCAAGAGTATTATATTCTAGATGTTTTTCACATTTTGTATTGTAATCCATTTTGTTTTGTATTGTAATCCATGTGTACATGAGGTCTAGAGTGGGCTCAACAAATAGCAGTCCTTCTTGACCACCCTGGTGGTAACAAAATTGGGAAAGAAAATGAAGAGCAAGTCAGATAGAGGCCAAAATATCACCTTTTATACTAATAGTAACAAAGTCAACGGATGTGGGTATGTGTGAAAGATAAGTGGGCTGCTGATGGAGCTGAAGAATGAGGTGGACTTACCTATCAATCACAGGCAATGTTCAATCTCCTCCCCAACTGGAGGGACGATCCCCCCTGGAGGAGAACCAGCTTCTGTGGGCACCTAGATCCAGAGAGAAGGACAGAGGTGTGCCAAGCCTACCCAACATACTCCTTCCACATTTACTAACTGTATTAGTAGCTCAGGCTGCCATAACAAAATACTACAGATTGGGTAGCTTAAGCAACAGAAATTTATTTCATATAATTCTGGAGGATAGAAACCCCAGATCAAGGTTTGGCAGAGTTGGTTTCTGGTGAGGGCTCTCTTCCTGGCTTGCCACTTTCTCACTGTGTCTGCTCATAGCCTTTCCTTAGCACATGCTCATGGTTAGAGGAGCAAAGTGTGAGGGAGGAGCAGAGCAGGGAACAACAGAGAGAGAGACACACACACACACACGCACACGAGAGAGAGAGAGAGCATACATGAGCAAACTCTCTGGTATTTTTTTTTTTTTCTTTTTGAGACAGAGTCTGGCTCTGTCGCCCAGGATGGAGTGCAGTGGTGTGATCTTGGCTCACTGCAATCTCTGCCTCCCGAGTTCAAGCGATTCTTGTGCCTCACCCTCTGGAACACCTGGAGTAGCTGGGATTACAAACATGCACCACCACGCCCAGCTAATTTTTTGTAATTTTAGTAAACAAGGGGTTTCCTCATGTTGGCCAGGGTGGTCTTGAACTCCTGGCTTCAACTGATCCTTTAGCCTCGGCCTTCCAGAGTGTCTGGTGTCTATTCTTATAAGGACACTAATTCTACCAGATCTGGGACCCACCTTATTTAACTTAATTATTTCTTTCCTTCCTTCCTTCCTTCTCCCTCCCTCCTTCCCTTCCCTTCTTCCTTTCTTTCCTTCTTTCTTTTTCTTTCTTTCTTTTCCTTTCTCTCTCTCTTTCTCTCTCTGTTTCTTTCCTTCCTTCCTTCCTTCCTTCCTTCCTTCCTTTTCTTTCTTTCTTTCCTGACAGAGTCTTGCTCTGTCCCCTGAGCTAGAGTGCAGTAGCACGATCTCGGCTCACTGCAACCTCTGCCTCCCGGGTTCACACCATTCTCCTGCCTCAGCCTTCCAAGTAGCTGGGACTACAGGTGCCCACCACCATGCCCAGCTAATTTTTTGTATTTTTGGTAGAGATGGGGTTTCACCATGTTAGCCAGGATGGTCTTGATCTCCTGACCTCGTGATCAGCCCGCCTCGGCCTCCCAAAATGCTGGGACTACAGGCATGAGCCACCGCACCTGGCCAATTAACTTAATTACTTTCTTTAGAGGCCCCATCTCCAAGTACAGCCACACCAGGAGTTAGGGCTTTAACAGAATAATTTGCGGCTACACAAACATTCAGTCCATACCAATAATCTACTTCCTATGGTTAGAGTGAGTTAAAGGGGTAGAGAGAGGCTGGGAATTACCCTAATTGGGCACCTTTAACTCGGAAGGGTTGAAGAAGAGACATCTCCACTGCATTATATATAATACCCAGCACACAATAATATTGTGTTAGTCAATGTAAGCCCATTTCCCAACCATTTTATGTAGATGTAAGTTTACTATGTTAATGTGTTTTCCTTAATATAAAATTTAATTTTTTAAAACATATTTTAAAAACTTCCAAAATATAGATTGTGTGTGTTATACTGCTTTTAGGTTTGAGAAAGATAAAAGATTTTGGTTTTTCTTGGTTGAGCACGGTGGCTCATGCCCGTAATCCCAGTACTTGGAGAGGCCAAGGTGGGAGGATTGCTTGGGCCAGGAGTTTGAGACCAGTCTGGGCAAGACTTGTCTCTACAAAAAATAGAAAATTAGCTGGACATGGTGGTGCATGCCTATAGTCCTAGCTACGCAGGAGGCTGAAGCAGGAGCATCACTTGAGCCCCAGGAGATCAAGGCTGCAGTGAGCTATGATCACACCATTGCACTCTAGCCTGGGCGACAAAAGAGCCAGATCCAGTCTCTTCAAAAAAAAAAAAGATTTAATACTTTTTATGTTTCAGTTTTGAGGATAGATGTTATAGACACTATGATTGTGTTACTTTCTTGTAACCACCAATAGGAGAGAGAAAGGGAAAGAGAAAGAGAAAGCAAAAAATATAATAAAAGTAGTTGTTTAAAGGAAAATTTAGTACAAATTACTTGAGGCTTGTTGTACTTATTAAGTAGGCATTTTAAGGACTCTTTTTCTTAAAATTGTAAGATCCTTGCCATTGAAGTCAATGTAGTGGGAGACATTTGGAAAGATGAAGGGTAACATAGAGACTGCTTTATTAGTGTCCTTACCATTCTTGCTTTAGTATGCAGCTGGGCATGGATTAGTCATACGCTGTTTACCTGAATTTAGGACTTTAGGAAGATCTACTCTGGCCCCCAGTGGCCAAATAGGTAAGTAGCACCAAAACCAGGATTTTTGTTTTCTCTTTCTCACCTGCTTCTTTTATAAGAATGGTCCTTCCAAAGTAGTTTCAGCTGGATGTGGTGGCGCGCGCTTGTAATCCCAGCACTTTGGAAGGCTGAGCCAGGTGGGTCAACTGAGGTCAGGAGTTCGAGACCAGTCTGGCCAATGTGAGGAAAGCCCATCTCTACTAAAAATACAAAAATTAGCTGGGTGTGGTGGCACACGCTTTTAATCTCAAGAGTGAGACTCTGTCTCCAAAAAAAAAAAAAAAAAAAAAAGAATCCTATAAAAGAAACATTATAAGTTGCATAAAGGATAACAATAAAACTGATAAAAATTGTACATATCTAGAAATAAAGAATAATAGTGTATAGATTCATTATTGCACAGGAGCTCTGATCACACTTTGCTCCTTGCAAAGGCTGTTTGGCTTTATAGCAGTAAGAAGGTATATGTAACATTCAGACCTCTGTTTGGGGAGTTTTATTTAAAGTGTATGGCGATTTTTTTCTTATTAGATTATCATTAGATAGCAAATCAAGCGCTCCTACTGGTTTCCCTAAGCACGTTCCAAAATCTTGGACTTGTCATATGTATTAAATGGGTAAAATAATGAATCTGTGTTTTTACTTTTTTAAAGTTGTGAAGTTATGAAGACGGTTGAAGTCAATGAACTGAAGTGACATTTGAAAAGGTCACAAAAAGTAAACCATCCCAGGAGACTGGGGATGTGTGTGTGGGTTTAGAGGGAGTGAGGGAGATTGCAGATCACTTTAAACCAAACATCATTTTATTTAGTGATAGTATATTGATCTACTATAGTAAGCAGGAGAAAGATAACAAGTCAATAAATCAATAAAAATATAACTACAAGTCAGGATAGGTTCTGTGAAGGAAATGAACAAGATCAACAGAATCACCTTTAGTTGTTTTCTTCCTTTGTGAATATTTGAATTATTTTTACAGTGAACATATAATACTTCTGTGTCAGAAAAAGCTGTTTCCCAGGCCTAATTGGAAAGTTACCTCACAAAGCTTAGCAAAATTGCCTAGTTTTGTGATTCATTTCTACGCTGAAGGAGCCATTATTTGAAACTGCAGTAAAGAGTTTTTGCCTACGTAGAGTATTGTTGAAGGGAGAAGCAAATCAATATCTATCTGATATCCATAAGTCCTTTATGCCTCTAGCAAAATAGGGAGACACAAATCATCCAATGAGGGATAAACAGCAGTAGTTGGGGATGAAGCCAGAGCTAGCAGAGTTTTTCTGATCCATAGACTATTGCCCTTTGATTTAACCTGACTAATATTGACAGATGCTTTACCCAGATCATTCTTAGAGCTTGATTTCTGAAACATGGGGAGCTTTTGCAGCAATTTTTATTCTGTATCGATGGGGCATCATCCTTGAGATAATAGTAAGTAATCTTGGTCCTGAAATCATTACAATTTCATATTGAATTGCTTTATGTTACTTCCTCTATTATGCCAGGCTTCTGTTCCTTGGTTTTTTTTTTTTCTTTTCTGTTTGGTTCTTCTAAGTTAAATTCCTTCTGGCGGTATAAAATAGATGTTAAGTTTATGTGCTCTGGAGCTGGAGTGGGTTCAAATTCCAGGTCAGTCACTCACTAGCCATGGAGCCTCGGCAATTATTTCTGTGATTCTGTTTCCCCATCTGGAAATAATGATGATAATACCACTTATCTCATAGCATTGCAGTGAGAATAAGATGAGTCAATACTTGTAAGGTATGTAGCACAATGTCTAACATATAGTAAGCACTATGTAAGTATGGGCTATTTTATATAATATTTCCAGGGCATATGAGAATAGGTGAGCAAGATATTGCTTCTTCATTTGTCACTAGTAGTTTTCAACATCACTATGATTATCAAATTCCCAGAAAAAATGTAATAATTCATTGGGCATTTGTTAGCTTTGATGAATACTTTTCAGAAGGATTTCTTAGTTCTTTTAATGTGTGATGTTGAAAATAGGTTGTGATTACAGTCATTCTTGTCTTTGGGTAGTGAACATTAAGTCAAGTTGAAACATTATTCAGGCTGATAAGCTAAGTGCAGCAGATATTATAGCCATTGATAAATTAATATTTACTGAGTGAGCATTCAGAGGTAGAAGTTGCTAATTTCTATGTTAGATACTATCTTATGTGTCTATATTGTCCTTGTCCCTTTTGAAATATTCTTTTGAGTGACATATTATGGCCATTTGATACCATTCAAGTGAAATATTTCTGTATCTTTTGGGTTTTGACAGTTGAAATATTGATTATATGTAGTTTAGTTAACTATATATTGTTATGCATAGTTATAGGTCATACATATGTATATATTTAATTCCTATTTGGAGTTTTAATAGTGTCCTAGAATGTTCTCCTCATTGTAATCATATTTAAAAACCATTTTATGCCCAAAATAAAAAAAGAAAACCCCACGAAACCCCCTAAAGCCTTAAAATAAACTTTCTTTGATTTCTTCTCTTTTGGTTTGTGTTTCTGTTTTTCCAGAAAATGTTCCTGAGAAAGATCTTCATGGAAGACTTTTTATCAACCGTATTTTTCATATCAGTGCTGACAGAATGTTTGAATTGCTCTTTACCAGTTCACGCTTTATGCAGAAATTTGCCAGTTCTAGAAATATAATAGGTTAGTCCTTGTGTTCTTACCTAATGATAAATTTGGGAGAATGCTATTATTCTTAGAATATTGAGCATATATAAACTGATTTATGTTGTGAGGAGGAAGAATTAGACATGCTTTGCTTTTATGTTGACAGTATATAAACTGGTATTCAAATGTTTGGTTAAATTCACATGTGAACAGTATAATTATTTAATTAGGCACATGCTTCCAACAATTAAGTTCAGACTTTTGAAAACTAAAAGTATATTTATTCATTAAGGTACCAATTCGATTAGGTTGAACTCAATTCAAAATGGTTTCATGTGAAACAACTGAATTTTGGTGGAGTGTAAATTGGAACAACCACTTTGCCAAAAGGCTTGGCAGTAACTACTAAAGGTATGAATTCTCTGTGACTCAGCAGTTCCACTCCTAGGTATACATTCATCAGAAATGGGTACATTTGTACTCTGAATGACGTACTACAGTGTTCATAGCAACATTATTTATGATGGTCCCAAACTCAAAACAGTTCAAGTGTCCATCAGTAATAGAATGGGTGAATAGATTGTGTATATTCCCACAAAAGAATCCTATATAACAATGAAAAAAATACAAAGTACTGATACTTGTAACAATATGAGTAGAACTCACAGATACAATGTTGAGCAAAAGAATCCAGATACAAAAGAGTACATGCTATATAATTTCTTTATATAAAGATAAAAACCAGGCCAAACAAATTTATGGACATAAAGTCAGCATAGCGGTTACTGTTGTGGAGAGTCAGGTAGGTGAAGACTGGGAGGGAGCTTTTGGGATGCTGGTTTAAGTTCTATATCCTGATCAGAGTGGTGGTACATGTATGTATTCCCTTTGTGAAAATCATGGAGCTGTACACTTGAGATTGCAGTATCTATGGACTACTTCAAAGAAAATATATTTTTAAAAGTTCCATTTAAGAAATTGGTTAAATTTCTTAATTGGAAATTAATGGTTAAATCCTCATAAGAAGAATTTCATTGATTATGTGTTAAAAAGTTTTATTTTGGGGCTGGGTATGGTGGCTCATGCCTGTAATCCCAGCACTTTGGGAGGTTGAGGTGGGTGAATTGCTCGAGCCCAGGAGTTTGAGACCAGCCTGGACCCATCTCTACCAAAAAATACAAAAATTAGCTGGGCATGGTGGTGCACCCCTGTAGTCTCAGCTACTTGGGAGGCTGAGGTGGGAGGATCTCTTGAGCCTGGGAGTTGGAGGTTGCAGTGAGCTGAGATTGTGCCACTGCACTCCAGTGCCACTCTATCCAGTGATAGATTGAGACTCTGTCTCAAAATAAATAAATAAATAAAGTTTGAAACTGAATTTATCCTAAATGTTTTTGATATTTTATTAACTTTGGGAGCACATGATTTAGCTTGCTACATAAAATTAGAATGCAGCAGCAGCAGAGATTCATATAAAGTGAGTCATTTGACATAGTCAAAGAGAAAGTTATTCTATAGTCAATTTTATTTATTTATTTATTTGAGACAGAGTTGTGCACTGTCACCCAGGCTGGAGTGAAGAGGTGCGATCTCGGCTCACTGCAACATCTGCCTCCCAGGTTCAAGCGATTCTTGTGCCTCAGCCTCCTGAGTAGCTGGGATTACAGGCATGCGCCACCACGCCTGGATAATTTTTGTATTTTTTTAGTAGAGGGGTTTGCCGTGTTGGCCATGCTGGTCTCAAACTCCTGGGCTCAAGCAATCTAACCCCCTCAGCCTCCCAAAGTACTAGGATTACAAGAATGAGCCACTGCACCCAGCCGCAATTTAGTTTATAATCTAAGTATTTTATTAACCATTAGATATTATTCCTTTATTTGAAACTTTTATGTAAACATAATTTTTTTTTTTGAGACAGGGTCTCGCTCTGTCACCCAGGCTGGAGTGCTATGGTGCAATCTCGGCTCACTGCAACCTCCGCCTCCTGGGCTCAAGCGATTCTTGCACCTCAGCCTCCCGAGTAGCTGGGATTACAGGCGTGCACCACCATGCTTGGCTTTTTTTTTTTTTTTTTTTTTTTTTGGTAGAGACAGGGTCTTGCTATGTTGCTCCAGGCCAGTCTCAAACTCCTGAGCTCAGGTGATCCACCTGCCTTGGCCTCCCAAAGAGCTGGGATTATAGGCGTGAGCCACTGTGCCTGGCCTAGACATAATTATATATTCATAGATGATATCATTGTTATGAATACTAGGAACCAAAATCAATTTTGTTCTTATTATTGATGATAGAGTAGCAAAGAGATTGCAGTCAGTAGCTATTCTCCTGTGATTATATTATGAGTTTTGTAATTTAAAAAAATTATCTTTTCTGTTCTTCCAGTTTTGAAAATGTGGGATGCCTGAGATATAAATCTTCCTCTTTACTCAGTAGCTAATATTTAACTTATTATATTTTTTCGGAATCTATTTTGTATTTACTTGTTAGTCATTTCTACTTAGAGAACTTGATATTTCAGAAGAACTGGATACATTATTTCCCTGAATTTTTTGAGAGGATACCTGTTAATGTTACACTGCCATTTTTATGGCTGAAAAGACCCAGGAGGAATTAGGACGTTGTTGTATGCTGGTGATAAATGAAGTTTGCTTTTTGAAACACAACTGCATTTGTTTTCTGATATATCTGGCTTCAATATCAATGATTATATCAACTGTCTGATGTTATAAATGGCTTTGCAAAGCAAAGGCTTCCAGCTACTTCTAAACCTAAACAGTTATGAGTATGTTGCTGGCTAGACCTAGAATTAGTCAGAAGCTTTACTACAAAAGAGAATCTGATCATGACTGCAAAGCATACTGCTATCTTCTGACTTGTTACCTGGTAATCAAAGTTGTATTTCTTTCTTTCTTTTTTTGAGACAAGGTCTTGCTCTGTTGCCCAGTCTGGAGTGCAGTGGTGCAATCACACTTCACTGTAGCCTCGACCTCCTGGGCTCAAGTGATCCTCCTACCTCAGCCTCAGTTGCTGGGACCACAGGTGTGCACCACAATGCCCGGCCAATTTTAAAACATTTTTTATAGAGACAAGTGTCTCCCTATGTTGCCCAGGCTGGTCTTACACTCCTGGCCTCAAATGATCCTCCCACGTCAGCCTCCCAAAGTGCTGGGCAAGTGTGAGCTACCACACCTGGGCTGGTATTTCTTGAGATCGAGTTTCAAAGGCTCCTTTTTAAAAATATTAAGAATTTAATGATTTTTTTAAATAATCAATTATTTGTGGATTAAATCTAATTCCAGCACTCAAATGACTACCACTGGATCTAAATTTTCCAAATTAGGGGTGCTGAGCAGAAGGAGCTGGGGCTGACAGTTCTCCTGAGTGAAAAGGAGTAAAGTAGCGGGGATGTGGTGGCCGTGCTGACAATGAGTTTTCTTGAAGGCTTTTTTGGTCCAGTTTGTGAGATTGATATGTCTTTAATGATGGAGAAGCCAGGAAAATGACAGAAATGAAAACTGAAGATGGCAAAGTAGAAAAACACCATCTCTTTATAATGGAGAATCTGTTTCAGGGAAGGTAAATGTAGCCTTTAAGCAACCTGGATAGAGGCTAGAGCACCAAGGAATTAGAATTGAATTTATAGGTCAAATGGAACTTTACAATGACAAGAGTAATGCTCATGAATTTATAAACCTAATGAAAGAACTAGCCTTACCTGGAGAACTGACTCAGAGAAGAAGTTATGATTTTGAGTTTATGCAAGTTAAAAAGCCATATGCATCTGACATCGGTGCCAGTGTTCACTTGAGGTATTTTCTTAAAGTGACAATAGTGAGAAGACTGACAGATTTAGTAAAAGAATGTGATCTTATTGTTCACCAGCTTGCCACCTGTCCTGATGTTAACAACTGTATTAAGATAGAAGTGGGCATTGAAGATTGTCTACATATATAATTTGAATATAGTAAGTCAAAGTATCATTTAAAGCATGTAATTGTTGGAAAAATTTACTTCTTAGTAGTAAGAATAAAAATACAACATATGGAGTTACAACTGATCAAAAAAGAGATCACAGGAATTGGACCCAGTACCACAGCAGAAACAGAAACATCACCAAATATGAAATAATGGATGGTGCACCAGTAAAAGGTGAATCAATTCCAATGAGACTGTTTTTAGTGGGATATGACCCTACTCCAACAATCAGATGTGAACCAAAAAGTTTCAGTAAGGTACTTTTTGAATTTAGTGTTTGTTGATGAGGAAGACTGAAGGTACTTCAAACAGCAGGAGATCATTTTATGAAGAAAAGCTCCTGAAAAACTGAGGAAACAGAGAAAAAACTTTCACCAGTGATTTGAATCTCCAGAATCACAGGCATCTGCTCAACAGCCTGAAATGTGAACTGAATAGGAGACCAAAAAAAAAAAGCAACAAATTCCTGTAACCATTGAGTTAAGTTCAGCAGGTTGAAGATGGTTGCAGCTGTAGAGGGGAGAAAGAGCAAAACTCCATATATATTAGTCTTCCTTTATCTTACAGTGCTGCATTTATTTTACGGTATAATGAAATGTTCTCCATGTATATACATTTTAAAAAATGCTCTCTTTGAAACACTGGAACTTTCTTAAACTGCCTTTTTTGTTTTTACTTCACACTTTGATGATAAGCACTCAGATGTGCATCAGCATAAACATTAAAAATTTTCGGGTGAGAAAAATAAATAAAATTAGGGGGTCTTTATTTTTTATTTTTTATTTTTGAGAGGTAGTCACACTCTGGTTGCCCAGGCTGGAGTGCAATGGTGCGATCTCGGCTCACTGCAACCTCCGCCTCCTGGGTTCAAGTGATTCTCCTGCTTATTCTCCTGAGTAGCTAGGATTACAGGTGCCCGCCACCATACCCAGCTAATTTTTTTGTATTTTTAGTAGAGATGGGCTTTCACCATGTTGGCCAGGCTGGTCTTGAACACCTGACCTCAGGTGATCCACCTGCCTCGGCCTCCCAAGGTGCTGGGATTACAGCATGAGCCACCACACCTGGCCAAAATTCGGGGGTCTTTTAAATCTATATTCTTTTAAATCATTGTTTACAGTTATATGACACTACTTTTTAAATGTTTCTGATCTTTTAGTTTCAAGGGTACATGTGCAGATTTGTTATACAGGTAAATTGTGTGTCATGGGAGTTTGGTGTACAGATTAGTTCGTGACCCAGGTAATAAGCATGGTACCCAATAGGTAGTTTTCAGTCTTTACCCTCCTTCCACCCTCCACCCTCAAGTAGGCTCCAGTGTCTACTGTTCCCTTCTTTGCGGCCATGTGTACTCAATGTTTATCTCCCACTTGTAAGTGAAAACGTGGTATTTAGTTTTCTGTTCCTGCAGTAGTTCGCTCAGGATAATGGCCTCCAGCTCCATACATGTTGCTACAAAGGGCATGACCTTGTTATTTTTTATGACTGCATACTATCCCATGGTGTATATGTACCATATTTTCTTTATCCAGTCTACCATTGATGGGCATCTAGGTTGATTGCATGTCTTTACTATCGTGAATAGTGCTGTGATGAACATTCTTATGCATTGCATGTCTTTACTATTGTGAATAGTGCTGCGATGAATATACTTGTGCATGTGTCTTTATGGTAGAACAATTTATATTCCTGTGAGTAGATACCCAGTAATGGGATTCCCAGGTCAAATGGTAGTCTGTTTTAAGTTCTTTGAGAAATTGCCAAATTGCTTTCCACAATGGCTGAACTAATTTACACTCCCAGAAGCAGTGTACAAGCATTCCTTTTTCTCTGCAACCTCACTAGCATCTGTTATTTTTTGACTTTTTAATAATAGCCATTCTGTCTGGTGTGAGATAGTATCTCACTGTGGTTTGATTTGCATTTCTCTAGTGATTAGGGATGTTGAACATTTTTTCATATGCTTGCTGGCTAGATATATGTCTTCTTTTGAAAAGTGTCTGTTTATATCCCTTGCCCACTTTTTTATTGGGTTGTTTGGTTTTTTGCTTATTAATTTCTTTAAGTTCCTTATAGATTCTGGATGTTAGAGCATTTTCAGACACATAGTTTGTAAATATTTTCTCCCATTCTGTAGGTTGTCTGTTTACTCTGTTGATAGTTTCTTTTGCTGTGCAGATACTCTTTAGTTTAATTATGTCCCATTTGTCAATTTTATTGTTATTGCAGTTGCTTTTGGTGTCTTCATCATGAAATCTTTGCTAGGGCCTGTGTCCAGAATGGTATTTTCTAAATTTTCTTTCTTTTTTTTTTCTTTTTCGAGATAGGGTCTCACTGTGTCACCCAGGCTGGAGTACAGTGGCGCAAACAGCTTACTGCAGCCTCAACCTCCTGGACTCAAACAATTCTCCTGCCTCAGCCCCCCAAGTAGCTGGGACTACAGGTGCACACTACTACACCTGGCTAATTTTTATATTTTTTTGTAGAGATGAGGTTTCACCATCTTGCCCAAGCTGCTCTTGAACTCCTGAGCTCAAGCAATCTGCCTGCCTCAGCCTCCTAGAGTGCTGAGATTACAGGCGTGAACCACCACGCCCAGTCATTCCTAAATTTTCTTCAAGGGTTTTATAGTTTTAAGTTTTACATTTAAGTCTTTAATCCATCTTGAGCTGATTTTTATATATGGTGTAAGGAAGGGGGCTAGTTTCAATCTTCTGCATATGGCTAGCCAGTTATCCCAGCACCATTTATTGAATAGGGAGTCTTTTTCCCATTGCTTGTTTTTGTCAACTTTGTCGAAGACCAGATGGTTGTAGGTGTGTGGCTTTATTTCTGGGCTCTCTATTCTGTTCCATTGGTCTATGTGTCTGTTTTCATACCAGTACCATGCTGTTTTGGTTACGGTTGTCTTATAGTATAGCTTGAAATTGGGTATTGTGATGCCTCCAGCTTTGTTCTTTTTGCTTAGGATCACTTTGGCTATTGGGCTCTTTTTTGGTTCTGTATGAATTTTAGAATAGTTTTTTCCTAATTCTGTGAAGAATGTTATTGGTAGTTTGAGAGGAATAGCATTGAATCTATAAATTGCTTTGGCATTATGAACATTTTAACAATATTGATTCTTCCTATCACGAGCATGGAATGTTTTTCCATTTGTGTCATCTCTGATTTATTTGAGCAATATTTTATAATTCTTGTTGTAGAGATCTTTCACCTTCCTGGTTAACTGTATTTCTGGGTATTTTACTTTTTTTTTTCTTTTGCTATAACGAATGGGATTGTGATCTCGACTTGGCACTCAGCTTGGGTGTTGTTGGGTATAGAAATGCTATTGATTTTTGTACATTGATTTTTGTATCCTGAAATTTTGCTGAAGTTGCTTATCAGATCTAGGAGCTTTTGGGCACACTATGGGGTTTTCTAGGTATAAAAACAATATCTTCTGCAAATAGATATAGTTTGATTTCCTGTTTGGATGCCTTTTATTTCTTTCCCTTGCCTGATTGTTCTGGTTAGGACTTCCAGTACTATGTTGAATAGAAGTGGTGAGAGCGGGCATCCTTGTTTTGTTCCAGTTCTCAAGGGGAATTGTTCCAGCTTTTGCCCATTCAGTATGATGTTGGCTGTGCGGTTTGTCATAGGTGACTCTTATTATTTTGAGGTATGTTCCTTCAGTGCCTGGTTTGTTGAGGGTTTTTAACATGAACAGATGTTGAATTGTATTGAAAGCCTTTCCTGCATCTATTGAGATGATCATGTGGTTTTTGTTTTTAGTTCTGTTTATGTGATGAATCACACTTATGGATTTGCATATGTTGAACCAACCTTGCATTCCAGGGATAAAGCCTACTTTATTGTGGTGAATTAGCTTTTTGATGTGCTGCTGGATTCAGTTTGCTAGTATTTTGTTGAGGATTTTTGCATCAATACTCATCAAACATATTGGCCTAAGGTTTCCTTTTTTTGTTGTTTCTCTGCCAGGTTTTGGTATCAGAATGATGCTGAATGATGCTGGCCTCATAGAATGAGTTAGGGAGAAGTTCTTCCTCCTCAATTTTTTTGAATAGTTTCAGTAGGAGTGGTACCAACTCTTCTTTACATGTCTGGTAGAATTTGGCTGTGAATCCATCGGGTCCTGGGCTTTTTTTGATTGATAGGTTTTTAATTACTGGTTCAATTTTGGAACTCATTCTTTGTCTGTGCGGGGTTTTAATTTCTTCCTGGCTCAATCTTGGGAGGTTTTATATTTCCAGAAATTTATCCATTTCTTCTAGGTTTTCTAGTTTTTGTGCATAGAGGTGTTCATAATAGTCTCTGGGGTTTTTTTTTTTTTTTCTGTGGGGTCGGTGGTAATGTTCCTTTTGTCATTTCTGATTGTGTTTATTTGGATCTTCTCTTTTAAATTAGTCTAGCTAGTGGTCTATTAATCTTATTTATTCTTCAAAGAGCCAACTTATGATTTCATTGATCTTTTGTATGGTTTTTCACATATCAATTTCATTCTGTTTAGCTCTAATTTTGGTTATTTCTTGTCTTCTGCTAGCTTTGGGGTTGATTTGCTCTTGTTTTTCTAGTTCCTCTAGGTGTGATGTTAGATTGTTATTTCTAGATCTTTCTAACTGTTTCATGTGGGTGTTTAGCACTATAAACTTGTAACACTGCTTTAGCTGTGTCCCAGAGATTCTGGTATTTTCTGTCTTTGTTCTCATTAGTTTCAAAGGATTTCTTGAGTTCTGCCTTAATTTCATTGTTTACTCAGAAGTCATCAGGAGCAGGTTGTTTAATTTCCATGTAATTGTATGATTTTTAGTGATCTTCTTAGTATTGATTGCTATTGTTATTGCACTGTGGTCCGAGAGTGTGGTTAATATAATTTTGGGTGTTTTGCATTTGCTTAGAATTGTTTAATGGCTGATTGTGTGGTCGATTTTTAGAGTATGTGCCAGGTGCAAATGAGAAGAACGTATATTCTGCTGTTTTGGGGTGGAGAGCTCTGTAGATGTCTGTTAGGTCCATTTGGTTAAATGTCAAGTTCAGGTCACAACTATCTTTGTTAGTTTTTTGACTCAGTGATCTGTCTAATACTGTTAATGGGGTGTTGAAGTCTCCCACTGTTATTGTGTGGTTATCTGAGTCTCTTTGTAGGTCTCTAAGAACTTGTTTCATGAGCCTGGATGCTCCTGTGTTGATTGCATATATACTTGGGATAGGTAAGTCTTCATGTTGAATTGAACCCTTTACCTTTATGTAATGCCCTTATTTGTCTTTTTAAATCATTGTTGGTTTAAGGTCTGTTTTGGTTTTGTCTGAAATTAGAATAGCAATCTCTGCTTTTTTTGTTTTTCATTTGCTTGCCAGATTTTTCTCCACCCCTTTACATTGAGCCTATGGATGCCATTGCATGTGAGATGGGTCTCCTAAAGACAGCATACAGTTGTCTGGGCACGGGGGCTCACGCCTGTAATCCCAGCACTTTGGGAGGCCAAGGCAGGCAGATCACAAGGTCAGGAGATCGAGACCATCCTGGCTAACATGGTGAAAACGCATCTCTACTAAGAATACAAAAAATTAGCCGGGCATGGTGGCACTTGCCTGTAGTCTCAGCTACTCGGGAGGCTGAGACAGCAGAATTGCTTGAACCCAGGAGCTGAGATCATGCCACTGCACTCCAGCCTGGGTGACAGAGCAAGACTGTGTCTCAAAAAACAAACAAACAAACAAACAAACAAACAAAACCCAGCATACAGTTGGGTCTTATTTATCCAACTTTCCACTGCCTTTTAATTGGGGCATTAAGCCCGTTTACATTCAAGGTTAATATTGATATATGTGGATTTTATCTTGTCATTGTGTTGTTAGCTGGTTATTTTGCAGACTTGATTGTGTAGTTGCTTTATAGTGTCAATGGTCTATGTACTTAAGTGTGTTTTTGTGGTGGCTGCTAACAGTCTTTCATTTCCATGTTTAGCACCACCTTGAAGACCTCTTGGAAGGCAGGTAACGAATTCCCTTAGCATTTGCTTGTCTGAAAATGATCTCATTTCTCCTTCACTTATGAAACTTAGTTTGGCTGGATATGAAATTCTTGGTCTTAGTTTCTTTAAGAATGTTGAATATAGGCCCTCAAGCCCTCAAATATAGAGTTTCTGCTGTTAGCCTGATAGGATTCCCTTTGTAGGTGGCCTGCCCCTTCCCTCTAGCTACCTTTAATATTTTTTGTTTCACGTTGACCTTGGAGAATCTGATGACTAAGTGTCTTGGGGATGGTTGTCTTGTATGTATCTCATAGGGGTTCTCTGCATTTCCTGCATTTGAATGTTGGCCTCTCTAGTGAGGTTGGGGAAGTTTTTGTGGATGATATTTTCGAATATGTTGTCCAAGTTGCTTGTTTTCTATCCCTGTCTTTCAGGGATGCCAGTGAGGCATAGATTTGATCTATTTACATAATCCCATGTTTCTCAGAGGTTTTGTTCTTTTTTATTCTTTTTTCTTTATTTTTGTCTCAGTTAATTTGGAGAACCAGCCCTGTGAGATTCTTTTCTCAGCTTGGTCTATTCTGCTGTTAATACTTGCAATTTGTATTATGAAATTTCAGATCAGTATGATTCTTTCTTAAAATGGCCATTTTGTCTTTCAGCTCTTGTGTCATTTTTTTGTATTCCTTAGATTTCTTGGATTGGGTTTTGAGTTTCTCCTGAATTTCAATGATTTTCATTCCTATCTATATTCTGAATTCTATGTCTGTAATTTCAGCCTGGTTAAGAACCATTGCTGGGGAACTAGTATAATTGTTTGGAGGTAGGAAGACACTCCAACTTTTTGAGTTGCTAGAGTTCTTGCACTGGTTCTTTCTCATCTGTATGGACTGATGTTCCTTTTATCTCTGAAGTTGCTGTCTTTTGGATGGGGTTTTTTTGCTTTGATGCCTGTGGGGGTTTGATTGTGGAATAAGGTGGGTTCAGTTGACCATCTTCACTTCTGGAAGATTTCAGGGGGCCCAGGCTCAGCTCAGAACTCCTGGACTGTGTGCTCTAACTGTGGGGGGCTAGAGTTAGAACACATAGTTTTGTGTGTCCCCAGCTTTGTTCTCTGGCCCTTCGAGGTTAGAAATATGTTGCACTGGAGGGGTGGAGGTGTTCCTGGTCCACTGGCCACAATACTCCAATGGGGTTGCTGGCCAAAGCAATTCACTGGGGTGGTGGCAGTAGGATCTGTGCTGCTCATGAATGCCAGCAGCCAGGATGGCATGGTGGGGTGCTTGTGCACTGGCTGGGGCAGGGGCGCTGGTGGGAACCCTTTGTTTTCACAGGTGTCACCTTTGTTTTCACAGGTGTTGTATACTGGCAGAATATTTTGGTGTTATGTTTTGGGCTGTGATCTAGTAGGTAGTGTTTAAGAGTATTAGCTGGCAGATAGGCTCTTAACGCTGCAGCACAACTCATTTGTGTTTTGGCATGGTTTGTAGTAGTGTTCTGGGGTGAAAAGGGAAAGTGATGACCCCCTACCCTGGTTGGCTCTTGGGCCTTGGAGGAGCCCCCTTTGACTGGCTCTGTGCCCATGTTTCTTTTGTTGGGTGTTTTGGACCACGGGGCTCTTTTAAGCAGGTGCCATGGTTGGCAGACAGGCCATATGCTTGCCAGGTCAACCCTGCAGCAAGAATTACACTCTGCCCCTCCACTGGCTTGCAAACCTGGGCATCTCACTCTCTCAGTGATCTTAGAGGGAGGGCTTCTCCCTCCTTGGGCATCACTCAGGCCTGCACATCCTGCTCAGCTAGGAGCTGTGGGACTGGATGTGGTCACCTATTCTGCTGTCTGGGTACTTCCTAGGGGAACACGGGGTTGTGCCTGCCCACATAGTTGAGGCAGAAGTGAGACCACTGGGCTGGACACTCTAGCAGGCATGGCCTGTCTGGCTACCAGCAGCAGGGATGGGTGGGAGTCACCTACCCTGCTGTCAAGGTGTTTCCTGGGGCAACAGGAAGCTGTGGCTGCCAGCTGAGTTCAGGCAGAAGTGGGACTGTTGGGCTGAAGGCTAGCACCAAGTCTTGTCTGGCAAGGTGGAGTGAAGCAATCTTACTGCTCCCAGGCAGGACCGTGACCGCTATTGGGGATATGGTACTGGTGTCATTCCGTTCCAGGGTCCAAGGCTTATAGAGGTCCCCATGGACTTGAGAGTTGTCGCCGCAGAAACTCTGGGTGTCTCTCTGCCTCAGTTTAGAAGTGTGGGGGTAGGGCCAGGGGAACCAGGGAATTCTCCCATTACTAGTCTTACACAGGTGCCTGTGTACAATCCTCCAGGGAGCTCTCACTCACTCATCCTTTCCCATATTGAGGAGCTTTTCCTGGCTCTGTGCTGATCCCAGAGGGGCCGCTGCCCAGCTTTGCTCCTCTCTGCCCTCTGTGTCCCCTTGCTGCCTGGATGGATTCTGACATGGTTTCTTAGATGATCAGCTAGTAGGGTCAGTGTTCATCAACCCTGTTGTTTCCTGTTTGTGAGAGCGGCACACACGAGCAGCTTCTAATTCACCATCTTGACCCACCCAACCCCCGACACTACCTTTAATTAAAGCTCAGTTTTAAGTCTTTTTACCCAACTCTTACATTTAAAAATATGTAAAGCTTCAGAAAAATTGCATGAATAGTATGATAACATCCATATGCCACTTGCCTAGATTCATCAATTTTTAAATTATGGCAAAATGTACATAAGATAAAATTTACCATTTAACCATTTTTAAGTGGACAGTTCAGTGGCATTAAGTACATTCACGTTATTGTACAACCACTGCCACCATCCATCTTCAGAACTTTTTAATCTTTCCAAACTGAAATGCTATACCTGTTGAATGGTAACGCTCCATTTCTTCCATTGTTGATGATCACCATTCTATTTTCTGTCTATGTGAATTTGACTACTCAAGGTGCCTTGCATAAGTGGAATAATACAATGTTTGTCCTTCTGTGACAGATTTAATACACTTAGCATAATGCCTTCCAGGTTCATCCTCGTTGGGGCATGTATCAGAATGTATTCCTTTTTTAAAGCTGAATAATATTCCATTGCATGTATATACCACATTTTGTTTATCCGTTCATCCATTAATGACATCTGGGTTGTTTACACATGTTAGCTACTGTAAATAATGCCACCACGAACATTGACATACAACTGTCTGTTCAGGTCCCTGCTTCCAGTTCTTTTGGGTATATGCCTAGGAATGGAATTGCTGCATCATATAGTAATTCAATCTTTACTTTTTTGAAGAGTGGCTACTATTTTCCATACTGGCTGTATCATTTTACATTTCCACAAGCAATGTACAAAGTTTCCAATTTATCCACATCCTTGCCAACACTGATTATTATTTATAATAGCTATCCTAATGGGCACGAACGTTCACCAATTTTAAAACTTTATTACATCAAAGGATTTTTAAAATTCTGCAGTTCCTGCCTTTTATATATCAAAATGGTTCATATGTCCTTTTGCGTACTAGCCATTTTTCCTACAATTCATTCCAGGTTTTTTTTACATTATGATAAGCTTTACTTAGGTATTGGAGGATTGACTGTTTCAAGATGATGTTAATTAGGTGATGCTCTGGTAAGCAATACTCAGTAGACCTTATTGGTAACATTGCTGAAACTACAAGGGTAACATTCATGGGAAGACAAATAGTTTTCATTTATCCTTGTTGATAGTTGCTTCATTGAGTAGTGTGCAGTTTTAAGAGCAGAATTAAATTACATCTTTAAATTTTGTTTCTGATTAACAACAGACTGGTTGTATCATTTTCCTGAAACAGGCTGACATATGACCAAAGTAATCTTCTGAAAAGTAATTTAGAATTAGTTGTATATCTTCTTTTATATATACCTAAATAAATCATTTTACAGAAAATCCTGGATGATAGACTCTATGATTTGTGATTTTGCCTTTTTAATTTAGTTATAAGACTTTGCCAGATACTCAGAAGGCAATTTCAGGATCCCTCATTAAATCCTCAGATCTAGCAATATAAAAGAAGTTGAGTAAAATTGGCTGTATTCTAAAGCCTCACTTCCTTCCTTTGATGATGAGTATAATGGGGTTAGATAAAGGCTCCTATGCTTTAGGATATTGGTGAATAGCAGTCAAACATACTAGTACTTGCCTAAGTCGATTTGTGCTGGGGCATTAGGTGATACAATCATGTCTTTGAATAGAGTTTTTAATGCTTTTATTTATACTTTTTAAGTTTTTGGCTTCATGAAATGACCTTCACTGTGTTCTAGAACTATATTTCTGTTCAAGTGGGTATTTAATCACTATATTGTCCCTAAGCAAATAAAAGAGAATTTTTACCAGGATCTTGCTATAAACATAGAGATATGATCTTATAGTCTTCTTAAGACAGATTATATAATCATTTATGTTCCATTGCCTTACTGTGACTAAAGATTTTAGCAGACAAGCCACTGACATTACATGATTTCTCATAACATTGACATAATTTCTATGTAAGTTGATATCAAGGTCATATGGTTTCTTAATGACAAAAATATTTTAAAGTTTTGTCCTCAGTGATGGGAATGTTAAAGTGTTGTTCCGTCTCTGATAAACCTGGCATCATTACTTCTCTTCATAGGTACTGAGGACTTTAAAAGGAAGCTTACAGATGAAACAACTTTTAATTTTATCTTCTAATAAAAGGAAAAAGGATATTAATAAACAATTTAGAAATAAATGGATCAGAGATGGGGAATATGCCACATTTAAGGAGAGTGCTTAACATTTAATCTCTCTTTTCTTTAATGTTAAACTTATAATACCCAGTTATAAGGAAGTTAGCACTAGTCAAAAATAGAAATTTTAATAATTCAGAAGCTCCTTTGATTTCATTTAATGTCATACTGTTTAAGTTTCTAGAACTAACTCATTTTGTGTTTGTTGTTGTTAGATGTAGTATCTACCCCTTGGACTGCAGAACTTGGAGGTGATCAGCTGAGAACGATGACCTACACTATAGTCCTTAATAGTCCACTTACTGGAAAATGCACTGCTGCCACTGAAAAGCAGGTACGTCTGCTTTGTCAGTGTCCAGAAGAGTCATGTGTGGGGGAAGAGAGAAGATGCCTATTATAGTTCACCAATTTACAAGACAGTTTCAATAAACAAGTGGCAAGAAAAAAGGGAGGAGAAACTGTTACAGGTTAAAAGAGACTTAAAAGGCATATGAATCGTATCAACCCACTCCTAATTCAAACAAACCACTTGTTAAAAGGTATTTATGAGATTTCAGGAATTGTTTATTTTTTATGTATAGTAATGGTATTACAGCTGTGTATTAAAGAAAATAATATTTATTTTAAAAGAGATATATGGAAGAATCTATAAAGAGATATAGTGAAGTATTATGGATGACATTATATTGATGTCTAGGATTTCCTTTAGAAGTCATCTAGCTGGGCAGAGGATGGTGATAGAGGCAGGTAATATGGGACAGAGGACAAAGGAAGCAAGACTGGGGAGGAGTTAGTGTTGCTGAAGCTAGTTGATGAGCTCCTGAGGGTCATTATACTTCATTTCTTCTCTTTCATATATTCAAATTTTTTTTTTTTTTTTGAGACGGAGTCTCACTGTTGCCCAGGCTGGAGTGCAGTGGCATAACCTTGGCTCACTGCAAGCTCTGCCTCCCAGGTTCAAGCGATTCTCCTGTCTCAGCCTCCTGAGTAGGTGGGATTACAGGCGCACGCCACCATGCCTGGCTAATTTTTGTATTTTTAGTAGAGACGGGGTTTCAGCATGTTGGTTGGGCTGGTCTCGAACTCCTGAACTCATGATCCGCCTGCCTCAACCTCCCAAAGAAAATATTTTTTTAAAAAGAATACCAGGCCAGTTATGGTGGCTCATCCCTGGAATATTAGCACTTTGAGAGGCCCAGGTGGGAGGATCACTTGAGACCACGAGTTTGAGATCAGACTGCGCAACACAGTGACACTTTGTCTTTACCAAAAATAAAATTAACCAGGCATGATGGTGTGTGCCTGTGGTCTCACCTACTCAGGAGGCTGAGGCAGGAGGATCGCTTGAGCCCAGGAGTTTGAGATTACAGCGAGCTATGATCTAGCCACTGCACTCTAGCCTGGGCAACAGAGCTAGACTCTGTCTCAAAAATAAAAAATAAAAACAAAAGAAGACATAAAAAGGAACACTACTCAAATCTGGTTTACAGAATTGTTTCAAGAGTTAGGGGCCAAATAACTAGATGGCTGCTTTGACACATGGGAAGAGAATGAGTTTTTGAAATTAAATACTGTATGAGCTATTTAATGCTCTTTATCTGTGACCAGAGTGGCAGTGTCTTACAGTGGAATGTGTGTTTAGCCAATTTGTGCTGAGTATCTGATTTGCAAATAGTCTGAAAACATCTCTTAACATCTGAACTAGTTGTGCTTATAAGAGCAAACAAATGGACAAAACAATAGTTTTGTTCATTATCATTAAAAAGAACGTATTTCCATACCTTTAAACAATTCTTAAAAGATTATCAAACGTAAGAAAAGTCTGGTATTTTGGTATTGGAGGGTCTTTGAAAACTTTGGAAGCCCCCCCAACCCCCTTACAGGATAGGTAGAAAAGGTATGGTTAAAATGAGAAAGGTTTGGCCAATGACCATTTAAAATCCTGTTTAGGAAAAGCAGTGTTTTGTTTGGTTACTACCCTTCTTGACTTTTTTGGTGAAGGGTGGTTTCGTTGAACTTTGATTAATTTTGAGGTGGGATCCTTACTTCATTCAATTGATTTTTGAATTGTTCACCTAACAGGAACACTTAAAACTCTATAAACTTATAATACACATAAGAGATTATGTGGTTTGTCCTCATGCCTAAAGGAAAAAATAATTTGCCAGTGAAATAAATGACACAGGGGCAGCAAATGTAATTTCTGTAAGTCCCTTTCTCTCTTTAAGAGACAGTTTCAGTCTGTCACTCAGGCTGGAGTGTAGTGGTGCAGTCATAGTTCACTGCAACCTCAAACTCCTGGGCTCAAATGATCTTCCCACCTCATTCTCCCAAGTAGCTGGGACTACAGGCGTGTGCCACCAACCCCAACTAATATTTTCTTCTTTCTTTTTTTTTTTTTTGAGACAGAGTCTTGCTGTGTCTCCCAGGCTGGAGCGCAGTGAGGCGATCTTGCTCACTGCAACCTCTGCCTCCTGGGTTCAAGTGATTCTCCTGCCTCAGCCTCCCACCGAGTAGCTGGGATTACAGGCATGTGCCGCCACTCCTGGCTAATTTTTGTATTTTTAAGAGAGACGAAGTTTTGCCATGTTGGCCAGGCTGGTCTTGAACTCCTGGCCACAAATGATCCACCCACATCAGCTTCCCAAAGTGTTAGGATTACAGGCGTGAGCCACTGCGTCTGGCCTAATTTTTTATTAAAAAAAATTTTTTTTGTAGAGGCTGGGTGTTTTTATATTGGCCAGGCTGGTCCCGAATTCCTGACCTTAAGCAATTCTCCCACCTTGGCCACCCTAAGCGCTGGGATTACAGGCATAAGCCGCCATACCCGGCCCTCTTTTTCTCAATTTATGGACAACAGAGTCAGCATGTAGGCTCTTTTAGCTTTGTATATAGGTTTCTCATGTTTTTTGTAATTTTTGAGAAGGAATACTAATATACATGTTCTAAATTGGCAAGAAGATTCATATATTAAGCATATACATACAAACATTTTTTATCTTACTTTGGCAGACACTGTATAAAGAAAGTCGGGAAGCACGATTTTATTTGGTAGATTCAGAAGTACTGACACATGATGTCCCCTACCATGATTACTTCTATACCGTGAACAGATACTGTATCATCCGATCTTCAAAACAGAAATGCAGGCTAAGGTGAGCTGCTGTACATGAATGTGTTAGGATAGGCTAGATTATGTCCTGGTAATTTATTCATCCTGAATTCTTAGTAGTAGCTTTACACAACAGTTTTATTTCTTGCTTAAATTACATTTCCAACAGGGGTGAGCAGAGGAGTGGGGCTTCTCACCTAAGGCCCCCGCTTGATGAAGGCTTTGACACCCGGAGCTACGTGATCCAGAATATGTGTTGTTTCAGTTGCCACAGGAAGAGAAAGCTGTAGAATTGTGTTCACAATCCATTGACCAGAACCAGTCATGTGACCTTGTTTAATGGCAAAGGGGCTGGGAGTTTTGGGGGAGTGCTCAGTGAGCGGTAATTGGCTCTGCTGCAGTGGGAAATGAGAAATGTTGGTGCATTACAGAGAGAGATGGGCCATCATGTACTTGGCCTACTCTGGTTAATGTAGTTACTTTCACCTAGTGTATGACCACTAGAGATTTTTTATACAAGGAATTTAGAAAATTTAGTATTTATTTTGAGCCTTCATTGCTATTTAGATAAATAAAATTTAGGGCTAGAGAAAGGAAATAAGTAAAATGGCAAGTACTTAGAAGGAAAATTTGATGAAATTATTAGCAGCACACATTAATTTTTTAAATAAAAGTTATCAATGAACACATTTTCTTTTATGATATTAATGACTTTGAATCTTTTTGACTTTCCACTGAATACAATCTTACATTTAACTGTAACATGAATATAACTAAAGTCTGCTCTTTAAATAAATATTCTTTCCTTCTTATTCTACTAGAGTTTCCACAGATTTGAAATACAGAAAACAGCCATGGGGCCTTGTCAAATCTTTAATTGAAAAGAATTCCTGGAGTTCTTTGGAGGACTATTTCAAACAGCTTGGTTTGTAAATTTTTTTATTTATCTATTTTTGTAAAGATGGGATTTATTAACAAAATGGATTGATTCTTCATTTAGATTTGTAACAGAAAACTGGTCAATGATGTTGGAAAGACTCCCATGAAAGTGGTTCCCACTGTCCCACTTTTTCTGCCACTTAGGGAATTTCAAAACTTTTAATTTTCATTGGTCAAACAAACACTTATTTTTTTTATTTTTTATTTTTTTTGAGATGGAGTCTTGCTTTGTTGCCTAGGCTGGAGTGCAGTGGTGCGATCTTGGCTCACTGCAACCTCCGCCTCGTGAGTTCAAGCAATTTTCCTGCCTCAGCTTCCCGAGTAGCTGGGACTACAGGCGTGTGCCACCACACCCGGCTAATTTTTGTATTATTAGTAGAGACGAGGTTTCACCATCTTGGTCAGGCTGGTCTCGAACTCCTGAGCTCATGATCCACCCGCCCAGCCTCCCAAAATGCTGGGATTACAGGTGTGAGGCACCACCGTGCCTGGCCGAACAAACACTTACATAATGCTTATTATATCCCAGACATACATAATAAAGTTCTATGTGCTTTACAGATATTAACTCATTTCATACTCAGAACAAGTTAAAATTATTATTTTTCATTTTATTAAAAGAGAAAATTGAAACACAGAGAGGTTAAGTGACTTTTATCAAGATCACACAGTTAAGAGCTCTCATACCCCTTTGCCTCTGTAAGGAGCCAAGGAGACTGCATAAACTGATCATAGATATACACCTGTGCTGTCTAAGCTCTGGGGAGTCCTCGGGGCTACCTTCCTTGTCAGATGCAGCTTTCCTGGGCTTATGCAGCCCACTTGGCAATGGTAGTATGTACATGTATGGATTTGGTTGGAGGTGGGTACTAGAGACTGACTGGGGAAAACGATACGGTGGTTCTCTTTGGATATTTCTTAACATATACATGCGAGAAATATATATATATATACACACACACACACACATATATGCATGTATATATACGTGTGTGTATATATATATACACATATATATACACAAGCATAATTTAAGTTTAGTTGAAGAAAAGCTGGTGGTCAGTCAACTCAAGGTAATTTAAGGCTTATCATCTAGTTTGCTGATAATTTTTCTTGCCTTTCTTCCTTGTCTATTTCATTATTGAATTCTTCATCAGGAGCAGAGAAAAATGAAACTCAAAAAAAATTAGTTTGGCCACTGAATAAGTTTCTAATAAAAATTCTGGCAGAGGAAAAGTTTGAAACAAATGACAAAAATGAGGTTTATAGGTTGTTTACAGATTTTCTTTGTGAGTGCTTCCTTTCTTGTAAACCTTTGTTGAAAATTAGAACTAGTATATGCTACTCCTTCCTGTAAGGTTGAGAAGTACCATAATCTGTCTTTGAAATCTTTCTAATGATCCAATGTAAGTGGGTAGCCTGTTGTTTCCATAACTGAAATTATTACATTAATATGTATTAATAACATAGCACATGGCAAATTTGCTCTGATGAGCCCATCATTTATTAATACACATTCTTCCTGGAATAATGAAACCTCATTATGGGGTCACTGTACTCTCTAAAGCTTTTCATTAAGTGTAAAATTTGAATCTAGGTCATAAGAACCTAAGGAATTTGTTAAAGAAAATTATCAAAAATAACCACCAAAACCCATTGTATCTTATAGTTGAGGAGCTTTCCTCACTATATAAAGATTGTTTTTTTTTTTCTTAGAATCAGATTTGTTAATTGAAGAATCTGTATTAAATCAGGCCATTGAAGACCCTGGAAAACTTACTGGCCTACGAAGGAGAAGGCGAACCTTCAACCGAACAGCAGAAACAGTTCCTAAACTTTCCTCTCAGCATTCCTCTGGAGATGTGGGCTTAGGTGCCAAAGGGGATATTACAGGTAGTTGTCACCTGGTAAACAGAGATGAAAGATTTTTACTTTAGTTATATGAAGCAGAATGTGCCTCTTGTTTGTAAGAATATGTCAGGAGGTCTCCTTTTCTTCCCTCCTTTTTGGATAATGTTTATCAAACTCTGATTTCCTTTAAGATAACTAATATATAAGTATAAAGGAGCAGTTGCAAAATGGCAAGCATATAACCAATATATTTTATTTGGCCCATGTGTCATTTTAAGAATTGGACATTAAACTTTTTTTAAAATTTTATTTATTTTTTCTAGATAGGGTCTCGTTCTGTTGCCCATGCTGTAAGTGGCACAATCATGGCTCAGTGTAACCTCGGGCTCCTGGGCTCAAGTGAGCCTCCTGCCTCAGCCTCCTGAGTAGCTGAGATTACAGGTGTGCACCACCACACCTGGCTAAAATTGGACCTTTTTATATAAAAACTCAGATCTGACAGTCCAGCACTGAAATCCCTTCATGGCAGCAGTTTGTTGGAGCATAGTAGTAGCTGCCCTGTTAGACTGAGTGCGCCCCAGCTTGCCACAGCCCCCATCACAATCACCACCCTGCCAACTTCTGAACCACTTTGCTTATTTATTTGCTGCCTAGCATTTATAGAAATTCAATTTCTACGTTTGAGTGTACTGCTCTCTTAATCCTTATATACTGTCAGGGCCAGCCCAGCAAAATTGCAAAGATAACATTTGACTTTTATTATCTTCATTCTCAATTTTGAACACATCTTACTTTTAATAACTGTTATTCCCTTCCTCTCAGAGGTATAAAACTGTCATAACTTCTCATCCTCTTACATTATCAGATCTTCCTTTGAGGCTTGTAGCTTAGTGTTGACTATGTTTATCCACTATTTAAGATTAATGGTTCTTTAATTTTGGAATTTAAAAGTTTGGGTAACAATGAATAGGTGATAATGTTTTGTTTTGTTTTGTTTTTTAACTAGGGAAGCATTTTATGTAAGCCCAGTTCAAATATTATTTGGAGAGATATTTGCTTATTGATTATTAGCTACTTAGCTATCAAGCATGTTGTATTGAATTGCTTGTTTAATTTTAGAGTAAAGTAATTTGCAATATAGGCCAAATTTTAAGGAGTGCTGAAAGTTTTCTCTTTGTAGATTTGTTTCATATTACTCAGGATGTCAGAAATAAAAAAAGGGGTGCAGGGAATTTACCCTAAATCACTTTGTCTTTACAAATAATTTTTAAAAGTTCTTTTTCAGTTCTTTTCAAATGAGTATTAAATTTCTGTCAGTTGAGGGCTGGGTGCGGTGGCTCACGCCTGTAATCCCAGCACTTTGAAAGGCCAAGGCGGGTGGATCACCTGAGGTCAGGAGTTCGAGACCAGCCTGACCAACATGGAGAAATCCCATCTCTACTAAAAATACAAAAATTAGCTGGGCATGGTGGCGCATGCCTGTAATCCCAGCTTCTCAGGAGGCTGAGGCAGGAAAATTGCTTGAACCTGGGAGGCAGAGGTTGCGGTGAGCTGAGATCGTGCCATTGCACTCCAGCCTGGGCAACAAGAGCGAAACTCCTTCTCAAAAAAAAAAAAAAAAAAAATTTGGATCAGTTGTAATCACAATTCTCATTCTAATGCAGCCTTTTTCTTGTGATCTACAGGAAAGAAAAAGGAAATGGAAAACTATAACGTCACTCTTATTGTGGTAATGAGTATTTTGTAAGTATTTGTTGTGAATGCTTATTTTGCTTGTTTCAGCATTTATCTTTAACTAGTTTCCAAAAGAATTTGAATGTATTTGTATATTATTGTGTAGAAATTGCCACTATTTGACTATTGCCGGCCTACAAAAATAGCAATTTTATAGGTTTCAGATTTTTAGCTTTATATATGATTTTCAGAAGAATTGTTAAATTTGAGGAAATACAAAGTACTCATTCAACAGATGTTTTTATTTTTTAGCTAATCTGATTAATTTCTATCATCATAGGTTTTTATGGGAAGTTCCATAAATTTAAAGGGAATATTTATATATACATGCTGGGGAAGTGCCAATAATACTATTTTACTCTATTTGATTGGACAAATGGTTCTTACGTAACTCTGCTGTGCCTAAGAATCACTTGGGGTGCTTGCTAAAATGCAGATTTCTTGACCCCTGTCTCAGAGATTGATTCAGTAATTCTTGAGTAGGCATCAGGAATCAGTATTTTTAAACATACACCCCAGGTTATTCTGATGCAAGTGATATGAGCATTACATGGTGAAAAATACTGGGACAATGTCTGAATCCCAGGGTATTCTATAGGAATCCACTCAGCCAGTCATATTTAGAACACTAATATCTATATGCCTCTATATGAATCTTGAGGCACTATGTTAGATTTAATTGAATTGGTTCTGACTTAGTGATATATTGAAGGTGATAATTTTTGGATTGGAGCTTCAATATTAGCTTTTTTTTGTCTAATTATAGATTTCAGAACATAGAAGATGTTTGTTGTTCCTTTGGGCTTTATGGAAGATTTTTATGTTCTGCTTAAATCAGTTTTCTACGACAGTTCTGAATAGCAAATATTATCAGTGTTCTTTTGCATTACTTTACAGAAAATGTTTACTCAAAAGTTGGAATATTAATCTGTATACCATTTCAATGCCATAATAACTTCAAAGATTGGATTTTCTTGCTACTATCTTAAGTTTTTAAAAATAAATCTTCTTGATGGGTAAAAGTGAATAAGGGCAAGTTAATATTTTAATAGAAAAAGTAGACAGATATGATGCCACCTGTATATTTGCATATATATATATATGGTATGTAACCATTCACTTGAAAGGCTGCTGTGAAAACCAATACATTAAGTTCATTTAGCATGTAACATTTTATATATGACACCATTAATGTATATTTGGGACTTGATACTTCCTTTGTGCAAGATGAACTAGAATAATTTTTGCTGAATGGTAATTTTTTTTTTTTTCTGACTTCCACTGGGAGTAAGAGGTACATCATGCTCTACCTGAGATCAGCTACATATTGATCTTCATTTCCTTTTCTGAAAGGCAGCATTATGAGCGTATAATTGCCTAAGCCAAAGGCACCCAAAAATAGATCCTAAAAGCTTATCTGGTAGATTTCAAAGCTGGTGGTCTCACATCAACACTGACTAGTATTCCTAGCAGAGGGGAGAGATGTCACAGATACCCCAAACCTGTGAGTTCGGATTATTCAAGGACTTGTATTGTCACTCTAATTACCTTCCATCTTTTCCTCAACCTCCACTTAATACTTACAAGTAATTATTTCATATAATAAAATAGGGATAATTGATTTAAATAATAACAACAATGAAAAACAGTGTAGACAATACACATTTTTGAAGCTTTTGCATGTATATTCTGCATTAGCAATGCTTTAGGTCTGGAAAAGTGTGGATTAACATATAATTTGCTCTGCCTAGTGTGTTGTTATTAGTTTTGTTGAATGTGACACTGTTTCTGAAGCTGTCAAAGATAGAACATGCTGCTCAGTCCTTTTACCGTCTCCGCCTCCAAGAAGAGAAATCTTTAAAGTAAGTCTTTTTCCCCCTGACCTGTATTCACCATATTATTTCAGTAATTCTTCAGTTGCAGAAAACTTAATTTCAGTTTCAGAGACTGTGGTCTGCTAACTATCCTGTAGCCATAAACAGCCTGTTTTTGTTTGTTTAATTTTGTGTTTTGTTTGCAAATTTATGGGGCTCTGATGATTTCTGGAAATGAAAAAAAGATCAGAAGCTATTCTCCAGATTTTGAAGATGGCATTTTTCTTTCAGTTTAGCCTCTGATATGGTGTCAAGAGCAGAAACTATTCAGAAGAATAAAGATCAGGCCCATCGTTTAAAGGGAGTGCTCCGAGACTCCATAGTGATGCTTGAACAGGTAGGCAACTCGATACATCACAGTACTTAGTATCTTTGTCCCAGTATGAATTAGTTGCTCTTCTGTGTATGAGAGAATATTTACCCTACTATCGTTTGAAAAAATCCCCCTGCTAGAGCCAACTACCCCTGCCAGTCTCTAGTATGCAAGGGTATTACATTTATTATGTAGTCACTTTTGTTTATTTATTTATTTACAAAATGGGAGTATACAATATACACTGTTGTATATCTTTTTTCAATTAGTAATATATTCTGAAGATGTTTCCATATCAGTGTGTATACATCTACTTCATTTTTATTGATCTTTCTAAATAAAATTCGATGCATAATATTAAGCTCTTTTTACAGGAATGGTAGCTATTACATACACTGTCCATTATTTTACTTTTATCTATTAACCATATATCTTGGAGATACTTCCATCTCAGTATATAAAGCAAACCCCCTTAACAGCTGCATAAGATTCAACTGTATAAATGTACCATAATTATCTTACTAGTATTTTTACCACTATTGCCAATTATCTTTACAGACATTTAATATTTGCAGACATTTAATCCCCTAATTTTCTGTTTATAAATCTCTCAGAATCTTTATTCACGTAGGTACTCCATTGATGAGGTCTTCTGATGGCTCCAGTCAGGTCCAGTGGCCCTCTATGCCGGGTGCACAGCTATCATTCTGGGGTTCCTATTGTCTGTGTGTGTCTTCTGTTTCCTATATCCTGTGTTTTCCTTTCTTAGTTTACTTCCTCCTTTTAATGGAGCACATCCAACAGTAGCTTCCTGAGAAGAGAATTTGGAGGTAAATATTTTAAGAGTTCACCTAACTGAAAATTTTTCATTCTACTTTTTCTCTTGCTTATAAATGGTTTGATGAGAACTTTGAAGGCATTGCTCCATTATCTTTTGGTTCCAGTATTGCTATTGAGAATTCTGAGGCTATTATCACTCTTGATTCTTTAATCTGGAAACTCATGCCTATAATTCTGGAATTTTTCTTGAGTCATATAGTTGATTATTTCCTTCCCTCATTTTCTCTCTCCTGACCTTCTACAACTCCTGTTATTCAGATGTCAGCCTTCTGTTGGATGGGTTATGTAATATTCTTACCTTTTCTTTCCATCTCTTAGTCTTTTTGGTCTGTTTCTGGGATATTTTATCAATTTTATCTTCAAATTCTTCCATTGAGTTTTTCAGTTTTCGCTAACAAATTTTCAGTTTCAAAGAGCTATCATTTTTCTGAATGATTTCTTTTCTTTGTGGTGTTGCAATTTTTTTTTTTTTTTTGAGATGGAATCTCACTCTGTCACCCAGTCTGGAGTGCAGTGGCACAATCTCAGCTCACCACAACCTCTGCCTCCCAGGTTCAAGTGATTCTCCTGCCTCAGCCTCCTGAGTAGCTGGGATTACAGGCGCGTGCCACCATGCCTGGTTAATTTTTGTATTTTTAGTAGAGACAGGGTTTCGCCATGTTGGCCAGGCTGGTCTTGAGCTCTCGACCTCAGGTGATCCTCTCACCTCGGCCTCCCAAAGTGTTGGGATTAAAGGCATGAGCCACCGTGCCCGGCCATCTTTTTTTTTTTTGAGACAAGAGTCTTACTCTGTCACCCAACTGGAGTGCAGTGGCATGAACACGGCTCACTGCAGCCTTGACCTCCTGGGCTCAAGCAAACCTCCCACCTCACCCTCCCGTAGCTGGAACTTCAGGTGTGAGCCACCATGCCCAGCTAATTTTTGCAGTTTTTGTAGAGACAAGGTTTTGCCATGTTGCCCAGGCTGGTCTCAAACTCCTGGGCTCAGCAGATCTACCTGCCTTGGCCTCCCAAAGTGTTGGGATTGCAGGCATGAGCCACTGCTCCCAGCTGCAATTTTTTTTTTTTTTTTAATGGCTACCATATCTTTATCTCTCTGAAGATATTACTGATAGTTAACATTTTTTAAATCTTCTTCTGGCATACTCATTTTGCATCAAGATCTTCACCCTCGTTTTAATTTCTATCTTTAAGGTTAGAGAATTTCTTTAGTGTTTGGTAGCCCTTGCTTATCTTCTTGTGTGGATCTGAAGCTCTTTACATATGGATTGGGCTGGTGTACCCCAAACTTCTCTGTAGATCTGGCTGGGCTCTTGGCTGAGAAATCCTGGTTATCAGCACCTTTGGGTCAGTGTCCACAGAGAAGACTCCTCCAGTCTCCAACCTGGTGGATTTAGGGCTGGCTGCAGCGTTTTAGGAGCTGAGCGGAAGAGGGATAGGGGAAGGAAAGGCAGAAAGGATGGTCCCAGGATTCAGTACATACATTTTCCTGTATTACCCTTGTTTCTGGTATGTACTGCTATCCTTAACAATGCCTTGGTGTCCCTCAAGCCAGGCAGCCAGAGACCCTCTGTTTTATCCTGCACGGAAAATAAAATTCCAGACTTCTGCCTAGGTAGTAGGAAAGGTCAGATGCCGAAAGTTTCATGCAATCCTTCCTTTGGCTCTTCCTCTTTATTCTCACTTCCAGAGCTTCCTGGTCATTAACACCTGAGCCTTTTGAGGATTCTTTAGGGTTAATTTTGTTGGTTCTCAGCATTACTTTTACTTTAGAATTCAGCTTTTCCAGGCCTGCTGAGTCATCCATCTGCTTTCCAGTTTCCAAAGTTGCATTACTGTTGTCTCCTTTTCCATTTTCCTTGCCCTTATAGCTTTATGCCTTCTAAAAAATCTCTTTATTAGTAGAGTTTGAGGGAGCAAAGTTGGATGTGTGTATTTATTCCACTCATTCACTCTTCAGCTCACTCCTGCCTGATGTTCTTCCCGCATGGTTTCCCCAACTAATATTGCTTGAGCCAAGGTCCCCAGTGACATCTGGCTTGTAAAAAGAATGTACCTTTTTTCAGTCTTCATCCTACAGTGTCAGCATTTGACAGAGCTAAACACTTCTTTCTTGAAATGTATCTAATGTATCTAATCTTGCTTTCTTTAAAACCATAAAAAAATCTTTTTGTGATGTAATTTACATACAATAAAAGTTTTTATTCACAAGGTTGTGCAACCATCATCACTATCTAATTCCAGAGCATTTTCATAACCCCACAAGAAAATCTGTACACATTAGTAGTTAATTCCCATCCCTCACTCCCCCTGACCCCTGGCACCCACTAATCTAATTTCCATTACTATGGGTGTGCCTATTCTGGACATGTTATATACATGGAATAATACAATACGTGGTCTTTTGAGATTGGCTTCTTTCACTTAGAAAAATGTAAAACTAATTTTTGCTAGTTAAAAACATCTCCTTGGCTGGGCACAGTGGCTCACACCTGTAATCCTAGCACTTTGGGAGGCCAAGGCAGGCAGATTGCCTGAGCTCAGAAGTTTGAGACCAGCCTGGGCAACTTGGCGAAACCCCGTCTCTACTAAAATACAAAAAATTAGCCAGGGGTGGTAGCAGGCGCCTGTAGTCCCAGCTACTCGGGAGGCTGAGGCAGGAGAATTGTTTGAACCCAGGAGGCGGAGGTTGCAGTGAGCTGAGATCATGCTACTGCACTCCAGCCTGGGTGAAAGAGCGAGACTCCGTCTCCAAAAAATAAAAATAAATAAAAAATAAAAATATCTCCTCTGCCTGACTTCCTCCTGGCCCAAATGCTCCAGGGCTCTGTGTTAGATTCTCTTTCCTTCTCTATTACTCTCCCTTTAGGTGATCTTATTCACACCCCTAACTTTAAATAACCACACGTTCCAATGACTCCTGTCTTAGTCCATTTGTGCTACTATAACAAAATCCTGGAGACTGGGTAATTTATAAAGAACAGAAATTTATTGCTCACAGTTCTGAGGCTGAGGAGTCCAAGATTAAGGTTCTGGCATGTTTGGTGTCCACCTGGCAGAAGGGACTGAAGGACAAAAAAGGGGACTATTTAGTTCCCTGAAGCTCTTTTATAAGAGCACTAATCCATTCATAGGAGCCGTCATGACCTAATCACCTCCCAGAGGCCACGTCTCTTCATGCTGTTGCATTGGGGATTCAGTTTGAACGTGAATTTTGAAGGGGACACAAATGTTCAGATAGCAGCAACTCCCAAGTCCGTATCTCTCACCTCGACCTGAGCTCTAGACTCATACAGTCACTTGCCTACTTGGCATCTTCACCTGGATGACTAACAGGATTCCCAAACTGATTATGTCCAAAACAGAAGTCAATTTTCCTCTAATCCAAAACCTAATTCTCTAGTGGGTCTCATTTCAGAAAATGATGCTACCATCCACCAGCTGCTCAAGTCAAAAACTTAATAAAATATCTAAGTATATATTTATGTATGTGATTATTTGTTTTATTAATAGTTCTGGATCCCTGACTAGTCTGTAAGCTCCATGAAGGACAGGACAGTGCCTATTTGGTTCTCCATTGTATATCCAGTGCTTAGAACACTGCCCAACATGTGATAGGCAAGCAACAAATATTTGTTGAATGAATACAAAAAAAGAGTAAGACATAATTCCTGCTCTTGAGTTGCACACAATTTTCTTAGAGAAATGAGATGTCCAGGTGTATTGTTAATGACAAAGATTACAAAATTCAGTGTCAAAGTGTTAAGTAGTAAGGATAATGCTTTGGGAGTTTATAGGCAGAATGACTGGGGAAAACTACATGAAGAGTGTGAATATGAGTAAGTTTTAGGTGAAGAACATGAGGATGAGAGCATGCAAAGGCACTGAAGCAAACTTGAGTTGTTTAGGGGATAGTGAGGAGACCACTGCAACTTCAGAAATCTTTTAGGAAAACGAGTCTGTCACTACGCTTAATTTGATTAATGGACCTATTGGGAGGTAGACTATGTAGCAGTAGGAAGAAGTACAATACTCCAGCAAATGGGAAGAACTCTGTAGCAATCATACTGATAGATACCCCAAAGAATCAGGTATTTTGTATTTAACGTTTTATTTGGGCATCAGTATAAACAAAACTATATTAAGTGTCACTGTAAATTTTGGGCATAAAAAACAGAAATTTTCAAATCTGATTAGAAAAATTAATCTGATTTTGAAAATTAACTTTGTTTACAGCTGAAGAGCTCACTCATTATGCTTCAGAAAACGTTTGATCTACTAAATAAGAATAAGACTGGCATGGCTGTTGAAAGCTAGTGATCTGAAGGACTAAAACCGCAGAGATACTTGGAACTTAAAGAAAATACCTGGAAGAAAACCAGACGAATGAAGGATTTTGGCATAGAACATTTCTATGTTTTTTCATTATTGAGATTTCTAATATGAACATTTCTTTCAGTAACATTTATTTGATAATTAGTTTCTGCTGGCCTTAATAATCCATCCTTTCACTTCTTATAGATATTTTTAAGCTGTGAATTTCTTCAGTGAACCATGAAATATATTATAGAACTGAATTTCTCTGATACAAAAAGAAAATGACACACCCTGAATTGAGTGGTATGGTCTCATTTCTACAGTGAAGTCTGATGCTTTGTTAGCACAGAATCCGTACATGTCCAATAGGTCGCTTTTGTAACTGAGATAAGACCAAGAGGATAAACAGGACAATATAAGAAGAAACCTCTATGTCATTACTGATTTTAAAGGTTCTGTTTTCAGGCATATAACATTTCCAGGTTTGTGTACTGTAAAGATTATAATGTCTTCATTTATTTAGCATGCAAATTTAATAGTCAAACTTTTTGAATCTGCATGTTGATGATGATTATCAGAAAGGGTCTTCTGCCATGCTGTATCTTTATGAAAGAAATAGTTGTTTTTTCTTAAGGTAACTATCAGAGGTGGGATTATCTTGCCTCCTCACTTAGAATACCAACAGTCAAAAGGAAGAACCATCCTCTGAGTTTTAAAAACCAGAAGGTTATGTTAAAATCTGGGCATTTAGTGACAGATCAAATGCATACTTGAACTAAGATTGGCTTCAGCTTAGCAGTCTTTCATGGTGGAAGTGACACATCTGGTTGAAAATAATTTGTGTATTTTCAGTAACCATGTATGGCTTCCTTCTTTATGTATGTGTGTGACTTGTTTTGATTGGTAAGTTATAAGCCAGACATAGATTTTAGCTCTTTAATAAAAACTTCAGGGGCACGTATGTCCCAGTACAAGTGTACTGACTATCAAGTTTTAACTCAGATGCAAGCTTTGGCTCTTTCATAAAAAGTTTTTATGCATATGTGTCTCCATACAAGTGGCTCATTAAAATAAGAACTTTGTAAACTGACTTAAAATCAGATATTTTTTCAAGAGTTAGGGAAAGTTGAAGTGTTTTACTGTTTTGTCTCTTGAGCCCTTTCTCTGGGGAAAAAATACATATCCATCTATCTATCTATATATAAACTGTGTATACATTCTTACTGTTTGAACAACTATTGCCTTTAATTAAATGTTTCATTTTTCTCCAGAGTCCCCAAAGCCACATGGCATTATTATAGTCATTTTTGAGATGCCTGTAGAGAATGAAAGTATTGACTCCGTTAGAGGGAAAATGGGTTTCTCTGGGTGAATTCCAACGAAGCATACCTAGGGGTAACAGTGAACCTACCTGGGTTTGTTTTGTTTTGGTAAGGATTTATGTAGTGTCTGGCTGTAAGCAAGAATGAGTGGATTATAAACTTGAAGATTTCTCTGTTAAAGTCACAAAAATGATCGACAAACAATATTTTTGTGATGTTTATTTAAACGTTGTATTTTATAACATACTTCAAGGAAGAGTATCGAAGTAAGTTGCTTTATAAATTAAGACTAAATTCGTATGGATGCAGAATTCAATTAATAAAATTTGAGCCTGTTACGTAAATTGAATATTAATAAAATTGAAAATTTCTGAGTTGTAGTTTTTCTTCTTTTTCTACTTAAAAACAAAACTAGAAAGCCTGCGGTAGTGAAACGTGTACATGGGCCCACACTCTTTAAAGAAATTTTGTGCAATAATAAAACCCAAAAAGGACTCTCATCTCAGGGCAGTTTCATCTCAAATACACAGACGACTGGAACAAAAGTACTAGCGAGGCCTGCTGGTCCAATGTAAAGGCTGCTAGCCAGAAATCATGAAACGAACAGGTTGCTAAATGAACAGATCCGGCAGCAGTGATGGGCCTTTAAGAGAAGGTCAGCGAAACTGGGGGAGGTACTTGGATAACATTTTGCGGTGGAAAGCTCCCTCACCGCCTGTTGCCGGAGTCTGAATGAAGGCTGGCGGCTCCACGGTCTCACGTAGTTCGGAAATCCTCCGGGTTCCCGGGTTTCCCGTATTTCCGTCTCCGCACCTCGTCCGCACCCCGGGGCTCCGGAGGCTGTCCCACCGGCGCGCCGCCCGCAGGCACCGGCGGCGCCCGGCTGCCGCCTCTGGGGCGGGGCGGGGCGTGGCGTGGCGGGGCAGGCCGGAGGTGCGGGACCCACCTCCTGCCCCTGCCTCCTGGACGCGCTCTCGGGAGCCGATTTTCCCCTTCCCGGCGCCAGGGCCGCGGGCCAGGAGGAGGAGCCTCGCCCGCGGGCACCGCGGGGAGGCGGGCGGCGCACGTGCGGACAGGCGGGGAACCCCGGCGCCGGGGGCGGGGCACCCGGAAGCGCGCGTGGACCTGGCGCACCGAGCCGGGCGGGCGGAGGGGCGGTTGGGACGGCGCGGGGAGGCGGGCGCGCCGCCCGGGCCGCGGCGGGCTGTGGTCACAGGTGGGCGGCTGCGGCGAGGGAGCGGCCGAGCGGAGCCCGGGTCCCGGAGACTCCTGCCGTCACGCCCGGGGCTCCGCGTAGCAGAGATCGGGAGACGCGTCTGTGCCTCCGGGGAAGCCGACCCATCTCCCCTCCGCCTCTTTGGCTGCAGTTGCACCTCCGGCCAGAGGGCAGGTAACTTCCCTTCCAAGGTCATTCTCCTGGCGGGGTGGTGCGCGAGGCCCGCCCACGTCCTCCGGATTGGCGGGGGCGGGAGAGGCGCACCCTGCAAGGGGCCCGACCAGTTGGGCTGGACCGCGACCCCTGAGCACTGCCAGGGAGCCTGGTGTGTCAGCCGCTGCTAGCGGGCATATGCTTCGCCTTTCCCTATAGCCCCGAGGCTGAGTTCCCACCAGCGCCCAGGCTTGGAGCGGAGACCGCTCGGCCCTCCCAGCCTGCACCCGCAGGTGAGCGCAACCGCCCGCGCCCCGGCTGTCCCGGACGCGTGGTCGGCTGTCGCCATAGGAACGGCTGGTGCCCAGACGGCGCCTGCCCAGGCTGGGAAGGGGCGGTGAAGGCAGCTCAGACCTCCAAGAACCCTGGAGCCCCCTGTGTGGCCAGGCGGAGCCACAGAAGCCTGATGAAAACGGGACCCCCTCCCCCTCTCTCTTCTCATTTTTGATTGCTCAGGCGTTGGAGGTTAAGCAGAGAGAGAGAGGCGTGGACCTATTTACGAGATGTAAGTTGTGTTCTTTCCACCTTTACCTTCTGAGGGCTTCTTACGCCTCATGGTGACAGGTGCAAATCATGACACAGAAGGGCAGTATGAAGCCTGTGAAGAAAAAGAAAACCGAAGAACCTGAATTGGAGCCCCTGTGCTGCTGCGAGTACATAGATCGGAATGGGGAAAAGAACCACGTGGCTACTTGTTTGTGTGATTGTCAAGATCTGGATGAAGGGTGTGATCGGTAAGAACAGAGCATTTCTTGACGCTGGCCCCATCACCCTTCTGAGAACTGCCATGTGTACTTTCAACCTAGCCACCCAGAATGCTAGAATTTGCTCTTGATTCTATTTCCAAGCATCTAAAATGAGAGTTGGCTTCTGTGTCAAGTGTGAGGATTTTAGAAAGATGGATTACGCAGTAGTGCACAGCTGTCTGTCTGCTCTGTTTTATAGGATATTATTTTTCGTTTAAAGAGAGATGAGGGAGAGAACAGGCAGTTTAAAGGGATAGTAGGCAAGTTAGTATAAAATAAAATGCAAGCCAGCAGAATCTGTAAGTTTAAAATGAACACAATAGTTCCAGAAAGTTCCTGCCTTCTCAGAGGTCTCAGCATTTAGAGACTGACTACTTGGGACTGGGTGGCACCTGACCACAGAGGGCCTTGTGGGTTGAAATTTCATTTTCCTGCTGTTAGTACTGGTCTTGCCCCTTGTTTCTGGGGAGGAACTCCAGCCAGAAGGCATGTATCTCCCCTGGATTCACAGTTTTCAGTGCGACCAGCAACACTCTTGATTGATCATACTGTATTTGGCTTTTATTTTCCAAGTGATGGAAATTACTATCCAAAAAGAGAATTTTTAACATCACTGAAAAAATTTGGTGTCGGACAGTGAATAATCTGGTTTTAATCCATTTTCTGAGTAATTATATATTTAAAAATCACTGTCAATGGAAGTCATAATGTGGGAAGGATAGGGATGTTGGAAACTTGCTTTTCCCATTAATAATTATTTCTGGTTAAAAAAGTCATTGCAACTGCCAATTTGTTGACTTAGAACTTGATACATTAATACAGCCATGAAAAGCATTCCCTGGGGTCTGCAGTCTAGTACCAGCCTTGACTATTAAAAACCCAGTGAACCCTTTGTCGTTCTTACTTGACAGTGTACTGTGTAGTCTTTTTTATGGATGTCTTTGAATATAGGTTCTTTAGATTTAGTCTGAAATCTATACTGAGAAAATAGAGCACTTTGCACTAATGAATGGAGAAATGATGCTGTTTCCATAACCACCATCACTCAAGACCGCAGCTCTTCCATTAACCTTGCTAACTCTTCCTCCCTCCTAGCCCTGGAGACCTTGGCTGTCCCCTGAGGCATCTCCTCTGCTCTCTCTGTACCCCTCTCCTCTGTGTTTCCACCGTGCCTGCTGCTCTGTATGATTCCCAATTAGTTATCTCTAAGTTCTAGTCTTACCTTTAAAAATTGTCTAAAATCAAAGTTACCTTTCCTTAAACTCTACCTTTTCTTACTAGCCTGTCTTAATTTGTTCAGGCTGCTATGATAAAATAAATACCTGAGACTGGGTAATTTGTAAACAATATACATCTATTGCTCACAGTTCTAGAGGCTCAGAAATCCAAGATCAAGGCACTGGCAGATTCAGTGTCTGGTGAGGGCCCTTTTCCTCATAGATGACACCTTCTTGGTGTGTCATGACATGGCAGAAGGGGTGAATAAGCTCATAGGGCTCTATTATAAGGGCACAAGTCTCATTCATGAGGGCTGTGCCTTCATGACCTAATCACCTCCTTAAGGTCTCACCTCTGAATACTATTGCATTGGGAATGAGGTTTCAACATAATGAACTTTGGAGGGACACAGATACTTCCTGGCTCCCTAAAATTTATGTCCTTCTCACATGCAAAATACACTGATTTCATCCTAATAGCCCCAAAAGTCTTAGCTCATCCCAGTGTCAATTCAGAAGTCTAAGTCCAGAGTCTGGTCTGAATATCATCATCCAAATCAGATATGGATGAGTTTCAAGATACGATTCATCCTGAGACAAGTTCTCCTCCACATGTGAGCCTGTGAAATCAAACAAGTTAGGTGCTTCCACAATACGATGGTAGGACATGCATAGAATAGACATTCCCATTCCAAAAGGGAACAACAGGAAGAAAGGAGTGTTACTGACAGGTCCTAACCCAGTGGGGCAAACAATGTTAAGCCTTAATAAGGCTTGAGAATAATCTTGGACTTGATGTCCTGCCTTCTGGACACACTGGGTTGGCGGTTGGGCCCCCAAGGCTCTGGGTGTCCCCGCCACCACAGCTTTGTTGCGCACAGCCCACACTGCAGCTCTCATGGGTTGGAGTTCCTACAGGTGCCTCCAGCTCTCCCAGGCTGGAGTTGTATGCTTGTGGCTCTACGGGGCTCTTGGGGGTGACCCTGTCCCCACAGCTCCAAGCAGGCATTGCCTCAGTGGGGTCTCTCTGTAGTGGCCCCACCACAATGACAGCTCCACTGGGCAGTGCCCTAGTGGGGGCTCTCTGTGGTGGCCCCACCCCTGTGGCAGTCCTCTGCCTCGGTCCCGAGGCTCTCCAGGGCATCCTTTGAAGTCTAGGTGGAGGCAGCCAGGCCTCTACAGCTCCTACACTCTGGATGCCTGCAGCATTGGCACCCTGTGGATGCCACCAAGATTTACCACCTATGCCCTTCAGAGGGGTGGCCTCTATGGCATACCTAGGCCCAGTGGAGCCACACCTGGAGCTGCCATGGAGGGTGCACCAGAATGTAGGGAGCAGAGACTTCAGATGGCACTCAGCAGTACACCCTGAAGCCCCATGGGTGCCCTGGGCCCTCTTATGAAACTGTCTGCCCTCAAAGCCCTGGCACTTCAGGTTTGTGGTGGGAGCAGCAGCCCCAAGGATCTCCGAATGCCTTCAGGGTCCTTCCATTGTCTTGATGACTGGCACGGGGCTAATCCATACTGATCTCATCTACATCCTTGCTGTTCTCTCCCAAACATGCTTTCTCATTTGTTACAATATAGACAGGCTGAGAATTTTCCAAATCTTTGTTTTACTCCCCTTTTGATTATGAGTTTTGTCTTTAAATTATTTCTCTTTGGCTGGGCGCGGTGACTCACACCTGTAATCCCAGCACTTTGGGAAGCCCAGGTGGGCAGATCACCTGAGGTCAGGAGTTCAAGACCAGCCTGAACGACATGGAGAAACCCCGTCTCTACTAAAAATACAAAATTAGCCAGGCGTGGTGGCGCATGCCTGTAATCCCAGCTACTCAGGAGGCTGAAGTAGGAGAATCGCTTGAACTCAGGAGGTGGAGGTTGCGGTGAGCTGAGATCGCGCCATTGCACTCCAGCCTGGGCAACAAGAGCAAAACTCTGTCTCAAAAAAAAAAAAATTTCTCTCCTGCATTTTACCCTAAGCATTTATGAGAAGCCATGCAGCACCCTGAACACTTTGCTTAGAGATTTCTACTGCCAAATATTCAGTTTAATCACTCTTGAGTTCTACTTTCTACCAAACAGTAGGACACAAACACAATTCCACTGAGTTCTTTTTATAAGTGTCCAGGATCACCTTTCTTCTAATTTCCAATAACATGTTTGTCACTTCCATCTGAGATCTTATGAGAATGGCTTTTACTGTCCATATTTCTGCGAGCCTTCTGTTCATTACCTCTTAGGGATTCTCGAAGATTGAGGCTTTCTCTGCAGCTCTCCTCTTCTGCCAGAATCACCCTTGACAGTTTGTTCAGATAGTCTAGGATTTTTCCCAGCATGCACTTCCACACTCTTCTAACCTCTACCCGTTACCCGGTTCCACAGCTGCATCCACATTTTTAGATATCTGTTGTAGCAACATCCTACTTCTTAGTACCAATTTCTGTCCTAGTCTGTTCAGGCTGCTGTAACAAAATAACTTAGGCTGGGTAATTTATAAACAACAGATATTTATTGCTCACAGTTCTGGAGGCTGTGAAGTCCAAGATCAAGGCAGCAGCAGATTCAGTGTCTGGTGAGGTCTCCTCAGCTTCATAGACAGCACCTTCTTGCTGTGTCCTCACATGGTGGAAGGAGCAAACAGGCTCCCTTGGATCTCTTTTTTAGAGGCATTAATTCCACTCATCAGGGCTCTGCTCTCATGACCTAATACCCTCCTAGAGGCCCCGTCTCTTAATACTCTTGCATTGGGGATTGGGTTTCAGCATATGAATTTTGGGGGCATAAACATTTAGAACATAGCATAGCCTAAGTGTGCAAAACAGTCAACCAATATCATTCCATTCACCAAGTTCAGTGATTTGACTCATACTAGTTTGATCTCCATTCTTCTCTATGTAGCCCTGTCCCTGTGGGACTAGTCTACTCCCTGGGCTCATGCCAGGTATGTGCTGCACACATTTCTTTCCACTGGAAGGCCTTCCTTACTCCCTCTCTATTCATACACATGCTAGCTGGACATCAAGGTTGAGCACAGATCCCACCTTTTCCACAAAGACCCCTCTGAAGACTCCACCCAGAAGTATTGATGCTAGTCTGAGCACTCCTTATAATGTTTGATCACAAGAGTTTATTGATTATTGCTGCTTTGTCACTTACCTAATAGTTCTTAAATTCCCATGTTGTCCTCATAACTAGATTGTGATTTGTTTTGAGATTCTTATGACCGTACAGGTCATAAGATGTAAACATTACTTGCAGCATGTGTCTGTACCTATGTATTTGTTTAGGGGAGAAATAATCTTGACTTTAAGTTTTTAAACATCTTGTTCCTATTTTAAAAAATGACATGTGAATCTGAAAAGCTTAATTTAGTAGTAAGGAAGTAAAATGCTTGGTCTTTGGTAGCTTTTATCGTTTATCCCACTGTTTGGCATTCAGTGTTCTGTAGCTTTTAATTCAACAAACCCACATGAAGTCCCTCCTCTTTGTGCTTTTTCTGAATAGATGGATTACATGTAAATCTTTACAGCCAGAGACTTGTGAAAGAATCATGGATACAATTTCTGATCGCCTCCGAATTCCTTGGCTTAGGGGAGCCAAAAAAGTGAACATCAGCATCATCCCTCCGCTTGTCCTGCTGCCTGTCTTCCTTCATGTGGCTTCCTGGCATTTCCTCCTGGGGGTGGTGGTTTTGACCTCCCTTCCTGTGCTGGCACTGTGGTACTACTACCTCACTCACAGAAGGAAAGAACAGACCCTGTTTTTCCTGAGCCTTGGACTGTTCTCTCTGGGCTACATGTACTATGTGTTCCTGCAGGAAGTGGTCCCCAAAGGGCGTGTGGGTCCCGTTCAGCTGGCGGTTCTTACCTGCGGGTTATTTCTGATACTCTTAGCCTTGCACAGAGCCAAGAAGAATCCAGGCTACCTCAGCAATCCAGCAAGCGGTGACAGATCTCTAAGCAGCAGCCAGCTGGAGTGCCTGAGCAGAAAAGGGCAGGAGAAGACCAAAGGGTTCCCTGGGGCAGACATGTCGGGCAGTCTCAACAATCGCACAACAAAGGATGACCCCAAGGGCTCTTCCAAGATGCCAGCTGGAAGCCCCACCAAAGCGAAGGAGGACTGGTGTGCCAAGTGCCAGCTGGTGCGACCAGCCCGGGCATGGCACTGCCGGATATGTGGCATCTGTGTGAGGAGAATGGATCATCATTGTGTCTGGTATGTTGGAAACATTTGGAGACTTGGAAAGTGTAAATTCATGTAAAACTCTAGTTACATTTTATCTTCCCTTGTGCTATCCCAAAATTTCTCTCCTTCCCAGCTTTACACCTTGTAGATATTTGTGGGTTGTTGTGATGTTCCCACTTAGTCATCAGTTTTTCGAGTTTCACAAATTTAGTTCCTTCAGTCATTTCCTGAAGGAGAATAACAGAAAACTTGTGGGGTTTTTTTTTTCTCAATTTTCTTTTGAATGACTCCTCATTTATCTTTTCCTTTCTAATAGAGAAATATCTACAGTTGAATGATTTTTTAAAAAAAGAATTGATCAGAAACAGTATAAGCATATTTCCCTGTGCTATTCCTTTTTAAACATAAAGCTCAAGAAAGTGTACCCCTATTTTTAGGTGACTCTTTTGTCCCCTTGCCATACATACTTAATCGTTTTTGATGCTACCGATGATTTCCACTTAACATTATTGAATCGAGGTCCCACCAGATAAACTCTCTATTTGATTATTTGCAGAGAAATGGGCTTTTGTACCTGCCAGTTGGCCAGTAACAAACGAAGGTACATAAGGCTCCGTAAAATATGAAGTGCAATGTTTAAAGATAATGTTGCAGCTTCACTAAATACATCTAAACTAAAGGGACTATAATTAATTCAGATATGAATGCTGTAAGTAGCATGTTTGCAGTTTATTGCTCTTCAGGCAGTCGTGATCAATGAATTAATGCTTTTCGTGTCTAGGATTCTGGTCCTGTAGCGTACCTCCTCCTCAGAAGGGGATGCAGGAGAGGGTGAGGGTGCAGAAAAGGCTGAGAGGCATTGGCGTGGGCCTCAAGTGCATGGCTCAAGTGCAGGGCAGCTCTTTTCTGGGTCCTTGTCTTTAGAAGTAAACAGGTGTTTTCATTTTTAGATGTTCTACTTCTGTGTCTTCACTTATTCGTGTGTGTGTGTGTGTGTGTGTGTGTGTGTGTGCGTGTGTGTTCCATTTACAAATGCTGGTTTGCAGAAGGCTCACCTAACAGCAGATATGTGCCCACTGGAGCATCCTGGCATGCAGTGGGTAGAAGGCACTCCCTCTACATTCTGCCCCACAAATGGCCATGACACAGAACTGTTTTTACCTGCCAAAGAGCCTGCATGTTATCAAGTTGTTCTTCCCCCTACGCTATGTTTCTAACCTCTTTGGATCTTTATATTACTCTTCATATATTTAACATGAATTTTCCCATACTATGTAATACTTCTGATTTAGCATTTTTAAGTTTTCATAATTCTATTTATCTCCCTTTCCTTAACATGGTGAGGACAATGTTAGATCTCCATAGCTGGGTAATATTGATATTTAGGAAGATTTGTTAGCCAGGTTCTGCTTTTTATACTTAGTCTTGTCCTTAAACTGACGATATGATTCCACTTTGCGAAGAGTAGAGAATATAAGACTGCATTCCTCAGGGTGCAAGTTTTTAATTCCCTAAAATTGAAAAATAAGAGAACTTCTTAATAACTGGAATTTACATTTTCCCTATTTAAAACCTTGTCTTGGCTGGGCGCAGTGGCTCATGCCTGTAATCCCAACACTTTGGGAGGCTGAGGTGGGTGGATCATGAGGTCAGGAGTTCAAGACCAGCCTGGCCAACATGGTGAAACCCCATCTCTACTCAAAATACACAAATTAGCTGGGCATGGTGGCATGTGCCTGTAATCCCAGCTACTTGAGAGGCTGAGGCAGGAGAATTGCTTAACCGGGACCCGGGAGGCAGAGGTTGCAGTGAGCCAAGATCGCGCCATTGCACTTTAGCCTGAACTACAGAGCAAGACTCCGTCTCAAAAAAAATAAAGCTTTCATGTTTATTATGTAAGTTATATCAAGAACTCTTAAAAATGTGTTTGCTTTTTTATTTCTCTATGCTGTTTTGAGGATAAATAGCTGCGTTGGAGAATCAAATCATCAAGCATTTATACTTGCCCTTTTGATCTTCTTGCTCACCTCGGTGTATGGGATCACACTGACCTTGGACACCATTTGTAGAGACAGAAGTGTCTTCACAGCTCTTTTCTATTGTCCTGGAGTTTATGCAAATTACAGGTGAGCAGTGGGTACCACAGTATGGAGGCCCCCTGGGAAGTAATGGGTGTTGCCATTGACAGGGACTATTACTACTTGGTTAGGAGTTCTCAATCAAAACATAGGCCAGGCTATGGAAATGCTGGGTATCCCTGGAATTGCCAGCAAAATTGTGCATTGGTGATGTGTGTTTTTCAAGGGTGCTGTTAAAAGGATTGTTGACCTTTAAAAAGTGAAGAACTAGTTCTCTACAAACAGGACCAGGCCTAATCAGGGACTTCCAGAGTCAAATGACCACTCATAGGCTCAAAAGTCGCAACAGTGAAACAGAAACAATAAACAAAAACTAGCAGCCCCAGGGCACATATGTGCCTATTTTGTCATAACGATCAGAAACCTTCTCACTTTACTGCTGCTTTCTGATGTTTTTTAGTCCAATCTTAATTTACTGCTTCCGACCCTTTTGAGATGTGCTCGACATCTCTATAACCTTGCTTTTCTTTCTAACCTCTCTTGGTTTTTCCTGTTCTACTTTCTTTCTTTTTTTAATCACCACTGATGATTACTGTGATATGTAGGTCAAAATTTCCTTAGGCCCCTTTATAGATTGTGAAGATTTCCAGGCCATGGCAAAATTTGGGATTCTTCCGCTTCGGCCTCAGCGCCCCCTCCCTGAATGCTGGGGCCCCCCTCTGCCCATGCTCTTTATTCCCTTCCCTTCATCATCCTCTCTGACATAAGTGCTCTGGGGTATCTGTGGTTTGGCCCTTTTCTTTATTCTCACTCTTCATTTTCAGAACAATCCTTGCTTTCTTTACAAAGTATCCCTTTGTGGCATTTGTTTTTATTAGCCTGTGGACAGATCTCCCCATTGTCATCCTAGAACCAGACACCTGTGGGCATTATTAGAATAGATTGGTCTTCCTCAGATTAAGTTTCCTTCCTCACTGTGTGGAGAGTATCTCCAGCATGTGAATGAAATTCTCTGCTAACGCTGCAGGTGAGGCCCGTCCTGAAGCACAGCATGTCTGTGCACTCTCGGTGCGGAGGCGAGGGAACCGAGGAATACAGTCCTGCCATTGCTTCTCACCCTGCTCTGTGCAGGCGATTCACAGCACCTCATCTTTTTGGTTAGGTCCTTGGATTTAATAGTCTTTGAGGTCCCTTCAGCTTTTACAAATGAAGATTCTGAATGAACTTATTTCTAACTAACTCTTAATTTGCGAATGTTGGAAAATCATCAAATGGCAGAGGCTAACTGGCAGCCTGTCTCATTAGTGAGCCTGAGAGGAGCTTCCCTACCTTGTGTGATTGTGTTGGGCTTTAGGAGGGTGAATTTGGAATGTCTCGGTGTTCCTACATCCAGGTAAGCACAGGGCTGCTGGGGTTGGGAGTCGTCCATCGTCTTTTCATTCCTCAGCATTGGACTGGAAAGAATGGAGATTAGTAACTTTAGCACTGTTCCTCGGCATCCACCTGCAGCTTCCTAGAAGACATTTATAGCAGTCCCTTGGTGCCTTTGTTTTCTCATGAGTTAGATGTAATTTACGAATTACTTGTTTATTTAACAAACAGGTGTTGAACGCTGTTATGTCAGGCAGCGTGCTGGGTGTGTGGAGGGTACAAAATGCAAAAAACAGTCCCTGCTATTCTAGTGTAATATACTAGAAAATAGGCACCAGTAATTATAGAATAAACACACACATTCTCCTACTTAAGCAGGTTATTGGCATTCTGAGTATCTTCCAGTTCGGAGGGTTGGGGAAGATGCCAAAGTCTTTAGTAATAAGTAAAAAAATGTGTAAAACGTGAGAATGATGACAGTTTTCTGAATTTGACAAAAACGGCAGCCCTGACAGCCTTTTTCCCTCTCCTAGCTCGGCTCTGTCCTTCACCTGCGTGTGGTACTCTGTGATCATCACAGCAGGCATGGCCTACATCTTCCTGATCCAGCTGATCAACATCAGCTACAATGTGACTGAGCGGGAAGTCCAGCAGGCCCTCCGACAGAAGACTGGGCGCCGGCTCCTCTGCGGGCTCATCGTGGACACAGGCCAGTACAATAGGGGCTTCCTGCGGAACTGGCACCAGTTCTCCACCCTGGGCACACGTGCATTCCACCACCCTGCCGAGGACATTGTCTGAAGTGCCTTCTATGTGGCTCTCTGAGGGATGATGGCTCCTCCTTCCGTCTCCCTTCCATTTTACACTTCAGTGTCCATTTCTATCCCCAGTTTCTTAAAGGCATTATAGGGCCATGCTCAGGTTTAGAGACTGGAGTGGGAAGAAGTTAATTTTTCTGACGCCACAACTTAAGAGACTTTTATACTGAGGCAGTAAAAGTAGAGCCATTCCTTTCCAGTCACCTTTTTAATTGACTCAGTTGCCTGAACTTGAGAAGGATGTGGATTGCTAATGCACAAATTGATAGAAGCAATTCCCATCCATTAGTATGGAGGAAAGAGTGTTGGATTAGGATAGTTTCTAGTCCCTCTTTCGATTCTTAATAGCCATGTGACCCCTAGCTGAGTCACTTTCCCAAGTCTCAGGGTCATCTGCAAAGTGGGGTACTGATGCCTGCCCTGGCTACCTCACAGAGCCGTCATGAGGGTCACGTGAGGGAAGATGGATGTGGAAAGCACTAAAAAACAACTCAAGAGCCATGGAAATACAAAGTATTAGGAAAATATTATGATGGAAGAAAAACGTTTATAGTCTAGAATATTGAAGCCAATATTATTAGGGTAATCAGTTTTCAGCATATACCTTGTTGTACAGTTATGAGAATTTCTCCTTCTTATTAGACATGAACTACTCAAACAGAGAAGATGACCAGATGGATTGATGCTAAGTTGTCTCATCTTGAAAAGACAGTTGACAACAGTTATAAAGATAATTATTGCTAGTGTAATGTAGTGTGGCCATGAGTTTAGGTGATGAGTTCTTCTATTTATATTTTATAAATTCTGCTTGGGTTTCTTATAAATAACTCCAACAGGCATTCATGTGTTTTTCCTCTTCCCATGTTTCACCAGGTAAGGTGCTAGCACACTTGTGACTGTGGCTGGAAGAGGAGAACAGACACTCCTGTGGGGATGCTTTACTCTCTTTTCTGGTAGGAAGGCTGAGTAACATCACGGGCTCGATTATTTTCTTCATGTATTTCAAATGCTGTCAGTTATAGCACTAAATTGTGAAAATCAGCCTTCTGGCATTCACATTATTCTGGTATGAACTTTGAGGAGTTGAGTGACATCTTCCCACTTAACTTGCACATTAATTCTCAATTACCCCTCCCTAAATAACAGTATCTCACTAAGAGAGAAGAAACAGGGTATATGTGGTTTCCACTATTAATGGATTACTGTTCTTCCCTGGCTCTTCCGACAATAACAAGTTGTTTCTTTAATCATATCTTAAAACCGAAAATGTATAAAAGATTAAATATTTATGTACAATGGGTTGTTCTACTATAGAATTAAGATGAGGGAATTTCAGATGAGGAAAATACCCTTTTGAAATGTTAGTTTTGAACATGTACTGTTGTGCAATCCCAAAGATAATTCATGACTCCTTAAATTTGCCTTGGCTTATAGCTTAATATAGGGAAAATATTGCCAGCGTTTTCAGTCATTCTGTGCATGCTGCTTTAAGCAAGAGATTTATATTTGTTGAGAGGAAATATTGCTACTTCCTGCACTTCCACCCTCTGCAGCCAGCACCGTCCCTACTGTTGCCATTAATTGGAGCTGTCCTTAAGATGGTCACCATATTCTTATTCAGGCTGTTGTCATTTTCCCCAGAGATGGTTTGTTTAACGAATGATAGGCTCTGTGCCTGGGGATGTTAGCAGACTCTGGGGTTTGTACAGTGATGCCTTCTCCCTGGCCCAGAGCTGAATATTCATCTAGAATTAAAGTTGGATTTGATATAACAAATTTCTTTCTATACAGGTTTTACATAAGAGAGACAGTAATAATGTCAAGGATAGCCTGTGTGGGCAGAAATTGGTAGTCGTGCTTTTGAATGTCAGCTGTAGAGCCAACTCTGATTATCTAGCCATTGATCATACAAATTGATAGAAACATTAGTCAGTAATTTTAGCTTCTTGCCAAATTGTTCACAACATCTAAATGTAATGTGATGTGATGAAGATAAGTAGTACAAAGAGACCAAAATAATTTGGGAGAATTAGGAATGATGACAATTTTTTTTAACAACTTACCTCTAATAGGGTTACTTGGATGAGCCAACTCCGCTTCCTTCCCATGGATAGGAAGGGACTCTGTGTATTATTCAGGTTTATTGGCACGAAGATACTTGTTTTAAGTTCCTTGAGAACCCATGATGGACAGTTGACAGAATGCTTAAACCTGTCAAAAGATGAGTGATCTTGTGTGGGAAAAGCCTTCCCAGGCGTCTGTACCGAAAGGAGCAGCAAACAAGGGGCTAATCCATGAGCAGTGTTCTGTAGGCTCTGTGACATCTTTGGTTTATAGGATTTTGGAGCCTTTTATGATCTGGAACTATTTGAGGGGTTTCATTATAGGCCTTGGTTCTCTCCAGGGGCCAGATGAGTTTATTGTGGAATCTTTGAAAGGACAAGGCCTCTGTGAATGAATCAGTCCCAGGGAAGCATTTGGTGGTGGCGGCAGTGGAGGATTGCCCGGTGAACCTATAAATCAGCAGTCTCTTGGGCAGAGGAGCAAGCCCCTCGAACATGATTTCAAACAAGCAGGTCCTCTTCTCTCATCTCACGTCCTTAGTCTCTGTTAATGAACATACTGGATGTGGAGTTTAATAAATTACCTACTATCATCTGGCCACTTAGATTATTATCACACCACTGTGGACTGTTCCTGGGGGGAGAAGAACAGACCGATTTGAAAGATTCAAGGGAGAAAGATTAAGGATCAGGATTGCATGAAAGAAGAAAATCCTTCAATATTTAAAATGTTTCTTACAATACCCACGGAGCACTTTTATGGTTCCAGCCGAGCGTTCCTGAAATGAACTGACCATTAACAGCGCCTCTTTGATAGGTTACCCTGATGCTGCTAAAGTAAAGCCTTAAGTGTGTTTTTGGGACAACGTGCTGCTTATTCCACCTCAGCCACATATGTGTTTGTGTTTAGGATATTGTAAATCTTTGCTAAGTAGTGTTTTCCTTGGTGAATGAAGTCATTGTTGTCTTCAAGTGTACCATCTGCCTAGCAAAAAATTGCTACAAACTTTCTCTTATGCAATAGTCCTTGGTACTTCTAATATTTTTAGCAAGAGACAATTTTCTGTACTAGAATCTTCCACTGCCAGAAAACACAGTGCCAGTAAGGTTCTACATACCACTGACCATCTGCTTAATAGACATGTATTTCCTTTGAGTAGGACATTAGCTTTTGATTATAAAGCTCAACTAGTATAAGCAAAAATATAACATCTAGAAGCACAGTTTTAGCCAGGATGTTTAAAAATTACAGTTTTGTGAGACTTAAGGGTCTTTTTAACCTAGGTAAGTTTATATGACCTAACTTAATTGTAGCCATATTCTGGTACCTTCCATTTTGAAAAGTAGAGGTTGCTTAAGCAAGCAATGGATAATAAGAGACTTTTCCTGAGGCACCTGTTTGGAATCTGGTTTTCTCAGCGGCAGCTTGACATGTGCACCCTTTTGTATTAAACACTGCAAGGGTGATGCAGGGGAGCAGGAAAGCCATCCTAAACTCACTACTGAGTACGATTCAGTATGTTCCTGTGGATGTCTGCTGTGACTAATATAAATTTCTTGCAGAATCAGCTACACTTAATTATGTTGCTGATAGACAAGCATCCACGCTTCAGCTGGCACTAAGTGTTTTCATTGTAGGATCAGCAGCAGGTTAAAGACTGAACGGTTAGTGAAGACAAATGTCTTAAGAGGCTGCGATGTCTAGGTTGGGCTTGTGACTTCTTAGTGGCCTAGCCTTCTTGATGGCACCTTGAAAGTGAACTTCTAGAAATCTACATTTAAAAGGCAAAGCTTTAAAAGCAGAGCTAGTCTATTCTAGTTACTGATGCAACTAAAATTCTGTATTTCTTAAGATGGAGCCACTGACGAGATGTCACAGTATAGAGCCTGCAGTCTCAACTCATTGTGATCCTAATGGTCTGGGTGATTGGATGGTTTGAGTTGTTAGGGATTTTGAGTTTTTCATTTTATTGCATATCTGGGTTGGATGTTAGACTAAAGGAAACCCAGGAATATTTACCTGGTGTTACATTTAATATTTAATGTAACTGGTCTAGCAACATTAAGGGGGATTTCTGAAGCCAACTCCGGAGGCTGTGGGCTGCACATTTTGCACTGTTTTTATATACTTGTATTCATATCCTCTTATCACCTCAGACTCAGACACAAGGCCTTTTACATGGAAATTTTACAAATTACTTCCATTTATGTAAAATAACGTCCTGTGACCAAGTTGTTTAAATGGAAAATAAAGTGCTTTCTTTAAGGAAAATAGCTGGTGTTTCTTGGAGTGTCTCCTGAAGTCTTCTGATTTCTGAAAACCCTGCATTATACCTGTGCTGCCTCTGTGGCTCCCTCAATGTCTCTATCCTGTGGCCCTGTCCCTAGCCCTAAACTGTTATGTTCCCGGTGGCAATTTCTCCAGTTTTGTGGGTCAGGGATACTGCTTGTTGGGGCATTATGTTAACAGTAACATTTTGAAACATACTTTCATGATAGTCCAGCAAAAAACAGCATCAAAACTATTTCCATTGTATCTCTTTAGAAGGCTCTGTATTCGGTAAAAAGTCTAGCTGGCGCCATTGGAATATGGGCTGCTAAAGACTCAATTTCTAGTTGATGTTTGAGGTGAGGCAAAAATAAAGCTAAGGTAGAAAACTTAAGCTTTGTGGGATTTATTTATGCGCCTGGCATGTTGACTTAAGGAACTCAACCTTATGTACAGGCTTGGCATTTAAAGAAAACTGGTGGCTGGGTGTGGTGGCTCACTCCTGTAATCTCAGCACTTTGGGAGGCTGAGAGGATCACTTGAGCCCAGGAGTTCAAGACTAGCCTGGGCAACATGGTGAAACTCCATCTCTACCAAAAAAAAAAAAAAAAAAAAAAAAAGTTAGCTGGGCATGTAATCCCAGCTATCTGAGAGGCTGAGGTGGGAGGATCACCTGAGTCTGAGAGGTCCAGGATTCAGTGAGCCATAGTCAGGCCACTCTACCTCCAGCCTGAAGTACAGTGACAGAGTGAGACCCTGTCTCAAAACAAAAAAAACACAGAACAAACAAAATAATAAAATTGGTATTTCATTTCCGGGTGCTAATATCAGCCAGTATTTTGTAAATGTACTGTAGTTAGGTTTAAACTGTTAGTGATTTTGATGGAAAGTGATGTATTATGAATTACTTTTAGTTACATTTTCTTTAGTGGCCATTCATCTTGAAAAACACAGGTTTTTTTTTTTTTTAAATGACAACTGTATAATCCTATTAAAGGAAAAGCTGTGTGGGAACAGCCATGTCGTAGAAGAAATAAAGTTCAATTCAAGGTGTTTGGTCATATCACACATCCTCCGTGATAAAAGTATCTTAAGTCGTGTAGCAGGTGGTACAGCTAGATATCCTTTCTAGGAAGTATGAGACAGTAACAAGAACATTCACTTAAAAAACCACAGAATTTTATTTTGTCAACTCAAATTTTCAGCACACCAAATAAGAGTAATCATCTCAGGACTGCACAGGACTTTCTCATTTTACCATATGCATTTATGGACTACTTGAATTTGTTATATAATAAATGTGTATTTTATAATGAAAAATTATTTTTCTAGCAGGTAATTCTCTAACACAATTCATAGAAGAGAGCATTTTATCAGTCTTTATAGCATCTTAAAGATGAAAACATTCTTTGAATTCAAGATAGGTATCTCAATATCTAGATCAAACTGAGCTGAGTACTAGAAGACAAACTGAGTGTATTATTCAGCAGTTGCAGGTGGGAGCATGAACAGATAATTTAATGAATTGCTGGACTGTCATGATAGAGCTATTACCTTTTGGAATGTCCTTCATGCTTATCAAGGTGCACGGAAGAGAAGCATCTCTGGTGCCTCAGTTTCTCTGAAATCAGGATAAGCTGCTGTCCTCTGCAGCAGCTGTGTAGAGAACCTTTTCATACATGGTCTGCCTTCAGGGGTGGTGAAAGTGGACGAGGTCTGGTGGGGTGCGTGTCACTGATGCTACTGCACTAGAAGGCTGAGTGCCTTGGCCCGCCCTTCCTTTCCGAGCACTCACCCCTGTTTATTTCTGTTTCATTAAGGTCACATCAGCAACTCCTGTCGTGCTATACGGACACATTTTCTTCACAGGCTCAGTCAGGCAAACACTTGTCCTTTTTAAAGTTTACTATGCTAAAAATATATAGGATATATTTGAACAGACGATCTCTAGAATGTTCCTTTGGATGATCCCACTGTGATAAATGCTATAGTGAATGACTAGCAATCCAGGAAAAGTCAAAGAAGGGAATAAAAATTCTCAAAATAATTCCTTTGATCTAAGAAGTAGCTCGTAGAGAATAAACCAGGTGTATGTATGTATGTGTGTGGGTGGGTGGAGATAACACACATACAGACTAGTCGAGCTTCCTGTCCTAAATATTACACTAATCTGGCTCATTCGTTCACCAGACTTGTCTTACTCAAGGACCAAGTATCTGATTGCTGATATAGCTCGTGGTACCTTCCAGGTACCTGGAAGTCTGGAAGAATTTCAACTACCTTCCTACGAAGTTGCTGTCGCCTTTCTTCTTTTACTCTTTCCTCTTTCATAAATTTTACAAACTTCTTCCATGTCCGAAGGGTGATCCAGAGGATCCTCCTTTAAGAATAAAGAAGGAAAAAAGTGAAATGTTGAGAAAAAGTTGGCTTTCCATCTATAGCACATTAAGAACTTTATAAAAATAATTCTTATGTTAATAAAATGCTGTATAAAAGGTGTGGAAATCACAATCGGGATTATGACAGTGTGAAATGCTGTGAAAAAAATAAGGCAACAAAAGGGAATGAGAGTGACTGATTGATTGATAGGTTATTTTTATTTTTATTTTATTTTATTTATTTTCTTTGAGGCAAGAGTCTTGCTCTGTCGCCCAGGCTAGAGTGCAGTGGTGCAATCTCGGCTCACTGCAACCTCTGCCTCCTGGGTTCAAATGATTCTTGTGCCTCAGCCTCCCAAGCAGCTGGGATTACAGGTGCCTGCCACCATGCCTGGCTAATTTTTTTTTTGTATTTTTATTGGAGACGGGGTTTCACCATGTTGGCCAGGCTGGTCTTGAACTCCTGGCCTCAAGTGATCTGCCTGCCTTGGCCTCCCAAAGTGCTGGGATTACAGGTGTGGGCCACTGTGCCTGGCCAGTTATTTTTATTTTTGATTGAGTGGTGAAGGAAACTGAGGAGGTGACATTTGAGCAGAGCACCAAATGGCTTCCAGTAACCCAAGCTACGAGGCACACTCCTGAGTTGATCTGATTATAGCATACATATTGTACCCATGCCAGGACCAGTGATGCTGGCAAGGGATCCAGAAACCACAACCCTCAACGCAAAAATGATGGAAAATTGCGTGCAGAATGTGCCAAAGTTACAGGCATTGAGGCCTCAGTGCGTAGACATATTTTAAAAGCCTGCTGGTAACCTGACCTCCAACAGCAGCAATAACAACAAAGAACCAGTCTTGAATATCAGTTGAGAAAAAATACCCTAACATCAGGTTCTGGAAACATGGTATGGAAGACTGTTTAAGTGAGTGTCTGTGCTGTCACAGGGAAGCATGCAATGGCCTTTTAGGATTTATTAGTGTCCACCACAGCTGAACACTAGGGGCATCAAGGTAAGCCAGGTACCGTCTGCCCCGGGAGAGGCTGAAACAGGTGACCAGAGTTTCCATACAGTGGGAAGGTACAGCAGTGGAGAGCAGCACAGAGGACTACCCAGTCTGGTGGTGAGGAGCAGACCTTTTTGAAGATGATGTCTGAACTGAATTTTTGTCAGGCAAAGAAAAGGCTTTCCTAGAGGAGAGCACATCTTGAGTAAAGGCAACGAAGCGAGAATAGCATGCCGTGGTGTGTGTGTGGAGTTACAGTGTTGAAACGAAGTGCAGAGTAGTTAAGCTTATATTTTCACAACTATAGGCAGAGATGGGATTTGTTCTGGCCTCTTGACCATCTGAGGGAGTCCCAGAATGCACATCAGTCCTCATTAATTTTATGGCTGTTGGTTAATATTTTTGATAATGCTGATTTTTGTTGGTGGAGGTACTGCTTTAAAAAAAGGCATGGCTGGGTGCGGTGGGTCACACCTGTAATCCCAGCACTTTGGGAGGTTGAGGCGGGTGACTCATTTGAGGTCAGGAGTTCAAGACTAGCCTGGCCAACATGGTGAAACCCCATCTCTACTAAAAATACAAAAATTAGCCCGGCATGGTGGCAGGCACCTGTAATCCCAGCTACTTGGGAGGCTGAGGCACGAGAATCACTTGAACCTGGGAGGTGGAGGTTGCAGTGAGCCGAGATCAAGCCATGGCATTCCAGCCTGGGTAACAGAGTGAGACTCTTGTCTCAAAAAAAGAAAAAAAGAAAAAAAGAAAAAGGCTCCAAGGAATGGATTTACTTCATTGCTTGCTTTTATCCATTCAGTCCACCATTTACAGCTTCCTGTGCTCGGCTGTGGGCACACTCCCAGTCCTTGACCCTGTCTCCCATTCTCAGCCATTCACATCTCTCTTTTGGCTACACTCCTGTTCTCTGACGTCTGCATTTTAGCTCCTGCTGTTCTACCCTAACTGAAAAATGTTCTCCCCTTTGGGTGAAATCTTCCTAGATCATCCTTGCCTACATTTCTCTTTCTTTCCCTACATTTCTCTTTCTTTCCCTACATTTCTCTTTCTTTCCCTGAACTCCTAAAACATATTCATGATCACTGGTTTGGCACTTATTTATAGCCTATCTATAGCTATCTTTTTATAATATTTTTATTGATACATAATATACATATTTTGGGGGTACATGTAATTTTATACATTCATGTAATGTGTAAAGATCAAATCAGGGTATTTGGGATATCCATCACCTTAAATATTTATCTTTTATTTACCATGGGGACATTCAAGTTATTCTCTTCTGGTTATTTTGAAATGCACAATAGGTTATTATTAACTATAGTCATCCTACTGATCTATTGAACATTAGGCCTTATTGCTTCTATCTAACTGTATATTGTACCCATTAATCAACCTCTCTTCATCCACCTCCCAACCTCTACCCTTTCCAGCCTCTGGTAACCACCAATGTATTCTCTATCTTCATGAGATTCACATTTTTTAGCTCTCCCACATGAGTAAGAACATGTATTTGTCTTTCTGTGCTTGACTTATTTCACTTAACACAGTGACCTCCAGTTCTATCCATGTTGCTGCAAATGACAGGATTTCATTCTTTTTCATTACTAATATTCCATTTTGTGTATATACCATATTTTCTTTATGCATTTATCCACTGATGGGTGCTCAGGTTGATTCCATATTTTGGCTATTGTGAACAGTGCTGTAATAATCACGGACATGCAAATATCTCTTGGATGTATTGATTTCCTTTCTTTTGGAGATATACCTATTAGTGGAATTGCTGGATCATATGGTAGTTCTAATTTTAGTTTTTTCAGGAATCTCCATTCTGTTCTCTATAATGGCTGTACTAATTTACACTCCCACCAACACTGTGTGAGGGTTTCCCTTTCTCCATATCCTCACCAGCATCTGTTATTCACTGTCTTTGATAAAAGCCATTTTACTGGCATAAGATGATATCGCATTGTGGTTTTGATTTGGATTTCTCTGATAATTAGTGATGCTGAGCATTTTATCATACACTTTTTGGCCACTTGTATATCTTTTGAGAAATGTCTATTTAGATCTTCCCCCCCCTTTTTTTTTTAGGGCGTCACTCTGTCGCCCAGGCTGGACTGTAGCAGTGTGATGTTGGTTCACTTCTACCTTCACCTCCTGGACTCAAGAGATCCTTTACACCTCAGCCTCCCCAGTAGCTGGGACTACAGGCACATGTCATGACTCCTGGCTAATAGTTTTTTGTTTTTTTTTTTTTGGTAGAGATGGGGTTTTGCCATGTTGCCCAGGCTGGTCTTGAACTCCTTGACTCAAACTATCCACCCACCTTAGCCTCCCAAAGTGTTGGGATTATAGATGTGAGCCACTATAATGGACTTGCCCATTTTTAAATTGGATTTTTTTTTGCTATTGTTTGAGTTCCTTACATATTCTAGTTATTAATCCCTTGTCAGATGGCATTTTAGTCCACTTGTGTTGCTATAAAGGAACACCTGAGGCTGGGTAATTTATTTAAAAAAAGAGGTTTATTGGACTTGCAGTTTTGCCAGCTGTACAAGAAGTATGGCACTAGCATCTGTTTCTAATGAGGACTTCAGGCTGCTTCCAGTCATGATGGAAGGGGAGCTATCATGTGCAGAGATCCAATGGCAAGAGAGGAAAGCAAAGAAAAAGGGGGAGGGAGGTGCCAGGTTCTTTTTAACAACCAGCTCTTCCGTAACTAATAGAGTGAGAATGCACTCATTTACAGAGGATGGCATTAAGCCATTCATTAAGCAATCCATCTCCATGACCCAAATACCTCCCATTAGACTCCACTTCCGTCCAACATTGAGGATCAGATTTCAACATGAGGTGCAGGGGACAAACATCCAAACTATACAGACAGTTTGCAAATACTCTCTCTCTCTTTCTGTGGGTTATCTCTTCACTTGATTGTTTCCTTTGCTGTGCAGAAACTTTTTAGCTTGATGTAATCCCAGTTGTCTATTTTTGCTTTGGTTGTCTGTGCTTTTGAGGTCTTACACAAAAAATCTTTGGCCAGACCAGTGGCCTGGAGCATTGTCTCAATGTTTTCTTCTAGTAGTCTCATAGTTTCTGGACTTAGATTTAAATCTGTAACCCATTTGGATTTGATTTTTGTGTATGGTGAGAGAAAGGGGTCTCATTTCATTCTTCTGCATATAGTTCTCCTGTTTTTCCAGCACCATTTATTAAAAGAGTGTCCTTTCCCCATTTTATGTTCTTGGCACTTTTGTCAAAGATGAGTTGGTTGTAAATGTGTGGATTTAAATCTGGGTTCTCTATTCTATTTCATTGGTCTATATGCCTGTTTTTATGCCAGTACCAAGCTGTTTTGGTTACTATAGCTTTGTAGTAAATTTTGAAGTCAGGTAGTGTGATACCTAGAGCTTTGTTCTTTTTGCTTAGTGTTGCTTTGGCTATTCAGGGTCTTCTGTGGTTTCATATAAATATTAGGAATTTTTTTTCTATTTCCGTGAAGAATGTTGTTGGTATTTTGATAGAGATTGCATTGAATCTGTAAATTGCTTTGGGTAGTATTGCCATTTTAACTATAAGAAGTCTTCCAGTGCAGGAGCATGGCATATCTTTCTATATGTTTGTGTCCTCTTCAATTTCTTTCCTCAGTGTTTTATAGTTCTCAGTATATAGATCTTTCACTTCCTTGGTTAAAGTGGTTCCCAGGTATTTTATTTTCTTTGTAGCTAGTTAAGGTGGGATTGTTTTCTTCTTTTTCAGATTGTTCACTGTTGGTGTATATATTAATAAATGCTGCTGATTTTTGAATGTTGATTTTGTATGCTGCAACTTTACTGAATTTGTTTGTCAGATCTAACAGTTTTTTTTGGTGGAGTCTTTAGGTTTTTCTAAGTATAAGAGCATGTCATCCGTAAACAAGGCTAATTTAGCTTCTTCCTTTTCAATTTGGATACATTTTTTTTAAAGACAGGGTTTCTCTGTCACCCAGGCTGGTCTTGAACCCTTGGCCTCAAGTGATCCTTCCATAGTGGCCTCCCAAAGCCCTGGGATTACAGCCATGAGCCATCACATCTGGCCTGGATGCCCTTATTTTTTTCTCTTGTCTAACTGCTCTGGCAAGGACTTGCAGTATTATATTGAATAAAAGTGCTGAAAGTGGGCATTTTGGTCCTGGCCAGGATGTTGATTTTTCTTTTTTATTATACTTTAAGTTTTAGGGTACATGTGCACAACATGCAGGTTTGTTACATATGTATACATGTGTCATGTTGGTGTGCTGCACCCATTAACTCATCATTTAACATTAGGTATATCTCCTAATGCTATCCCTCCCCGTCCCCCCACCCCACAGCAGACCCCGGTGTGTGATGTTCCCCTTCCTGTGTCCATGTGTTCTCATTGTCCAATTCCCACCTATGAGTGAGAACATGCGGTGTTTGGGTTTTTGTCCTTGCGATAGTTTGCTGAGAATGACGGTTTCCAGCTTCATCCATGTCCCTACAAAGGACATGAACTCATCATTTTTTATGGCTGCTTAGTATTCCATGGTGTATATGTGCCACATTTTCTTAATCCAGTCTATCATTGTTGGACATTTGGGTTGGTTCCAAGTCTTTGCTATTGTGAATAGTGCCGCAATAAACATGTGTGCATGTGTCTTTATAGCAGCATGATTTATAATCCTTTGGGTATATACCCAGTAACGGGATGGGTGGGTCAAATGGTATTTCTAGTTCTAGATCCCTGAGGAATCACCACACTGATTTCCACAATGATTGAACTAGTTTACAGTCCCACCAACAGTGTAAAAGTGTTCCTATTTCTCCACATCCTCTCCAGCACCTGTTGTTTCCTGACTTTTTAATGATCGCCATTCTAACTGGTGTGAGATGGTATCTCATTGTGGTTTTGATTTGCATTTCTCTGATGGCCAGTGATGATGAGCATTTTTTCTTGTGTCTTTTGGCTGCATAAATGTCTTCTTTTGAGAAGTGTCTGTTCATACAGATGTTGAATTTTATTGAATGCCTTTTTGGACATCTCTTGAAATAATTATATGGCTTTTGTTCTTGGTTCTGTTAATGTGATGTATCATGTTTATTGATTTGCATAAGTTGAACCATCCTTGGATCCCTGGGATAAATCCCACTTGATCATGGTGAATGTTCTTTTCAACGTGTTATTGAATTTGGTTTGCCGGTATTTGGTTGAAGATTTTGCATTTGTGTTCATCAGGGATATGTAGTTTTCTTTTTTCTTATCATGTCCTTGTTTGGTTTTGGTATCAGGCTAATGCTGGCCTGATAGAATAAGTATGGAAGTATTCCCTCCTCTTCAGTTTTTTTTTGAAGAAATTGAGTAGAATTTGTATTAGTTCTTCTTTAAAAGTTTGGTACAATTTAGCAGTTTGAAGCCATTAGGACCTGGGCTTTTCTTTTAGGTGAGACTTTTTAATTACAGCTTCAATCTCATTACTTATTAGTGGTTTGTTGAGGTTTTCTGTTTCTTCATCATTCAATCTTGGTAGGTTTTATCTGTCTAGAAATTTATCCATTTCTTCTATGTTTTCCAGTTTATTGATATATAGGTGTTCATAATAGTCTCTAGTGATTCTTTGTATTTTTGATGTCTCAGTTGTTATGTCTCCTTTTTCATTTCTGATTTTGAGTCAGAAAAAGTCTCAATTCATTTATTTCTGCTTAGATTTATATTATTTCCTTTCTTCTAATAATTTGGGGTTTGGTTTGTTCTTGCTTTTCTATATTTCCTTGAGGAGCATAGTTGACTTATTTTTTGAAGTCTGTCAACTTTTTTGATGTGTTTATTGCTATAAACTTCTCTCTTAAAAGAAGTTACTGCTTTTACTATAACCTATAGATTTTGATCTATGATATTTCCATTTTCATTGGTTTCAAGAAATTTTTAAATTTTTTCTTAATTTCTTCATTGACCCATTGGTTGTTCAGGAGCATGTTGTTTAATTTCCTTCTATCTGTGTAGCTTCTGAAGTTCCTCTTACTGATTCCTAATTTTATTCTATTGTGGTCAGAATAGATACTTGATACAATTTCTGTTTTTTGAATTTGTTGAGAGTTGTTTTGTGGCCTAAGATATGGTCTTATTATGGAGGATGTTCCATGTGCTGATAAAAAGAATGTGTATTCTTCAACAGCTGGATAAAATATTCTTTAAATGTCAGACCTATTTGGCCTGGTTTCTGGTTTAAGTTTGATGTTTCCTTGCTGATTTTCTTCTGGATAATTTGTCCACTACTGAGAGTGGCGTGTTGAAGTCCCCTATGATTGTATTGCAGTTATCTCTCCCTTTATTGTTTGCTTTATATACTTGGGTGCTTGATGTTGAGTGCATAGATATTTATAATTGTTATATCCTCTTGCTGAATTGACCTCTTTATCATTATATAATGACCTTTCTTTATTTCTCTTTATAGTCTTTGACTTGTAGTCAGTTTTATCTGATATAAGTATAGCTATTCCTGCTGTGTTTTTGGTTTCTACTTGCTTGGAATGTCTTTTTCTATCTCTTTCAGTCTATGTATGTCTTTACAGGTGAAGTAGGTGTCTTATAGGCAGCATACAGTTGGATCTTGTTTCTTTATCCATCAGCCACTCTATGTCTTTTAATTGGAGAACTGAGTCCATTTATATTCAGTTATTGATAAGTAAGGACTTACTATGGCAATTTTTTCTTTCCTTGTTTGCTGGTTGTTTTGTAACTCCTGTCTTCCTTTCTTACTGTTTTCCCTTGTGGCAAAACGATTTTCTCAGGTAGTATGTTTTAATTTCTTGCCTTTTCTTTTTAGAAATCCCCCAACATTTTGACTTTTTCTTGTTTTAGTTTCCATGTTTTATATTACCTCTTAGCAGGCTGCTGTAGCTATTACTGTTTTTGCTAGATGTGTCTTTCTGGCTTCATACTAGAGTTATGAGTTGATTGCACACCACAATTACAGTATTAGAGTATTCTGGGTTTGTTCATGTACTTAATTTTATCAGTAGGTTTTCTACTGTCAACTGTTTTCTTTTTGTGTTAGTGTTTTTTTCTTTCAGATTGAAGAACTCCCTTTAACATTTCTTGTAAGATGGGTCTGGTGGTGGTGAATTCTCTCAGCATTTGTTTTTCTGAGAAAAACTTTCTCTATCCTTCATATTTGAAAGATGGCTTTGCTGGATACAGTATTCTTGGATGGCAGGTTTTTTTTTTTTCTTTTTTCTTTCAGCACTTTGAAAATCTCATCCTGCTGTCTCCTGGCCTATACCGTTTCTGCTGAGAAGTCTGTTGCCAGATGAATTGGAGCTTCATTATATGTTATTTGCCTCTTTTCTCCTATTGCTTTTAGGATCCTCTTTGTCCTTGACGTTTGAGAGTTTAGGTCAAATCTGTTTGGTTTCTCTGACTTTCCTATACGTGGATATGTCTTTGTCAAGTTTTGGAAAGTTTCCTATTTTTATTTCTTTGGATAAGCTTTCTACCCCTTGTTCTCATTCAAGTCCCCCTTCAACACCAGTAATTTTTAGATATGATCTTCTGAGGTAATTTTCTATATCTTGTAGGCTGTCTTCATTCCTTTTCTTTTTTCTTTTCTCTTCTGATAGCATATTTTCAAGTGGCTTGTCTTTGGGCTCACTAATTCTTTCCACTGCTTGATCCATTTGGCTGTTGAAAACATCTAATGATTTTTCAGTTCAGCAAATATATTTCTCAGTTCCAAGATTTGTTTGACTTTTTAAATCTTTGTTAAATTTATCTGAAAAATTTCTGAATTGCTTTTCTTTGTTATCTTGAAGATCACTGGGTTTCCTTAAAACTGCTATTTTGAATGTTGGTTAGAGTTTACATATTGCCTTCTCATTAGGGTTAGTCACTGGTTCCTTGATTTATCTATTTGGGAAGGTCATGGTTCCCCATTTGCTGTTTTTTGTTTTTTTTTTTTGGAGATGGAGTCTTGCTCAAGCACCTAGGCTGGAGTGCAGTGGCATGATCTCAGCTCACTGCAACCTCCACCTCCCAGGTTCAAGCCATTCTCCTGCCTCAGGCTTCCGAGTAGGTGGGACTACAGATGCACACCACCATGCCTGGCTAATTTTTGTATTTTTAGTAGAGAGGGGGTTTCACCATGTTGGCCAGGCTGGTGTCGAATTCCTCACCTCAGGTGATCTGCCCACCTTGGCCTCCCAAAGTGCTGGGATTAAGGTATGAGCCACCACGCCCGGCCAACTCGCTGTTGTTTCTTGTGGATATATGTCTATGCCTTTGCACTGAAGGATTATTTATTTATTTCAGTCTTCTGTGTCTGGCTTGTTTGGTTTTCAGTGGGTATGTTTGATTAGAGATTGTTTGTAATTTACCTGTTTAATTTCTTTTTTGTTCTCCTGCTATGTGGCTGCCTCCTTTTTGGCACTAGATGGTGCTTTAATCCCTGGTTCATCTTGGCTCTAGTAAACCTTTCTCTTGCTCTCTCAATCTCTCTCTTTCTCTCTAATCTTTTATGTTTTCTACTAAATTATGAGCACCAGGGGCCATGTTATTAGGTATTTTTTTATGCTTGGTAAATATGTCTTGATAATTACATGTGGGTGTATTGTATAATAAGTATGATTTAAGTCACCAAGGTAAGGGTTCTTAAGCTGGGTCCCATAAACTCCTTGACATGTTGTGTAAAGTTGTATGTTATATGCATGTATGCATTTTCTGGGGTGTAGGTCTGTGACTTTCATTACTACCTACTTCATGTTCATACTGTGGTTAAGAACTATGGTAGCAAGACAATATCAGACATATTATAAATACTGATCCAGCTCAGCTAGATTTATAAAATTATCCGGAAGTGATACAGATATGTAAGATTACAAGTTATGTTCTTATTGAGAATCATCTTTCTCGATGTTATTGCAGCTTAAAGGTCAGGCTTAAGACCAATAGATGTCTCTCCTTCCTTTCATCCACAGCTCTTCTATATGGTATTATTTCATTCATATAAAATTGAATATGAACTCTGAATATCAATTTTTTAATGTTAAAGCCCCTTTTAAAGACTGGTGACCTTAAATATTAGTGTCATTCCTGCAATAAAGTTCATCTATTCATACATTTACCAAATATTTACTGTGTTACCTATGTACTGAGCGCTGTCATATACTGAGAACACAGTAATGAGCAAGATGTGGTGCTTCCACTCTGTTTAACATGTAAACAGTAAATTATATACTTTCAGAGAGTCTTAAGTGCTGTGAAGGAAGTAGGGCAGTTTAATGGATAGACAGTGATGCAAGTAGGGTGGTTAGGGAGGTGACATTTAAGCAGAGAGCTAAATGATGAGATCAGGTTATGTGAAAGCTCTGAAGCAGAAGTGAGCTTTGTTTGTCTAAGAAACATTATAGGAGGCCAGTGGGGCCAGAACATGGTAAACAAAAAGCAAAGTGGGAAGAGATGAAATCACAGCAATGCTTTTATATCAAGTAGACATTGGCTGAGAATTTGGTTCTTGTTGATTGCATGGATTCCTACATTGATTTCACAACTTCAAATCCTAAATAGGATGACTATCTTACTATTTTATAGTCTAAAAATGAGGCCAGGCAAGATGGCTCACACCTGTAATCCTAGCACTTTGGGAGGCCGAGGTGGGCAGATTCCTTGAGGCTAGAGTTTGAGATCAGCCTGGGCAGCATGGTAAAAAACGCTGTCTCTACTAAAAATACAAAAATTAGCTGGGCATGGCAGTACATGCCGTTAATCCCAGCTACTTGGGAGGCTGAGGCATGAGAATCGCTTGAACCCAGGAGGCGGAGGTTGCAGTGAGCTGAGATCCTACTACTGCACTCCAGCCTGGGTGACAGAGTAAGACTTTGTCTCAGGGTAAAAAAAAAAACAAAACAAAACACAAAAACAAACAAAAAAGACAGAGGGAGAATTAGAAAAATGGGGAGGAAGACTGATGTAGCAAGAAGAGAATGTTTTAGGGTCAAAAAACCTAATCTGGAGTTCAGGGAGCAACCTTTTGTTATCTTTATACCTTGACAATTCACCTACCTGCCTGTTGCTTATTTCTTTGCCTGAAAAATGGAAATAATGACATCTCCCCACATCCAAGTTATTACTGCTATCAGATGAGATGGTTTGTGCAAAAGCCCCAAATGAATCTCTCAGCCTGTATATAGTGGCTGAGAAACAGAAAGAAAACATAGGCAGGCAAAAAGGATGTTTAATAATAATATATTCACAATGACACTAAACTAAAAAAAAAAAAAAGGTTAGTTATTATTTTGGGCCAAGCAGTGCATTGAGTGAGTTACTATAGTACCCTGTTTAGTCTTCACAGCAATCCATAAGATAGATAGATAGGTTCTGTTGCTATCCTCATTTTATGAGAGAGGAACAGGGAGGCTTTGAAAGGTTATTTGTTCAGGGTCACATAGATATTGAGTCCTAAACTTCAAACTCTAAAGCTAAATCATTTATCCAAAGGGAGGTCCTCTGAATGCCCTCACTTATTGCTTATTTGTTTTAATTTAAACAAAACTATAATCAACTTGCTTATCTGTTTTCCCACTCCACTGATTTCCAGTATCTGTGAATTAAACAAGGACAAACAGGTTTTGGTGGAGGTAGGCACCCTCATGGCAATAAGATAGGAACACTATTACAAGGAACAGAAATAAACACCCATGCACAAACATGCAAATAAAAAGAAAACAGCACCAGTCAACATGGTGAAACCCTGTTTCTACTAAAAAGACAAAAATTAGCCGGGTGTCGTGGTGTGTGCCTGTAATCCTAGCTACTTGGCGGGCTGAGGCATGAGAATTGCGTGAACCCAGGAGGCAGAGGTTGCAGTATCATGCCACTGCACTTCAGCCCGGGCAACAGAGTAATGTTGAGAAAAGGGGCATTTTTATACACCCACACAACAGTCTTCATACCTCAAAAAAGCTGGAGGCATCACTGAATACACCCGGCACACTAACTGATGCTCATAATGACACCAAATCACCACTCTTAAAGGGAAGTGCATAATGAAATTAAGAACATTCTGTCCAAATGCTTAAAATTAGAAAACAAATATAAAACTTACTTATACAGAATACCTTATTTCTCAAAGACAACTGGATTAAATAAAACATAACTGTATTTTAAATATTAATATGGCATATAGTATGATTCCATGTATATAAAGTTCCAAACCAGGAAAAACTATAGCATTGAAGGCTGCATACTTAGGAGAAAAGTAAAAAGAAAAGCAAATGTTCATTGTAAATGTCAGGAGAGTAGTTTAAGAGAGACTTGGGAAGGAGCCTGTGCGACAGCAATGTTCAACGTTTTGACCTCAGTGGTGGTAACAAAGGGTGTCCACTTTACAGTCATTCGTTAAGCTGTATTTGTATGATTTAAGCACTTTTCTATATTTGTCGTACATTTCACAATAAATGATGTTGAAAGAGAAACTGAACTTAAAAAATAAAACTATATTTGACTAACAAAGAATACAGTACTTTTGCTTAGGTGTGTTTCATATAGGTCACATCATTTTATTCTCTTGGCAGTTTCCGTGAGGTAGAAAGGGCAGGCCTCCTCCTCCTCCCACTTCTCTTTTTAAAGATGGAACCCTGGAGTCCCAGGGGGTTTATTACATTGCTGGTGAGCCGGGACTCCCACCCCTGACTGGTGTTTCCCCGCTCTCCTAGCCTCCAGCTCATCTCTGCAGACACATTGTAGGAGCAGAATATATTGCTGAGCAATTGTGAAGTCAGAGAGTGAATTTTCCTCACTATCAAAACCTCACCTGTCACTGTGCTCCGCTGCAATCTCATGCTTGCCCTGAGAATCGATCTTCACCTCCCTGACCATGTTAAACCAGGCCCTGAAAATCTTCTTTTGAAGAAAATGTACACAAAATTTTCTTACTTCTTCCTGCAGATCAATCACGTACTGGGGATGAAGACAGAAATAAAAGTGAGACAAAAAATATCAGTTGACAAAGAATTAGAGCAAATAAACAGCACAAAAGACAGAAATGAAACAAAAGAAACAAATGACACTAGAGACATACAAAGAAAAGGATAACCTGGAAGCCAAGAAAATATCCTCTATAATGTATCCTAAAAATGGTAAGAGAACACATGAATAGAAACAGTTATAAGATTGAAGGGGTAAGTTTCTAAATCACTTGAGCACTGTGAGACAAGAAACAAGAAATGACTATAAAAACAAAAGCTGATGGAATGATAACTTACAGTTTATACACACTCCGTGAAACAAACACAGGCTTAGGATTTTACACTAATAAAACACTGATTTACCATTTTCACATTTATTTCAAAGCAGTGAATGGGATTGACTACTCTTTTGTTCTTGAAAAAACATAATGACCCTGGACATTCTGGATTTCATTTAGTTTTCTTAAATAGAATTGAGCAATGAGATGTATTTAAGGTACCCTTCCCTATGTCCTTACCTGTAGCCAGCTCTGGATGACTCTCTTAAGCAGTATTTGGGAATAAAATTGATCAGCCTGGGCCATCTTTCTAGCCAGACTTTCCTGACTACGCTGGAACCACGTCAGCATGTATTTCCTCTGCAGGAACAAAGAGTAATGTTCTTCTGCCACCTGGACAATTTTTTAAATGAGAAATATTATTCCTTAAATTTTAAATCATTTAAACAAACACATCACCTTTGGAAATGATGCTATAAAACACATTTAGGCAGTCGGTAGAGAATAATCTGAAGGTACATGCAGCCTGTGTCCTAAAAGCTTTGACTGTTGACCTATTCTATGGAGGTTATAGATTCACATCATGCATGGCCTTTCAATGCCAGCTCCCTGAAGACCACAGTGATTTGCTGGTTATGGAAATGGAACAACCAACCTCTAAGCCATTACTTCACTTCCCCTGAGTTTTGGAGTGGGTAGCTGGCAACATTCTCAATTTGCTCTCCTGGAGCTTGGACAGCAACTCCACAACAAACCTCTCTTTCTCATGACTTAACCACTGTCTAATTGAGGAAATGCCAATACTTTCAATTAGTGTTGTGGAATGAGCTGTCACCAGCATTGAAATTTAGACATTATCAATAAACCACAAAACCATCTGATAGAAAATAACATGAATAATTTAATGTCTTTTCAACTGAGTATCATTCTATCAAAATAAACATACAAATCAGAATTTATAGATTTTTAAAAGTAACTGTTATATTCTTTTAAGAGGCAAGAGGGGAAAAGCCTTCTCTCTTAGTCCTCTCTAAACAGCGACACATTTTTCTAAGCCTTGTCTAGATATCTGGCACTGTGAATGTGATTGACTCAAGTGAGTCTCTTGGCAGTCATATTTATTGGCCAAAATGACCACCACGGAGGTCTCTGTGGCACCTGAGATTTCTGCCTGTCCTGGACTCATCTCAGCAGACTGAGAGCCAAAAGATGAGATAACATTTTATCTATTTTGAATTTTTAATCATTTAGTTGCATGCACTGGATAAATTTGTTAGGGAAATTTTAGAAATTTCTGCGGTGTCTGATTTCATATATCTCTCTGCAGTAGAGTGAATTACTGTTCTGTTCTCTCTAATAGAATTATACACCCATACCCTTTGCAATGTGATTTCACAGTTCCTCCCTGTAGAGTGGATGGAGCTCTTTCTCTCCTCAATGACTTTGAGCTTGGCCCTTTGATTTGCTTTGGCCAATGGAATGTGGACATAATACAAGCAACGGGTTTACATAATTTGGTTTGGCCTTTTGTAGCTCTGACAGTTGCCAGGTGAAAAGCATGCCCTGAGTAGCTGCTGTAACCAGAATGAGAGGCTTGGGGAGAGACCTGAACTCAATCCACAACTGGCCCACAGACATATGAGTGAGAAATAAATACTTGAGCTGTAAGCCACTGATATTTGGGGGTTGTCTGTTATGCAACTTTATCACAGGCAGAAACCTGACTAATGTACCTTATGGTAATAACTTTTCCCTTACTCAAACTGAGAGAAGCTTCTATTCATCTTACCTTGGGGGGATCTCTAATAAAACATTTTCTCTCATTTTTTCCAACCTATTCAATTACAAAAGTCCTTCTCTACCTTAAAAGACCAAATCAAAAATTGTATCCAAAACAAATACACACATTCAATTAATTTATCTTTCTGGCTTTAAATCACCAAACCCTACCCTCCCCCAAGCTTAACTGGGCATCCATCCTATTTGGAAAAGTCCATTTTCTAATCTGGGGGATAACAGTGGGACAGTGTACCTGGATGTTTTGTTTGCTTTGCATTCTCAATCTCTTCCAAGGCTCTAGACCTTTTTTCCTTAGCAAGACCCTTTCATAATGTTCTTTGGCTATTGCTTCCAGCTGCTGGTTCCTCTTAATTCTCTTCTGCTTCTCAAGTTCTTTCTGGAAAAGATTAAAAAGCAAAATGCTATGATCAAAAAACGAATGAGTTTCATTTCAATGAAAAGCTAATGAATTTAATTTGAACATGTAACCATTGAATGGTGTGTTAATCATGATAACAGAGCTCTGGATAATAGGGCTTTTTCTTTAAAAAAAAGGAAATAATTCTGCTAAGAGGGTCAGGAGAAGCTGGTCATGAGTCTACAAGAATCAGGGCTATGCATATTCGTGGATTTATTCAGTATTGTTCACAGAAATAATTTCTCTCTCACCAAGTAACTAAAAGGTAAAACATCTAGTTAGGAGAGCAATCAGGATTTTCCCCCTCATTATATGAAAAACCCAGCCATACAGCCACTTCATTTAAACTATGGGATAGAGATTTAATGATACTCCATTAAAAGTCTGGAAGAATATTCTTACTAGTATTTTTCTTTTTAAGTGAAGAACAATAAGTCCAGAGGCAAGTTAAAGATAGTTGATCATCATTAAGCTACCTTCCCTCTTCTAAGAAGGAAAAAGATGAACTATTCCTGGTAATACACTGAGAAAAGACACTCCATGACCCTCAAAGAACTGCACCCCTCAGGGGTGTGACCAAGAAAGATGACAAAAACTTAATGATCGACCCTATAGATATCATTATTTCCTTTTTTCTCTTTTAATAAAAATAGCTTATTGTAAAGGTGAGAGAAAAAGAAATCTACCCAGAAAGGGGGAGTGGGAGCAAGTGACACCTGCAGTGAAAGACACAAGAGCAACAAAGACTGAAGACTGCTTTCATAGTCGTCATCTTTGCAGCATAAATACAAAAACATTTAATTTAAGCTGATTTCCTTTACTTCATACGATTTCACATTAGGAAAAGGGCAGTGGTGAACTGGCTGATCCTGGCAAGCTACTTAATGTGCCTGAGCCTTCTGTGAGAGAAACATTACAGAGAGAGCAATGGAACATTTCTAATATGGAAGGAAGAATTGCTCTAATTTTCCAATACAAACTGCCTATTTCTGTGAAAGCTCTGAAAAATGAAATGTCCATATTCTCTTAGCCATTAAACCAAAACAAGCTTTATACTCTTTATTTCAGGCACTTGAGATACTTGTTGAATGAAATGGCCAGAGAGAAAATTTACAACAATTTTCTCATGCATAGTAAGAGGAAGCTGAGGGTTAAGTGGGGAGGAAAACAGAAACTGACCCTTCCACATCCACTGAAATGTCAGTGTAGCATTAAGGCAGCAGCTGCATCTTGCAGAGAGACATCTAATGCAGATAATAACCTTTGGAGAAGCCCTCAGGCTCAGACAAAAGAACTTGTTCCCATGCAGAGATAAGTTATGGTGTAACTATCCTCCTAGAATAATTACTGGCTGGTGTTAATCAGCTCCAAAAGGAAAATTATTTTCAGCTGAATTGTGGGGAAAACCAGACTTTTTCAAAGTCTACACTTCCATGGAAAAATATAAAGAAAAACATGAGTTCTGCTTGAGTCAAAATGTTGTATTCTTACATAGCAATTTAATTCAAATATGTATCTCCTCCCTCTATTAAGGGTTCCTCGATAGAACTGGTTGTATTTCATTAATATTACCACATTTTCAATTTCCTGGTTTATAAAATGTCTTTAATAGCACCTGCATCCATGATTTACTGTGAGGATTACATGATATGATGCTGTTTTGAGATGGCACTTATAGTGGGGATCTATGTAGCTAGGGGTTTCATAGAACACAGATCACTGAGGCTAAAAAGGGATATAAAATCTGGGCTTCTTTCTGAAATAAATGTGTAGCTTTGTCAGCTAGTATGCTTTAGGAGAAAAGCCAGAAATTACAGCTATGTTAAAAAAAAAAGTACAGGGCAATTGACACTGCCCCAAAACTCTTGGCCTTCTGTCCCTTGTACGCTACTCTCCCTTTGTGCTCTAGAATATATTCCTGCTTACCCACTCCTGTGATTTATACTCTGCTCTTCTGCATCACGAATTTCTCCCTCACTACTGGATTATTCCTATCAGTATGCAAATATGTGCCAGTATCTCCCCTCTTCAAAACAAAAAAACAAAAAAAAAAAAACCAAAAATAAAAAATAACTAACAAAAAACAACTAGAGACCATGAGTATAGATGCGGATCTCTTTCTCATGAGCTCCACATCTATCTCTGATCTCAGGAGATCCGCATCTGTACTCATGGTCTCTAGTTCCTCACCTATTCTCTCCTCAGCCCACTGGAATGAGGCTCCTTTCCTAGAACACCACTGAAAGCCCTGTTGCCTAGGTCATGAATGCTTGCTGGGCTTCCAAATCAAAGAATCACTTATCTGTGCTACTTTTAATTGAACTCGGTAGCATTCAGCCAAATTCACCACTCCCACCACTCCCCTAACAGAAATACTTTTTTCTCTTGGTGTTTTGATTCTAAACTCTCCTGTTCTCTTTCTACCTCACTAGCTCCTTATCCTCTAAATAGCTATTTATAGTCCTTAGGACTTGATCTTGGACTCTCATTTCTACTCTATCCAGACAATCTCCCAAGCTGATTACAGCTACTTCCAGACCATTATAAACATTGACTTGTTTTTCACTTGCGTACACAGTCTTGTGGTCCAGGCTTATATACCCAAGCACATATCTGACATGTTCATTTGGATGTCCAATAGGTATCTCACATTTAACATGCCCCCGCCAACTAGACACTGTGGAGGCCGCCTCAGCATCCAGGAGCTCAAATATCACCTCCTCAGAGAGGTATTTCCCATACTGCTTCCACCAACTATACCACTCTCTCCCTACTTCTTTAGTCATTACTTTGATTATTGGCCTGTTTTCCCCAACTAGCATAGAAGCTTTCAGACGGCAGGGCTGTTATCTGTCTTCTTCATTGCTACATTCTAACATCTACGTAAGTAAATGCTTTACAGATATTTGTTCAGTGTGCAAATATGCTTGATAAGCAATTATGGAAAAACTTTAAATCTTGCCTTGTCTTCTCTGATAAAATTATTTTTTCAACCGCAAACTTCAACTGTCCATCAATCAGAAGTATATATAGCCATAAAAGTTATTGCCTGTTAAGTATAAGCATTTAATAAACATACAGGGGGGTGTTAAGAAGAGGTTAGATTATTATTTTCAGAAGGTCACTTTGTGAGACCTCTGAGTGGCCACCTTACTGTGGCACCCAACATGCTTTTCTGGCAGGGTCATGGGGACACTAAGCTGTAGCCATGTCTTGCCTCTGTACCACCTCTTGCTGAATATAGAGGACAGGTCTGTCATGAGGGCTTATCCCTGAAGAATTCTTCCAGTTCCTTTATCTAAAATGGTGTCACAGCACCCTATACACACATAACTGGGCTTATCTCATAATATCTCTCCAAAGAAATATATATGATTGCCCCAGAGACTTTCTTTATCATATCAACAGTAGGGTTTTTTTTTATCTATGTCATTAGAAAACATGGTACCTCTGTTGGACAATTTGCTGGTACACTCAATGAGCAAAAATACCCGCCCAAATAGAAGAGGTTAAGCAGAGTTCAACCAAACACATCTAGGATACAAATGATTCAGAGAAGTCTCAGAAGGCACTTGTTCAGAAGTGCCACTATCTTTTTGATATCCAGAGGAATAACACTACTATGGCCTTGGAGGTTGCTTACTGGGAAAAGTTATATAAAGCATATAAGGAAGTAAAGAATTGCTTGGCAGAACTTGATGGGTAAAAAGGAATAAGACCTATGAAAATCTGAGTGGAGAAGCACACTGTGTAGAGCATCTTTGTCCAGAAGGAAAAGAAGACAATTGCCATGTGCATTTTATATCTAAAGTTGTCCTCAAAGAAGACTCAAGTATAGCCAGCCTATAAATGCACCTATCTCAATTTAGATAGCTCCAGTTGACTAATGAAATGGAAACTAGTCTATGTGACAAAATCTTCTTATCTATTGCTATGAACTGCAGCTTCTAAAAGGAAAATGTTTGGGCTTGATATAGTGAGAGAAATAAAATGATCTCTTGGTCAGTAATGTATTTTTCACCATTCTTGTTCTGCATAAGTTTTCTTCCAACAAGGAAAAAGCTGGTCATGCAACAAATTAATGACTTTTTGTGAACTGATCAGAGATCTGAAGCTACCCCCAAATTTGGAGAGACAGGCATCTTCAGGGAGGCACAGGACCTAAGCATTTGTTTACCGGAGGCAGAAGCCACTGGATACCATATGAGTAAGACAATTAAACTAGAAATTTTGGTGAACTGATGGAGGCAGACAGTGAGTGGGCCAGCATGAGAAGGTTGAAGCTCCTGGGGATCACAGTCATGGGGGTGCTTCTCATCCCTTTGAAGGCTTTTCTTATAAGAACGCTACCAGGCTCTCACAGAGAAGATCATGGAGAATCCACAGAAAGTTTGCACCATGGTTCTGGCTGGGGAGAGGCACAGCAGCAACTGCAAAATCTTCCCAGAGCATTCTTCCTTAGGAAACAAAAGGTTTATCTGTCCTAGCAACCAACCCAGTACACTGGCAGATTAGCACTGCATCTGAGGGAAGGGGATTCAGGGGATTCTGCCCAGACAAGTCCTCCCTATCTCACTTAGGGGTTGGGGAAGCCTTATTCTCCAGAGGGAAGGTCTTTAAGGTCACAGACTGAGACAGTGGTGGATACCCACTGCGGATAAAGGGAAAAAGGGGGCAGAAAAAAGCTCTACCACTGGAGTGGGAACAGAAATTATCTGAGTGCTTAAAGCTGTGCATTCCAAACACTGAGACTTAATCAGAACAGAGAATGCTCCCCATCGTCCACACCCAATCACCACACTTATATAAGCTTCCAATAATAATAGTGGATTACAGCTGAGAAAGCTGTAAACAACAGATTCTCTCTGGGGAGCAGCACAAAAGGAAGACCCAAAACCAAAAGAGGAAGCAAAAACAAAGTCACTAGAAGACATTAAAGTCTCTGATGTCTACAGCATACAGCAACAAACCTCAACAATGGTGACCACGGCAACAACAAGCTTCAAACATAGCCCAATTCCCGGCTAAATTAGTACAAATCTCCACACTCTAGGCCAACGTGTTGCAGTTTCTATTGCCCTGAACAACAGGTCTGGCCTTCAACAAAAAAATACAAGGCATACCCAAAGACAAGAAATAAATACACCCTGAAAAGATGAGCCAATCATCAGAACAAGGCTCAGATATGACAGAGATGTTGGAACTATCAGAGAGGGAATTTTAAATAACTTCCAAAAATAATGTTAAATGTTCTAATGGAAAAGGTAGACATCATTCCAGATCAGATAGGTAATTTTAGCAGAGACATGGAAACTATAAAAAAAGATTCAAAATAAAAATGCTAGAAATAAAAAAACACATGGTAATAGAGATAAAGAGGCACTTCAACTAGCTTACTGCTAGAAGATACAGCCAAGGAAAGAACCAGCTAACCTGACAATAGGGCAATGGAAATTACACAAACTGAAAGGCAAAAAGAGTGAAAAACAAAATAGTGCATCTGAGAGCTGTGGGATAATATGAAACAATGTAACAATGGCATAACAAATCCCATAAGGAAAAGAAAAAGAATGGGGTAAGTGAAATAATTTGAAGAAATAACGGGCAAACATATTCCAAAATCAGTAACAAAACACAAAATCATATATCCAAGAAGCTTAAGACCACCAAAGCCAAGACCAAACCAACCAACCAACCATACCTAGATATATCATATTCGAACTGCTAAAAATCAAAGACAAAGAAAAAGTCTTGAAGGTAGCTAAAGGGAAAGACCCACATTACCTACTGTCATGAACTGAATGCTTGTGTCCCCCTAAAGTTACTGTGTTGAAGCCCTAACCCCTAGTGTGGCTGTATTTGAACATAGGGCCACTAAGGAAGTAATGAAGGTTAAATGGGGTCCTAGGGTGCAGCCCTAATTGGACAGAATTAATGTCCTTATAAGAAGCGATACCGTGGTGTGCTTGCTTGCTCTCTCTCGCATGCGCTCTCTCCCTCTCCCCTCTGTCTCCAAACAGAAGCACCAAGGAAAGACTGTATGAGGACACAGTGAGAAGAAGCTGTCTGCAAGCCAAGAAGACCCCTTTCCAAAAGCCAACCATGCAGGCACCCTGATCTTGGACTTTGCAGCCTCTAAAACTGTGAGAAAACAAATTTCAGTTATTTATCCACCTAGTCTGTGACATTTTGTTATGGCAGCCTGAACAGAATAAGACACCCACAAAGAAAGAAAGGTAAGAATTACAGTAGATGTCTTGTGAGAAACCAGGCAAGCAAGAAAACAATAGAGTAACATCATTAAGGTGTTGAAAGAAAAAAAAAAAAAACACCTGTCAACCCACAATTCTATATCCGGCAAAAAACATACTTTAAAAGTGAAGGAAAAATAAAGACTCTCAGACAAATAAAAACTGAAGGAATTCACTGCCAGCAGATCTACCCTATAAGAAATGGTAAAGAAAGTTCTTCAGGCATAAAGAATATAATATAGGTTAAGAACTTAGCTCTACACAAAGAAATGAAGAGCATCAGAAACAGAAGAAATAAAGTTAAATATAATCATCTTATTTTTAATTCCACTGAGAAAACTAATTGTTCAAACAATAAGTTTAACAAGATATTGGCTATTTATAGTATACATAAAAATATGACATGACAACAATACCAAAAGGAATGGGAGGAAGGAACTGGGAAATACTGATAGAAGGTTCTTTCACTACATGTAAAGTGTTATTTGAAGGTGGAAAGAGATCATTATTATTATTTGAGATAGGGTCTTGCTATGTTACCCACGCTTGTCTCAAACTACTGGACTCAGGCAGTCCTCCTGCCTCAGCCTCCAAAGTAGCTGAGATTACAGGTACATGCTACGACACTCAGGTAGAAGGAGATTATTTTAAAAATGTAAACACTAGGGTAACCACTAAAAATATTTTTTAAAAGAGGACCAGGTGCAGTGGCTCACGCCTGTAATCCCAGCACTTTGGGAGGCCAAGGCAGGTGGATCACGAGGTCAGGAATTTGAGACCAGCCTGGTCAAGATGGTGAAACCCCATCTCTACTAAAAATACAAAAATTAGCCGGGCGTGTTGGTGGGTGCCTGTAATCCCAGCTGTTCGGGAGGCTGAGGCAGGAGAATTGCTTGAACCCAGGAAGCGGATGTTGCAGTGAGCCAAGATCATGCCACTGCACTCCAGCCTGGGCGACAGAGCAAGACTCCATCTCAATATATATATATATATATTTAAAGAGGTATAAAAACTCCAAAAAAACACAATAAAATAGAATCATAAAGATGCTTAATTAAAACCAGATAAGGTAGGGAAAAAAGAAAAACAAAGAATAAGTACAACAAATAGAAAATAGCTAACAAGATGATAGATTTTAATCCAGTTGTGGCCGGGTGCAGTGGCTCACGCCTGTAATCCCAGCACTTTGGGAGGCTGAGGCAGGTGGAGCACGAGGTCAGGAGTTTGAGACCAGCCTGGTCAAGATGGTGAAACCCCATCTCTACTAAAAATACAAAAATTAGCCGGGCATGGTGGCGGGCGCCTGTTAATCCCAGCTATTCCAGCCAAGACGGGTGGATCACCTGAGGTCAGGAGTTCGAGACCAGCCTGACCAGCATGGCAAAACCTAGTCTCTACTAAAAATACAAAATTAGCCAGGCGTGGTGGTGCGTGCCTGTAATCCCAGCTACTCAGAAGGCTGAGGCAGGAGAATCACTTGAACCCAGGAGGCAGAGGTTGTGGTGAGCAGAGATCACGCCACTGCACTCCAGCCTGGGCAACAAGAGTGAGACTCCATCTCAAAAAAAAAAAAAAAAAAAAAAAGATTTTAATCCAGTTTTATCAATAATCACTTTAAAGTTAATGGGCTAAACATAATAGTTAAAAGAATGAGATTATCAAATTAGATGCTAAATCAAGACATAGCTATATGATGTCTATAAGACATTCAATTTTATAAGGCATATATGTAAGTCTTTTTTTTTTGAGACAGAGTCTCGCTCTGTCACCGAGGCTGGAGTGCAGCAGCTCAATCTCGGCTCACTGCAAGCTCCGCCTCCCGGGTTCATGCCATTCTCCTGTCTCAGCCTCCCAAGTAGCTGGGACTACAGGTGCCCACCACCACACCCGGCTAATATTTTTGTATTTTTTTAGTAGAGACAGGGTTTCACCATGTTAGCCAGGATAGTCTTGATCTCCTGACCTCATGATCTGCCTGCCTCAGCCTCCCAAAGTGCTGGGATTACAGGCGTGAGCCACTGCCCCTGGCCATGTAAGTCTTTTTAAACATACATGCACCTAAGAACAAACCTTCAAAGTACATGAGGCAAAACCAGATAGATATGAAAGGAGAAATAAGTCTCAAGTTTAGTTAGAAACTTCAATAGTCCTCTCTCAATAACTGATAGAAGCAGGCACAAAATCAGTAAGAATACAGATATAGATACCGTAAGACACAGTAAAACATACTCAAACAATGTGACTTGGCATTTCTAGAGCAGACCAATGGCAGCTGAGTACTATAGTACTATACATATTCTTCTCAAGTGCACATGGAACATTCACTGAGATAGACAATATTCTGGGTCATAAAGCAAAACTTTACAATTTCATGCAATGTACATTCTTGGAACATAAGGAACTTAAACTAGAAATTAAAACTAGAAATTAAACTAGTAAAAAGTTATCTGAAAGTCCTCAAATATTTAAAAATTAAAGAATAAACTTCTTAATAACCCATGGGACAATGAGGACATCTCAAGGGAAATTAAAAATATTTTGAACTAAGTAAAGATAAAAATATCAAAATATGATATACAAGTAAAAGAGTACTTAGAGGGAAATTTACAGCAGTAAATTCACACACTAGAAAAGGAGAGGCCAGGCATGGTGGCTCATGCCTGTAATCTTACCACTTTGGGAGGCCAAGGTGGGAGGATCTCTTGAGCCCAGGAAATTAAGACCAGCCTGGACAACACAGTGAGACCCCATCTCTACAAAAAATTTAAAAAATCAATTGGACATGGTGGTGCATGCCTGTAGTCTCAGCTACTCAGGAGGCTGAGGTGAGAGGATTGCTTGAGCCCAGGAGTTTGAGGTTATAGTGAGCTGTGATCACACCACTGCATTCCTGCCTGGGCAACAGAACAAGGCCCTGTCTCTAAAGAAAGAAAGAAAAAGAGAAAGATCTGAAATCAATAACTGAAGTTTATATCTTAGGAAACTAGAGGAAGAGAGCAAACTCTTAAGGAAGGAGGAGGACAGAAATAAAAATTAAAGCAGAAATCAATGAAATTGAAAAGAGGAAAACAACAAAGAAAACCAGTGAAACCAAAAGTTAGTTTTTGAAAAGAAATAAAATTGATAAAACTGATATCCAGGTAAACCAGAAGAGAAGATATATATTGCCAATATCAAAATTTAAAGAGAAGACATCAATACTGATCTCATAGACATTAAAAAGGTCATAAGAGAATACTATGACCTCTGTTCCAAGAGACTTGAAAACTTAGATTAAATGCTCAAATTTCCTGAAATATACAAACTACCAAGTTTTACTCAAGAAGAAAAAAAGAACTGAATAGCTCAATATCTATTAAAGAAATAGAATATGTTATTTTAAATCACTTTAAAAAAGAAAACTCCAGGTGAGGGATAAAAGACTACAAATTAGGTTCAGTATATATTGCTCAGGTGATGGGTGCACCTAAACCTCACAAATCCCCACCAAAGAATTTACTCATGTAACCAAATACCACCTGTTCCCCCAAAACCTACAGAAATAAAAAATTTAATATAAAATAATAAAAAAAGAAAACTCCAGGCCCAGTGGTTTCACCAGTGAATTCTACCAAACATTTTAGAGAGAAATAACACCAACTTTACATACTCTCTTTCAAAAAATAAAAAAGGGTATACTTCCCCCATTTTATGAGGCTAACCATTATCCTAATACCACAACAAGACAAACATAATATAAAAAAAAGGAAATGCAGGCTGGTGTGGTGGTGCATGCTTAGAATCCCAGCTACTCAGGAGGCTGAGGCAAGATAATTTGAACCCAAGTGTTTAAGACTAGCCTGCGCAACATAGTGATAAAGCACCTCAAAAAAAAAAAAAAAAAAAAAAAAGGCCAGATGTGGTGGCTCATGCCTGTAATCCCAGCACTTTGGGAGACTGAAGTGGGCGGATCACAAGGTTAAAAGTTCAAGGCCAACCTGGCCAACATGGTGAAACCCCGTCTTTACTAAAAATACAAAAATTAGCTGGGTGTGGTGGCGCATGCCTCTAATCCCAGCTACTCAGGAGGCCAAGGCAGGAGAATCGCTTGAACTCGGGAGGTGGAGGTTACAGTGAGCTGAGATCACGCCACTGCACTCCAGCCTGGGCAACACAGTGAGACTCCAAAAAAAAAAAAAAGAAAAACAAACAAACCCCCCCCCCCAAAAACCAATTTCTTAACAAAATACCAACACATGAAATCTAACAATATATAAAAATAACACACCATGACCAAGTGGAGTTCATCTCAGGAAGGCAAGGATAATTTTACATTGGAAAATCAATCAATGTAGTTTACCGTATTAGTAGAGGAATTAAGAAAACTACATGATCATATCAAAGATGCAGAAAAAGCTTTCAGTGAAATTTGTAATAAACACTCTCAGCAATCTAGGAATAAATGAAAATTCCCTTCATCTAATAAAAGACATTCATGAAAACCCACAGCAAACATCATACTTAATGGTGAGATACTGAATGCTTTCCCTCTAGATCTGAAACAAGGCAAGGATGTCTTCTCTCATCATGCCTATTCCATCTCATACTGGAAGTCCTAACTAATGTGATAAGGCAAGATAAATAAGTAAAAGGCATGCAGATTGGAAAGGAAGAAATAATATTGCATTTATTAGCAGACAACCTGTTTACCTAGACTATTCCAAATAATTTACAAAAGTACTTCTGGAACCAAAAAGTGAGTTTAGCAAGATTGCAGGATACAACACCAACATACTAAAATGAATTATGTTCCCATATTAGCAATGAATAAATGGAATATGAAAGTTTAAAAAAAACATTTATAATAGTGCCCCAAAAATGCAGTAGTTAGGTACAAATCTAACAAAATGTGAGATGTGAGGAAAGCTATAAAAACAATGATGAAAGAAATCAAAGATATAAATAGAGAAAAGACATTAGCAAGATGGTGGAATAGCAGCTTTCTACCATCATATCCCCGCAGAAGCACTGATTTTGACAAGTACCCATGGATGAGAGTACTTTGTGGAAGTCCAGAAGTCCAGCAGTGAAGTTCCAGCACATCACTGGACACACTGAAGAAGGTAAGAATAGTTTCACTTTATCTAGGTCACCCCTCCCCCAAGGCAGCATAGTTCAATGCCAAGAGAGACCCCCACAGCCTGTGATTCCTCCCACGGAGGAAAGTGAGAGGAGAGTGAGTAAGCATTCAGCTCCCTCAGCTGTGTAGGCTGCTGCCCAAGAGGCCCACTTCTTTCTTACCTTACCCAGATTACTGAGGTAATCAGCACAGCTGAGTGGTTCGAGGAGGCTGGGAACAGGGAAGAAAGGCCACAGACCCTACTAACCAATAAACAACCAAATGAACAAAGGCCACAGACCCTATAACCAATAAACAAATAAGGAGATTGAATGAGTAATTTAAAAATCTAACAAAGAAAAACCCAGGACTTCATTGGTGAATTGTATCAAACATTTAAACGGGGACTGTTGTGGGATGGGGGGAGGGGGAAGGGATAGCATTAGTAGATATACCTAATGCTAAATGACGAGTTAATGGGTGCAGCATACCAACATGGCACATGTATACATATGTAACAAACCTGCACGTTGTGCACACGTACCCTAAAACTTAAAGTATAATAAAAAAAAAGAATTAATGCCAATTCTTTTCAAACTCTTCCAACAAAACTGAAGAGAAAGGAACACTTCCACACTCATTTTATGAGGCCAGCATTCCCCTGATACTACAGGCAGACAAGGATACTACAAAAAAAATTATAGGCCAACATACCTGATGAACATAAATGCAAAAATCCTGAACAAAATAGTAGCAAACTAAATTCAAGAGCACATTCAAAGGATAATACACTATGATCAAGTGGGAGTTATCCCTGGGATGCAAGGATGGTTCAATATGCACAGATCAATAAATGTGATACACCATATTAACAGAATGAAGGATAAAAGTAATATGATCATCTCAACAGATGCAGAAAAGCATGTGACAAAACTCAACACCCTTGCATGATAAAAAAAAATTTCAGTAGGCTGGGTCACCCCTGTGACCCAGGTGTGGTGGCTCACGCCTGTAATCCAGCATTTTGAGAGGCTGAGGCAGGAGGATCACTTGAGCCCAGGAGTTTGAGACCACCCTGGGTAACATAGTGACACCCAGACTCTATGATTCATATGGAAAGTCAAATGAACTAGAATAGCCAAAACATTCTGAAGAAGAAAAATAGAGTAGCAGAATTCACAATGCCTATAAAGCTACAGTAATCAAAGACAGTATTACTTGCAAAGGAATAGACATAAAGTAACAACAGAAAAGAACAGAGAGCCCAGAAATAGATCCACACAATATGGTCAACTGATTTTTGGCAAATATATAAAAATAATTTAATGGAGAAAAGATAGTCTTCTAAACAAATGATACTGGAACAACTGAACGTCCATATAAAAAATAAATTACAGCATACCTCACAACTTACATTAAAATTAACTCCAAATGGGCTGGGCATGGTGGCTCATGCCTGTAATCCCAATACTGCACTTTGGCAGGCTGAGGTGGGTGGATCACTTGAGGTCAGGAGTTTGAGACCAGCCTGGACAACCTGGTGAAACCACGTCTCTACTAAAAATACAAAAATTAGCTGGGCATGGTGGTGTGTGCCTGTAGTCTCAGCTACTTGGAAGGCTGAGGTGGGAGAATCGCTTGAGCCTGGGAGGTGGAGGTTGCAGTGAGCCGAGATCGTGCCACTGCACTCCAGCCTGGGTGACAGTGAGACCCTGTCTCAGAGAAAAAAAAAGAAAAGAAAAAAAAATTAACTCCAAATAGACCACAGACCTAAATGTAAAATGTAAAACTTTGTGAAGGAAAAACTGAAAATCTGAATGACTTTGAGTTTGGTGATTAGTTCTGGATACAACACCAACAGCACAATCCATGAAAGAAAAAAGTGATAAGGTTGACTTTATTAAAATTTAACACTTTCCTCTGTGAATGACATTGTTAAGTGAATTAAAGTACAAGCCTTAGACTGGGAGAAAATATTTGCAAATCACATATCTAAAAAGGACTTGGTCCAGAATATATGAAGAACTTTTAAAACCCAACAATAAGTAAACAAAAAATGGACAAAAGATCTGAACAGATACTTCATCATAGAAGATATATGGATATCAAGTAAAGATATGAAAGGATTCTTAGCATTATTTGTTGTTAGGGAAACGCAAATAAACACCACAATGATATATTACTACACACCTATTAGAACATATTAAACCCCCCTAACTGACAATAACAAATGCTGATGAGGATGTGCAACAAAAAGACCTTTCATTTATCACTGGTAGGAACACAAAATGGTGCAGCCTCTTTGGAATAGAATTTGGCAATTACCTATAAACTTAAACATTGACTTACCACACTACCTAGCAATCACATTCCTAGGTATTTACCTAAGTGAATTGAAAACTTAAAAAACTAAATTCTTTTTTTTTTTTTTTTTTTTAGAAACAGGGTCTTGCTTTGTCACTGAGGCTGGAGTGCAGTAGCAAAATAATAGCTCACTGCAACTTCGAACTCCTGAGCTCAAGCGATCCTCCCACCTCAGCCTCCCAAGTAGCTGGGACTACAGGTGCATGTCACCACACCCGGCTAATTTCTTTTATTTTGTAGAGACAAGGTCTCACTATGTTGCCCAGGCTGGTATCAACTTTTGGGCTCAAGAAATCCTCCCATCTCAGCCTTCCAAAGTGCTGGGATTACAGGTGTGAACACCTGACTGAACTGAAAACTTATGAGTCCAAACAAAAACCTGTATGTAAATGTTTCTAGCAACTTTACTAATAATTGCCAGAAACTGGAAGCAGTATCAATAGAGGAATAGATAACTTGCATATGCAGATGAAGTTCTATTGGAATACTATTTGATGATAAAAAGGACCGAGCTTTTGACTCCTGCAGCAAAATGGATGAATCATAAATGCATTTTACTAAGTGAAAAAAGTAACACTGTATGAATCCACTGTTATGACTTCTGAAAAAGGCAAAACACATAGGGATAGAAAACAAATCCGTGTTTGCCAGGGGTTAGGGGCTGGCGGATGTCCCACTGGGTACAATGTTCACTATTTGAGTGATGGGTACACTAAAGCCCAGACTTCAGCACTCCACAATATATCCATGTAACAAAACCGCATTTATACCCCCTAAATCTATAAAAATTAAAAAATGAGGGGTATACAGAGGAAGTTGTAACATGAAGGAACTGCTTTTTATAATACTCTGCATTTGTTAAAAGCCATAGCACTGTACATTACCAAGAGTGAACTTTAAAGTAGAAAAACAACAAAATCAACCAGAATGTCAGGGATTCCAGGATGGAATGTACCCTGTGACAAATGAATCTGATTGTATTAAAAACAAATGACAAAACTGTACTCAAGGAGCTGGGGAAAATAGGTGCTGACCTAGGGAAAAATAGGAGCTGACCTAAGTAACTTAAAACTTATTTTAGTAGAATGATTTGTATCGCTTTGGGTATATACCTAGTAATGGGACTGCTGGGTCAAATGGTATTTCTGGTTCTAGATCCTTGAGGAATCACCACTGTCTTCCACAATGGTTGAACTAGTTTACAGTCCCACCATCAGTGTAAAAGTGTTCCTAATTTCTCCACAGCCTCACCAGCATCTTTTGTTTCTTGACTTTTTACTAATCGCTATTCTGACTAGTGTGAGATAGAATCTCATTGTGGTTTTGATTTGCATTTCTCTAATGATCAGTGATGATGAGCTTTTTTCTCATATGTTTTTTGGCTGCGTAAATGTCTTATTTTGAGAAGTGTCTGTTCATATCCTTTGCCCACTTTTTGATGGGACTGTTTCTTTTTTTTTTTATACATTTAAATTCTTTATAGATTCTGGATATTAGACCTTTGTCAGATGGATAGATTGCAAAAATTTTCTCCCTTTCTGTAGGTTCCTATTCACTTTTATGATAGTTTCTTTTGCTGTGCAGAAGCTCTTTAGTTTAATTAGATCCCATTTGTCAATTCTGGCTTTTGTTGCAATTGCTATTGGTGTCTTTGCCCATGCCTATGTCCTGAATGGTATTGCCTAAATTTTCTTCTAGGGTTTTTATGGTTTTGGGTTTTACATTTAAATCTTTAATCCATCTTGAGTTAATTTTTGTATAAGGTGTAAGGAAGGGGTCCAGTTTCAGTTTTCTGCATAGGCTAGCCAGTTTTCCCAGCACCATTTATTAAATAGGGAATCCTTTCCCCATTGCTTGTTTTTATCAGGTTTGTTAAAGATCAGATGGTTGTAGATGTGTGGTGTTACTTCTGAGGTCTCCGTTCTGTTCCATTAGTCTACATGTCTGTTTTAGTACCAGTACCATGCTCTTTTGGTTACTGTAGCCTTGTAGTATAGTTTGAAGTCAAATAGGATGATGCCTCCAGCTAAAGACTCATGCGCATGTATATTTATTGCAGCACTATTTACAATAGCAAAGACTTGGAACCAACACAAATACCCATCAATGATAGATTGGATAAAGAAAATGTGGTACATATACACCATGGAATGCTATGCAGCCATAAGAAAGAATGAGATTATGTCCTTTGCAGGGACATGGATGAAGCTGGAAGCCATCATACTCAGCAAACTAATACAGGAACAGAAAACCAAAAACTGCATGTTCTCACTCATAAGTGGGAGTTGAACAATGAGAACACATGGACACAGGGAGAGGAACAACACACACTGGGGCCTGCTGGGGGGTGGGGGGCAAGGGGAGGGAGAGCATTAGGACAAATACCTAATGCATGCCAGGCTTAAAACCTAGATGATGGGTTGACAGGTGCAGCAAACCACCATGGCACATGTATACCTATGTAACAAACCTGCATGCTCTGCATATGTATCCCAGATTTTAATTGGAAAACATAAGGTTAAAGATAAATGGAACTGTACATTAACACTGTACTGTATTTGGTAATTTTTTTCTCGTTGGGGTTTGGGTAATCAGTTCTGAAACTGCTTTACATCTATCCTGGGGTTGAACAAATAAGTAAACAGATGAATTGTGGGAGCCAGGTTTCATGCTGTCAGAGGGCATTTACAAATAAGCAAGAAGGGAAGCATAGGATAAACCCTCTAGTGCTGGATTAGAGCCAGAAACATCAGTATGAACTCATATTTAGGTAGAGTTTCACATACATATATGTACATATACACACACAGATGGATAGATTCAGAATGATTACAGATAGGTGTGTATACATAGCATAGCATACATATATTACCTACCTCCAACTGCCAAGGTCCTAGAATTAGTGACACCCAGTAGCAATTAGACCCTCAGTACTTAGATCTTGCTTTCCAAATACCATTTATAACTAAGAACCCTCAGAGAAATGGCTTATTCATGAGGGCAGGGCAATGAAAAAATAAAAGATGAATAGCATCAGAAAGTAAAGTGCCCAAAAAACACAAAATAATGGGGGCATGTCAAAGGGACAATAGGAGCCAACCTTAAAGAGCTCCCAGTGGCCAAAGCTGAAACAATTTGAGCAACAAAATAAATAACACAGTATTTTTAATAACCCAAAGTATAAAATACATATACAGTCATATGCTACATAATGATGTTTGGGTCAATGAAAGACTGAATGTACCAAGGTGGCCCTATGAGGTTATAATGGAGCTGAAAAATTCCTATTGCCCAGTGATACTGTGGTTATTCTAATTCATAGTGCCACACATTACTCAAGCAGTTGTGGTAAAGCTAGTATGAACAAACTTACTGTGTTGCCAGTCATATACAAGTATAGCATATATAATTATGTGAACTACATAATACTTGAGAATGACACTATACTTTTTATCATTATTTTAGATTGTACTCCTTAATTAAAAAAAAAAAAGTTGGCTGGGCGTGGTGGCTCATGCCTATAATCCCAGCACTTTGGGAGGCCGAGGCAGGCGGATCACCTGAGTTCAGGAGTTCGAGACTAGCCTGACCCACATAGAGAAACCTGGTCTCTACTAAAAATACAAAAATTAGCCAGGCGTGGTGGTGCATGACTGTAATCCCAGCTACTCGGGAGGCTGAGGAAGGAGAATCACTTGAACCCGGGAGGCGGAAGTTGCAGTGAGCCGAGATCGCACCATTGCACACCAGCCTGGGCAACAAGAGTGAAACTCTGCTTCAAAAAAAAAAAAAAAAAAAAAAAGTTAACTATAAAACAGCCTCAGGCAGGTCCTTCAAGAGGTATTCAAGAAGAAAGCATCGCTATCATAGGAGATGACAGCTCCACCGGTGTTATTGCCCTTGAAGACCTTTCAGTGGAACAAACTGTGGAGGTGGAAGACTGTGATACTGATGATCCTGACCTCCTGAGATCGCCCAATGGGCTCATAAACAAAATGGCCATGGTGGCAGAAACAGAGGTTATGCATGGGCTCAGCAACATGGACTTCCACTCACCAGCTGACCTGACTAAAGGCACTGCCGAGTACCCAATCTGCCAGCAGCAGAGACTAACAATGAGTCCCTGATGTGGCACCATTCCCCAGGGTGATCAGGAAGCTACCCGGTGGCAGGTTAATTACAGTGAGCTGCTTCCATTAAGGAAGGGGTTATATTTTGTTCTCACTGGAACAGACACTCTATCTAGATATGGATTTGCTTTCCCTGCATGCAGTGATTCTACTAAAACCACCATCTGTGGACTTACAGATTCACCTTATCTACTGTCATAGTATTCCACACACCGTTGCTTCTGACCAAAGAACTCACTTCACAGCAAAGAAGTATAGCAATGGGCCCATGCTCACGGAATTCACTGGCCTTACTATGTTCCCTACCATCCAGAACCAGGTGGATTGATCGAACAATGGAATAGCCCTTTGAAGACTTAGTTATAGCACCAGCTAGGTGGCAATACCTTGCAGGGCTGGGGAAGGTTCTTCAGAAGTCCGTACATGCTCTTAATCAGTATCCAATACATGGCATGGTTTCTCTGATAGCCAGGATTCAAGGGCCCAGGAATCAAGGGATGGAAATGAGAATGGTACACTATTACCCCTAGTAATACCACTAGCAAAATTTTGGCTTCCTGTTCCCATGACTTTATGCTTTACTAGCCTAGAGGTCTTAGTTCCAGAGGGAAGAATGCTTTCACCAAGAGACATAATGATTCCACTTAACTGCAAGTTGACTGCTACCTGGCCACTTTCGGCTCCTTGTGCCACTGAATCGATGGCAAAGAAGGGAGTTATGAGGCTAGCTTGGGGTGACTGATCCTTCCTGCCAAGGGGAAACTGAACTACTACTCTACATGAAGGTAAGGAAGAATACATTTGGAATACAGGAGATTTGTTAGGGTGTCTCTTAGTATTAACATTGTCCTGTAATTAGAGTAAATGGAAAACTACAACCTAATCCAGGCAGGACTATGAATGTTGCTGTGACTTTAGGAATGAAGGTTTGGGTCACCTGTTGGGTAGAGAATCACAAGCAGCTGAGGTGCTTGCTGAAGGCAAGGGGAATATGGAGGGGTAGTGGAAGAAGGTATTTATAAATACCAGTTACGACCATGTAACCAGTTGTAGAAACAAAAACTGTGTCATGAGTATTTTCTCCTTATTTTGCTATGAATACATTTGTGCATTTTCTTTCCTCTTATTCTTTTATACTGTAACTTTCTATCACAGTATTTAAGTTACTAATATTATATCATTTATGCTATTTAAGTTATTTAAGTATTTAAGTTATGGGATATCATGGAGAAGAGTAAACATCACACAAGGACTTTACCTCCTCTTCTGAGGAATGGTTTAGTATGTTTTTAGTTGTATGCTGGATAGTTGTATCATGTTAGGTGGAATTATGATCGTGCTATTGTCTTTATTTGCAGATTAACTACGGTTTAAGGAGATGTGCATGGGTGCCATGTTGACAAGGGGTGGACTTGTGATGGCTAATTTTATGTGTCAACTTGACTATACCATGGGGTGCTAGATTAAACATTATTTTTGGATGTGTCTTTAAGGATGTCTCTCGATAAGATTAGCATTTGAGTTGGTGGCCTTAGTAAAGTAGATTGCCCTCACTAATGTTGGTGGGCATCATCCAATCTGCTGAGAGCCTGAATAGAACTTTCAAAAAGGAGGAGGAAGGAAGAATTTGCCCCTTTTTGCTTCCTGCCTCCCATCTGGAGCTGGGATATTGGTCTTCTCTTGCTCTTTGACTGAGATTTATGCCATCAACTCCCCTGATTCTGAGCCTTCAGACTTGAACTGGAATTACACCACTGGGTTTCTTGGGTCTCCAGATGGCAGATGGCAGATCATGAGACTTCTCAGCTTCCATAATTGCGTGAGCCAATTTCTCAAAATAAGTCTCCCTCTGTCTATATGTCCTACTGGTTCTCTTTTTCTGGAGAATCCTGACTAATACAATTCTCCATTCAAATTTCCTTTTCATGAAAATACTTCTAATTTCTCCAAATTCTTCATGAAACATACCTTATATGACTTTCTTGATCTCTCTCTCTCTCTTTTTTTTTCTTAGAGATGGTCTTACTTTGCTGCCCGGGTTGGAGCTCAGTGGCACAATGACAGCTCACTGCTGCCTCGAACTCCTGGGCTCAAGGATTCCTCCTGCCTTAGCCTCCCAAGTAGCTGGTGATTATAGGCAGGTGTCACTGCGCCCAGATGATTAAAATTTTTTTTTTATCGAGGCAGGGTCTTAACATCTTGCCCAGGCTAGTCTCAAACTCCTGGGCTCAAGCAATCCTCCCACCTCAGCCTCCCAAAAGTTCTGGGATTACAGGTGTGAGCCACAATGTCTGGCCCCTTGATCTCTTTTCGTCTATGTAGCACATGATGTCAAATACTCTACTACAGTGTCTCTGACACGTTTGTATTTTTAGGCCTTATCTTCCCAAGCAGAATTTAATAACCTTAGAGTAAGAGCTTTTTCTCTTATTTCTTCTGTGTGTATTATTATTTCTTTGTGTATTATCACTTCTTCTTCCATTTGTTCATTCATTTATTCACTCATTAAACACATATCTGCTGGGTGCCAATACAATAGTGAACAACATCAGACTGTTCCCTTAACCCTTATGGAGATCACAGTTTAGTTGGGGATGTAGAAATGAATAAAACAGCCATAAAACAAATGCACAATGATAACTGTCAATAATGTTCTGAAGGGAAGATACTTGATGAGAGTCCACAAAGGGGGACCCAACCTAATTCTGAGTGGAGAGGAGGGTGGGCAGGGCAGGAAAGGCTAATCTGGACAAAGTTCTGTTTTAGCTGAAATCTGAAGAATGAGTAGCTTTTCACTAAGTAAGATAGAGAAAAGAAGTGAGGGTGAGAGAAGAGTATTCCAGATAGAAGTTCTGGGTTAAAGAAGGTGGATAGGGCCACAGTATCACACACAGCAAACCTCAAGATACAGGGACTGACCAAATAGACAATACTAACCATTTTCTTCAGTCTCTTCTCTTCTCGTTTTCTTTCAAGCTGTGCCTCCTTTTCTTCTGCCTCCCTTTTCTGACGTTCCTCCTCTTGGGCCTTTAACTGGGCCTGATTGAGATTAGAACCCAGAAATATCAGAACCCTCAATTTGAACAGAAATGTGATCTTTTATGTTTAGGATAGTCAAGCGTCTACCAAAGTGCCTGTCCTATCTCTGGAAGAAGTCTGCATTTTGTGATAAAAGTAGAAAACTCAATCAACCTGTCATCAGTTACGTAACTTAAAAGTTTCTCCAAAAGAATCCTTTTCTACTTGGGAAGGTAAGACTGATCATAAATAAGATCACCAATCTTTCATTAAAAAATGATTACTTTTTAGTTCTTACTGTCATCTGTGAAAAACTAACTCCAAGTTAGAAACAGTTTAGGGGGAAAAAGGTTTTCTTTCATTTCACCAGAAAACCCCCAATTGTTGGAACTGTTTATTTTTTCTTGGTAGTTACAAAATTTACTTTGGATAGTCTAGGTCAAAACTTTGGAAAATAAGAACTATCCCTCTTTGCAAATTCAGTAGGTCAGACATCTACCTATAATACACTAATCTTGGTTATGTGTAAATCTTCTAATCTGCTGACTCTCATCAACTTTCATAACATTTTCTTCCTGCTGTGTTAATGATGTTGATGTTTCTGTCCCCCTTATTTTCCTAAAATTGTCACGGAATTCAGGCCACTAGGCCAAAAAACCATTTCCAAAGTTGATGTAACTCTATTGTCTCAGGAGTTCTGAAAAAGCAAGGTTTCATTTTTTAAGAAAGACCTGGACAAATCCTTCTTTTTTGACTCAGTTTGCATTTTGAATCTATTACCAATTTTTCTTCTTCTTGTTTTTTCTTCTTCTCTGCCAAGATCCGCCTACATTCAGCTCGTTGAATTGCTCTCTCTTCCATAGCTAGAAAATAGTAACAGAGTTCTAATATTTTTTATATTGAAAAAATATGAGGAATACTGCAAGAGAAATGTCTCCATTTCATAGTAAAATTTAGTGTTATTATTAGGGTTTTCTTGTAAGTTGAATGTTCACAATCTCAGAAAATATATAGAGATAAACAGAACTTATATACTCTACAGGTTAAAGACCTATTATCCCATCCTCAGCAATGAGGAACAATTTATAAATTAATTATTTTGTTTACATTTTTATTAAAATAATTGTTTACTGATTTATAATGTGCCTTGATGATACTTTTAGTATATGAAACCCAGAAACCAGAATTCTAATTTGATTATATGTTTGATGAATGCAGAAAACTTTAATTACATCTAACAAGTACTTTGAGAGTAGAATCGTTCCTCAAATCCTATTGAATCTGCTAATTTTTCTTAAGTCACTGTACATATGTCTGTATATATAAGAATAACAACAAACAAACTAAAGTTTGGGGTCACGATGAATATATTTGAATCTAGTTTTAAGGCCTGGATATACAGATGGGCAGGAAATGGAATTGTACCAGGCATTTGGAGAACTGGCATCTGAATGAATTTGAGTGTCAGACTCCTGTTCTTGACAGGCTATTAAATATCGATCCAAAAGAAACAAATGTGCAAGATGGTCTGATAATATGACTCTATAATCAGTTGGGGCTTTCATAGGAAGAGGGGCATGGATGGGAGGAGTATCAAGTTCTGCTCACCTAAGCCAGCCAATAGTTACTTTCAGTTCCTTGTGCCATATTTTAGAGAAAAGAATTTAAGTCCAAGTTTTAAGAATTAATAAACAAAAAACTCACCAGGCTATTTCTTACAGTTATTAAGTGTCTGCTTTGCTGAAAAAGAATGGTAGTGCCACAGATGGCGAGAGTGAAATTGTCTCTAAGAAGGCAGAAATAGACTAGGGGATTAAAGTAAGAGACCCCTAAGAAGCAGAGTCTCTGGTAATATGCCCTTTGCCCATCTTTTCTAGATCTAATCATCAAAAGACTACTTGAAAGTAGACTGGGCTTCTAAAATAGCTAACTCCTTGACCAAACAATAATTTTAAAAAAATAATCATACTTAACTGGGTATTTACTGACCAAGCTTAATGATAGGCAAAGACAGCATAAATTGCTGTCCTGGCAGATAGTTAATGCAAAGACTGCCAATTTCTTCATTAATAGGAATTGACTGCAGGCACAGTGTCTTTCATTTGTAATTACTTCTTGTTAAACCAGCAATCTTGTCACAGGTAAAAAATCAAATTTACAAACCACAATATAATTGTCAAAGTGCCAACCACCACATGCAAACATAAGTACAGTGAAGGACTAAGCATATAGTAAAAACAATTAGCAGATTCACTAGGTGGGTTCTGAAGAATGCTTCTATTCGTATAGTTTAGTTTAAATAAGGGTTTCTGGCCAGGTGCAGTGGTTCATGCCTATAATCCCAACACCTAGGGATGTTGAGGTGGGAGGACTCCTTGAGGCCAGGAGTTTGAGACCAGCCTGGGCAACACAGGAAGACCCTGCCTGTACCAAATAAATAAATGTTTCTAGATGCATCAAAAATGTTATCAAATTAACATATCTGGTTTGTAGGTTTTATTACTAAAATCCTATCAACAAGTTATAATATTATAAAATAATAACTTATCTTGGATTACTGTAAACTGATCAAATTTGAACATTAACAAAGTACAATGACAGGTGTCCTTTATCAGTGTTTGTCCTTGGCAGTTACTCAGAGTTTTCTCATTTGTGTAATTATTCCTTTTTTTTTCACAATCCAAATCTCAAATTACAGAAAAATGATATACCTTTCAGCTATGTTTTTTTGTGTGTGTGTTGGCTGGGAATGCCAAAAAGGTTGGCAAAAGGGGCAGGAAAAAAGTAGTGGGGCTCTCTGGTGTACTCCACTCCTCACATGTCTACCATTCTGAGATTTTTGATGTCAGGTTCTGCCAAGTCTCAAAACCTCAAGAGTTGCCAGAATTCAGTCCCAGTGTACACATTCTACTCTAGGAGAGAAGATAACAACCACCAAGGCCACCACCGAGACAGCCCTGCCTTTTAGTATGGGATGCGGTGTCATCAATTGCTTTGGTTTCCTTCTGAGTCCAGAAAGAGAATTTCGGGAGTCACTTCTGCCTTCAGTCCCAGGGGAAGCAACAGGTGAACTAGGGAAAAAATAAAGGAAAGGAATTTAGACTACTAACCAGTTTCCTTCAAACTCCTTTGACCTGAGATGCTCAAAGCCTTTTACAGACCTTAATGAATCCCTACTCTCTGAGATAACTACATATTATATCCACTCCATAAATATGTGTAATGAGGTATGGAAAGGTTGTGTGATCGGCATGAGTCTACACAGTGAGTCAGGTACTGTGACTCCCATCCTAATGCTTCAAATCCATAGGTGTCACCACATCTTATCCTACCATTTACCACATGCAATGAGTATGTCTCAAGCACAACTGAAACCATCTTACGTGGCTTTTGAGAAACTTGGGCTCTTATTTGAGGCTCAAAGATGTTTTGTTTTATCCCTAACAACTACAAATTTAAGCTAGGAAATAAGCCAGCCCAGGGGCTGCTCCATGTGGACCTGATGTTGTCTGACTTGGCTTCTCAGCACTTAACATAGCTAGAAACCCAGAAATAGAGCAAGACAGCATTTTTCTCTTTAACTGGCATAGTAACAGAGATCCTCAAAGGCAGCCGTGACCCAAATGCTAACAGTATAACTGGATCCTTACAGGCATCCTTGACTATCTGTGCCTGTCATATACTAGTCATAACTAGGCTTCTTTGCTTTGAGAGTGCAAAATCAAGGAAAAGGAACAATCATGGGGCTCAGAAGCAGGGCAAAGAAGCTCAGGAGCCCAAAGTGAAAAACCCCTTAAAATGAGTCCAGCGAGTTCTGATAGAACAGACATACTTCACAAGCATCTGGCAGGTTCTTGGTTCCTCTTCTCTGGGCTTTGACAGCAGGTGGCTCTGTGCTTCTGTGACTGCTAAGGCATGCTCTGCTGCCCACTGAGCCTCTGCCAGCTGCAGGTTTTTCTTCAGCTCGAGAATTGTTTTCTGCTGTTCCTGAAGTTTCTTCTTTTGCTTCTCAATCAGCTGTTGCTGGAAGACATGGCGGTTGTGGAAATGACCCAAGCAAAGCGGTTCTGCTTTCTGGCTGGTAGTTCTGAGTGTCTCGTTGCTGCCAGGCTGTTGAGAGGGTTCAGCACCCAGGGTCTTGTGCTGCTTATTGCCAGGTGCACTCAGAGAGACATTCTGAAGGGAACCCTGCAAGTTGCCTGTTGTTGTTCTTCCCAGGGGAGGACTGAGCATACAACCACTGCTTCCCAAGGGAGGCTTTTCCCACAAAGGGGGCACAGCAGTCTCCTGAGAGAGAGAAACATGTTATAGCTCAACTATTTAAAGGACTGTGCTGATGAAATCCAACATTTATGAGGTCAGTATTGTTTTGTTTAATGGCACAACTGCCATGTATTGCAGGTAAAGGTGGTCTGTGCTCCTGGCCTGGCTACCTCAGAGGCCACCACTCTTAAAACATGCATTGCTGCTCACCATGAAAACTGGGAGAGTGGCCGGCTGTGGTGGCTCATGCCTGTAATCCCAGCACGTTGGGAGGCCGAGATGGGCAGATGACTTAAGGTCAGGAGATTGAGATCAGCCTGGCCAACATGGTGAAACCCTGTCTCTACTAAAGGTACAAAAGTTGGCCAGGCATGGTGGTACGCACCTGTAATCCCAGCTACTCAGGAGGCTGATGCAGGAGAATCGCTTGAACCTGGGAAGTGGAGGTTGCAGTGGGCTGAGATTGTGCTACTGAACTCCAGCCTGGGCAACACAGCGAGACCCTGGCTCAAAAAAAAAGAAAACTGGGAGAGTGGCTACAGCTGTATGAACCATTGCCATGGGCCAGGACATTCGTAATAGCAAAAATCTTCTCTTATAAATTTCTAATTTGGACAGTTCATTTGTGAATTAGGCAAGGTTACTCCAGATATATATATATATATATATATATATATATAAATATATATATTTTATATATAAAAAACATGAATTTAATATGCATAAATTGACTCTGAATTTTAGTGGAAATTTGAAGATGTTGTGGCAAAGGATATATTCTTTCTCGAGAATGTCTGAAAACCAAAGAATATCTTTACAAATGAATAATATATCTCTTTTCTTTCAATGCCTCTCCTGACACTAGTAAATTAATCATATGCCATAGTATAGGATATTTAGTTATTTCAGCATCAAGGTCCCGTTAAAGCCTAGCTAACCGTTTCCAGCTATTCCTGAACTATCTATGGGTGGGAAATATTTGGAAGCTCAGGATCACTGGGCAAATATCTGCATTACAAACTATCTATGGGTGGGAAATATTTGGAAGCTCAGGATCACTGGGCAAATATCTGCATTACATAAGAATAATGTTACCTAATAATATTTTGTATTAGCATATCACTAGTTTTCAAAGCTTTATTACATAAATCCCATTTAATAGACTGAGGTACCATACTCAATTACAAGTTCTATACAGAGGGGAAGGAAACAAGAATTTTTATTTAGAAACAGCTATCTTGGCCAAAATAATGTCATATTAAAGTGTCTCTTCTAGAATGGTTTGAGTCCATGTTCTAAGGTCTAAGTTTTTGATTCTGCCATCTGCAATGGCTTAAAGAGAAAAATGCTATGAGCTATCTAAATATCAGAAGCTTCTTGTTCTAACAGGACCCCATCCTTAGGGACTCAAAAATATTTTTCACGATTATAGAAATGCTTTCCATAGACTCAACTGAAATGAAAGATGTGATATATGGAAACTCTGACATGTTAAACACTTTTAAAAGTAACCTTTTATTTCAGTAATGTCAGTGAACACTTATTCATGAGAACACCTGCTTAAGCAATTTATATCAAGCAGGGTATATGTTTTAGGTTCTTTTAAACTTGGTGGTAATGACACCTTATTAACCTAGCAAGACTGTGTCAAAGCCCTGAGTAAAGCGACAGGGTTTCTTTTGGATCATGGTAACTTTTTAACATGAAAATAAAGAACATGAAGGAAAAGCTTAGTGGTACAGATAGTACTTAATAGAGCAGGAGTGAATGGTCTGACTTAATTAGAGAAAATCACCTATTAGCTAACTGATAATTTTGGAAAAATTCAAGGTACAGTTTGTGTGTTCTTAGTACATGAGTTCCTATGACTGTATAATTAATGAGCATCTAACTAAAGATTTTATATTTTCACTTGGTCATGTTTTGCTGTACACGCTGGAAAAAGATTAGTTTACTTAGTCTCTACAGGGTCTATTGTAGCCCTCTATTATCATTTGCTCCATTTTTAACAATACTGTCCTTTCTTGATAAAGTCTTTTGTTCTTGATTTCAGAGATTTGGAGTCTTTTGTTCCCTTGAGTCTAAATATATATAAATTACTATATATATATTACTATATATATAAATTACTATATATATTACTATATATATAAATTACTATATATATTACTATATATAAATTACTACATATATATAGTAATTTTTCTGTTTTGCACAGGTAAAAAATACTTTCTGCTGACTTTTTTTTTTTTTTCATTTAAGAACAGTGGCACTTTGTAAGGTAAAAGGTTCCATACAGCTCTTTCTTAAGATAGAAGTCTGTCTTGGGTCTCAATGGAGACAAAATTATCTGCCATAAAGGTAGATACATTGCCTAGGGGAAGGGACCAAAATGTTACACATAAGTCCCAACAAGCATCTTCCTGATCCCCCCTTGCTCAGAGAATAAGCTTAAATTAAAACTAGCCTACTTGCTAGCAATAATCAGGGTAAAAAGCAAGGCTGGGGACCCTCTAGTGCACAATTTAATTTCACATGTCTGAATTAAGTACTTAACAGCATTATGTGGAGGGTGGAGGTGAGGGGGTAGAAGCTCTTCTCCACAAGGTTTTCTAAACATGACAAGAGCAGTGATAAAAGAAGAAGCCGACAGGATTGACTTTATA